>NC_000001.11:109856865-110159895 GCF_000001405.40 Homo sapiens
TCCAGAATACATCTTAGGGGGCATTTTTGCCTTGAGGGAAACGTTTCCCATCTGGAAAAAGACAGAGAGATGCCAGCACCCCTAGTCATTTTCCAATGAGCATTAGTCATAGAGTGTCCTCTATGGTCCTAATGCTTATTCCTTTCCAGGGTGCGTAACCATCCATGGACCTCTGCTTATCGGATTAGTTATGCTCACCAATGTAGCAGTCGTGCACCTGTTTTCCCACCTTTCTTGACCACAGATAAAGGGGTCCGGGCTGCTGGATTCTAGTGGTCCTTTACCAGTGTGCACAACATTGCCTTTGCGCTCAGAGGTGAGTTCTAGAGCTGGGCTGAGTTCCTGAGTATTTCATAACAACCTAGCTGCCCCATCAAGATGCATTCCCATAAACAATAGTTCTTATGCAAATTCACTTCAGAGAGGGTGTAGGTAACATTTTGAGTCAAGATTGAGATAGACTCTTTTCGATTCTGTAAGTACTTTAAGGTTTGGCTGAGTGCAAACAGCTCTTGTTTGAGCAGACCAATTATTAGGCAATTTTCCTAACTCTGCTTCCACAAGAGTCTCCCTATCAATTACTGAATACCCGTTGTGGTTTTTTTTCCCTCAATCACCCGGGAGGAACCATCTATCATCCTGTTCTGAAGGGAGTTCCTACTAGGTCTGGTTGGACCTTTGTATGGTAATGAAGATTTAAATCCCCTGTTAGAAAATCTGCTGGGTTAAGGGAATTTTCAGTGGTTAATGTTAAATCACCTTTTTCTAACAAAATAGCCCCATACTTTAAGATTTTTGAGTTAGTAAGCTACCTTTTTGCTTTTTTGACTTAGAATAATTCTAAACTGGTGAGGTGTGCTCACAATGAGGTTTCCTCAAAAATTACTTTTCTACTTTCTTCTGTTAACAAAGCAGTTGCTGCTACAGATTGAATGCATTTGGGCCATCCGTGGAATCCTGGTGTAATACAGTGAAAACAGAGCTCCCATACAATGGGAGGGGACCCACACGGGGCTGCCATTGCCTGCTTGAATGCCTGGGTTTATATCCCAATCATTGTCCCTCCCCCTGTGCTCTCAGGCATTTGATGATTGGCTATTTCTTTACCTCCTGCTTTTGCCTAATTAGTAGCATTTTAGTGAGCTCTCTTTACTACCTGATTGGTCGGGTGTGAGCTAAGTTGAAAGCCCCATGTTTAAAGGTGGATGCAGTCACCTTCCCAGCTAGACTTAGGGATTCTTAGTCGGCCTTGGAAATCCAGCTAGTCCTGTCTCTCACTGACAGAAGTGGGCTTCGGAAGGTTGGTAATAACAAACTTCTCCGAGCTAAAGGAGAATGTTTGAGCCCATCACAAGGAAGCTAAAAACCTTAAGATTAGACAAATGGCTAACTAGAATAAACAGCGTAGAGAAGACCTTAAATGACCTGACGGAGCTGAAAACCATGGCACAAGAACTACATAACGCATGCACAAGCTTCAATAGCTGATTCGATCAAGTGGAAGAAGGGGTATCAGTGATTGAAGATCAAATTAATGAAATAAAGCAAGAAGAGAAGTTTAGAGAAAAAAGAGTAAAAAGAAATGAACAAAGACTCCAAGAAATATGGGACTATGTGAAAAGACCAAATCTACGTCTGATTGGTGTACCTGAAAGTGACGGGGAGAATGGAACCAAGGTGGAAAACACTCTTCAGGATATTATCCAGGAGAACTTCCCCAACCTAGCAAGGCAGGCCAACATTCAATTTCAGGAGATACAAAGAACATCACAAAGATACTCCTTGAGAAGAGCAACCCCAAGACACATAATTGTCAGATTCACCAAGGTCGAAATGAAGGAAAAAATGTTAAGGACAGCCAGAGAGAAAGATCGGGTTACCCACAAAGGGAAGCCCATCAGACTAACAGTGGATTTCTTGGCAGAAACTCCACAAGCCAGAAGGGAGTGGGGGCCAATATTCAACGTTCTTAAAGAAAAGAATTTTCAACTCAGAATTTCATATCCAGCCAAACTAAGCTTCATAAGTGAAGGAGAAATAAAATCCTTTACAAATGCTGAGAGATTTTTTCACCACCAGGCCTGTCTTATAAGAGCTCCTGAAGGAAGCACTAAACATGGAAAGGAACAACTGGTACCAGCCACTGCAAAAACATGCCAAATTGTAAAGACCATCAACGCTAGGAAGAAACTGTATCAACTAATGGGCAAAATAACCAGCTAACATCATAATGACAGGAACAAATTCACACATAACAATATTAAATTAAATGTAAATAGGCTAAGTGCCCCAATTAAAAGACACAGACTGGCAAATTGGACAGAGTCAAGACCCATCAATGTGCTGTATTCAGGAGACCCATCTCATGTGCAGAGACACACATAGGCTCAAAATAAAGGGATGGAGGAAGATCTACCAAGCAAATGGAAAACAAAAAAAAAAGCAGGGGTTGCAATCCTAGTCTCTGATAAAACAGACTTTAAACCAACAAAGATCAAAAGAGATGAAGAAGCCATTACATAATGGTAAAGGGATCAGTTCAACAAGAAGAGCTAACTATCCTAAATATATATGCACCCAATACAAGAGCACCCAGATTCACAGAGCAAGTCCTTAGAGACCTACAAAGAGACTTAGACTCCCACACAACAATAATGGGAGACTTTAACACCCCACTGTCAACATTAGACAGATCAACGAGACAGAAGGTTAACAAGGATATCAGGACTTGAACTTAGCACCAAGCAGACCTAATAGACATCTACAGAACTCTCCACCCCAAATCAACAGAATATACATTCTTCTCAGCACCACACCACACCTACTCCAAAATTGACCACATAGCTGGAAGTAAAACACTCCTCAGCAAATGTAAAAGAACAGAAATCACAACAAACTGTCTCTCAGACCACAGTGCAATCAAATTAGAACTCAGGATTAAGAAACTCACTCAAAACCACACAACTACATGGAAACTGAACAGTCTGCTCCTGAATGACTACTGGGTAAATAATGAAATAAAGGCAGAAATAAAGATGTTCTTTGAAACCAATAAGAACAAAGACACAATGTACAAGAATCTCTGGGACACATTTAAAGCAGTGTGTAGAGGGAAATTTATAGCACTAAATGCCCACAAGAGAAAGCAGGAAAGATCTAAAATCGACACCCTAACATCACAAAAGAACTAGAGAAGCAAGAGCAAACACATTCAAAAGCTAGTAGATGGCAAGAAATAACTAAGATCAGAGCAGAACTGAAGGAGATAGAGATACAGAAAAAAAATTTCAAAAAATCAATGAATCCAAGAGCTGTTTTTTTGAAAAAATCAACAAAATTGATAGACTGCTAGCAAGACTAATAAAGAAGAAAAGAGAGGAGAATCAAATAGATGCAATAAAAAATGATAAAGGGGATATAATCCCCGATCCCACAGAAATACACACAAAATCAATGTGCAAAAATTACAAGCATTCCTATACTCCAAGAACAGACAAACATAGAGCCAAATCATGAGTGAACTCCCATTCACAATTACTACAAAGAGAATAAAATATCCAGGAATCCAACTTACAAAGGATGTGAAGGACCTCTTCAAGGAGAACTACAAACCACTGCTAAATGAAATAAAAGAGGACACAAACAAATGGAAGAACATTCCATGCTCATGGATAGGAAGAGTCAATATCGTGAAAATGTCCATACTGCCCAAGGTAATTTATAGATTCAATGCCATCCCCATCAAGAAACCAATGACTTTCTTCACAGAATTGGAAAAAACTACTTTAAAGTTCATGTGGAATCAAAAGAGAGCCCGCATTGCCAAGACAATCCTAAGCAAAATGAACAAAGCTGGAGGCATCACACTACCTGACTTCAAAATATACTACAAGGCTATAGTAACGAAAACAGCATGGTACTGGTACCAAAACAGAGAGATAGACCAATGGAACACAACAGAGGCCTCAGAAATAACACCACACATTTGCAACCATCAGATATTTGACAAAACTGACAAAAACAAGAAATGGGGAAAGGATTCCCTATTTAATAAATGGTGCTGGGAAAACTGGCTAGTGATATGTAGAAAGCTGAAACTGGATCCCTTCCTTACACCTTATACAAAAATTAATTCAAGATGAATTAAAGATTTAAACATAAGACCTAAAACCATAAAAACCCTAGAAGAAAACCTAGGCAATACCATTCAGGACATAGGCATGGACAAGGACTTCATGACTAAAACACCAAAAGCAATGGCAACAAAAGCCAAAATTGACAAATGGGATCTAATTAAACTAAAGAGCTTCTGCACAGCAAAAGAAACTACCATCAGAGTGAACAGGCAACCTACAGAATGGGAGAAAATTTTTGCGATCTACCCATCCGATAAAGGGTTAATATCCAGAATCTACAAAGAACTTAAACAAACTTACAAGGAAAAAACAACCCCATCAAAAAGTGGGCAAAGGATATGAACAGACACTTCTCAAAAGAAGACATTTATGCAGCCAACAGACACATGAAAAAATGCTCATCAGAGAAATGCAAATCAAAACCACAATGAGATACCATCTCACACCAGTTAGAATGGCAATCATTAAAAAGTCAGGAAACAACAGATGCTGGAGAGGATCTGGAGAAATAGAGACACTTTTACACTGTTGGGGAGTGTAAACTAGTTGAACCATTGTGGAAGACAGTGTGGTGATTCCTCCAGGATTTAGAACTAGAAATACCATTCAACCCAGCAATCCCATTACTGGATATATACCCAAAGGATTATAAATCATTCTACTATAAAGACAAATACACACGTGTGTTTATTGCAGCACTGTTCACAATAGCAAAAACTTGGAACCAACCCAAATATCCATCAATGATAGGCTGGATTAAGAAAATGTGGCACATATACACCATGAAATACTATGCAGCCATAAAAAAGGATGAGTTCATGTCTTTGCAGGGACATGGATGAAGCTGGAAACCATCATTCTGGGCAAACTATCTCAAGAACAGAAGACCAAACACCACATGTTCTCACTCATAGGTGGGCATTGAACAATGAGAACACTTGGACACAGGGCGGGGAACATCACACATGGGGACCTGTCATGGGGTGGGGTGCAGGTGGAGGGGTAGCATTAGGAGAAATACCTAATGTAAATGATGAGTTAATGGGTGCAGCAAACCAACATGGCACATGTATACCTATGTAACAAACCTGCACATTGTGCACATGTACCCTAGAACTTAAAGTATTAAAAAAAAAGAACATATTCAAAGTATTATCCAAGTTACTGTAAAGGACAGAGTCATGCAATTTTCCTGTGGGCCAGCATCATTTGGTCAATCCAATCGGGTGTTAAACTAGCTGAAAACCCTCAACTTGTACCATCATCGAACCCACATTTTTCCTAGCTTATCCGCAAAAATATTATAAGATGTCATTTCAGCATTTTGTTGGTTTATCAGAGCAGATAAGACATCTGTTTAATAATCTGTAATTAGTGTAACTTGCCTTACCAGTCTGGGATTCAAATAAGATTCTCATTATTTCTTATTTTCCAGATTAATCTCCTGAATCCCCACATGCCCAAATCAATTTGTTACCAGGCTGCTGTAACGAAGTACCACAAATCGGTGGCTGAAAACAACAGAAATTTAATGTCTTGCAGTTCAGGGGGCCGTAAGTCTGAAATCAAGGTGCTGGCAGGGTTGGCTCCTTCTGGCTGGTAAACCTTGGCATTCCTTGACTTGCAGGTGCATCACTCCAATCTCTATCTCCAAGGTCACCTGGACTTCCCATATGAATCTCTGTGTCCTCTCCTCTTCTTATATGGATACCAGTCACATCACATTTAGGGCCCACCCAAAACAAACAGACCCTCATCTTAACTGATTACATCTACAAAGACCCTACTTCCAAATAAGGTCATGTTCTCAGGTTCCAGGTAGATATGAATTTGGGGTGGTGGGGGTTGCTATTCAGCCCAGTACACCAAGTAAGTGTCAACCTAAAAGGAAGAAGCTGAGGCAAAATTAATGTAAGGAGTTTATTTGGGCCAAGCTTGAGAATTGCAACCAGGCAGCATAGATTCAAGTTGTCCTGAACACACACTCTGATCAGCAGCAGTTACAAGTAGACTTTTTTTTTGAGACCGAATCTCATTCTGTCACCTGGCTGGAGTGCAGTGGTGTGATCTCGGCTCACTGCAACCTCTGCCTCCTGGGTTCAAGTCATTCTCCTGACTCAGCCTCCTGAGTAGCTGGGATTACAGGCGCCCGCCACTATGCCCAGCTAATTTCTTTTGTATTTTTAGTACAGAGGGCGTTTTACCACATTGGTCAGGCTGGTCTTGAACTTCTGATCTCGTGATTCGCCTGCCTCAGCTTCCCGAAGTGCTGGGATTACAGGCATGAGACACCGCGCCTGGCCACAAGTGGATTTTTAAAGGCAGAAAGTGGGGACAGGGAGTAGGCTGATACAAAGTTGTTTGTCAGGATTTCTCATTGGTTTACGAAAGTAACATTGGGCCAGCATGGTGGCTCACGTCTGTAATTCCAGCACTTTGGGAGGCTCAAGTGGGTGGATCACCTGAGGTCAGGAGACAAGCCCGGCCAACATGGTGAAAACCCCATCTCTACTAAAAATACAAAAATCAGCCAGATGTGGTGGTGGGCGCCTGTAATCCCAGCTACTTGGGAGGCTGAGGCAGGAGAATTGCTTGAACCCGGGAGGCGGAGGTTGCAGTGAGCTGAGATCGTGCCATTGCACTCCAGCCTGGGCAACAAGAGGGAAACTCTGTCTCAAAAAAACAAAAACAGAAACAAAAACAAAAAAACACACATACACAAAAGTAACATTGAAGAGTGATTTGCTATACATTATTAAGCAATATAGTGTCCAAGTGCTATTTGTGGCAATAGCAAGCAGTTTTAAGAGATGAATACATAGCTCAAGGGGGAAGTAGAATGTGATTGCTTTCTCATTTTAATATCTCTCTGGGACTGATGATTTAAAAGGACTCACATTCCTCAACTATAAGTTCTTTTCTTTCCTCATGAGCAAAACCCTCTCTCTCCCTGCTGCCTGTGCATTGTTGTAGTTTATGCAGTGTTTGGCTGAAGGAACCCAGGCTCTCTCTGATGCTGCCATCTCTATCACTGTTGAAACTAGAATTCCCCCACTCCCACCCCAGCTCCTGATGCACTGCTGCTAATGTCACAGGGTGAACCCCAAAATTAAGGTTCAGCCTGGGAGGCCATGTGAGTTCTTGGCTTTGCACAAGAGGGAATTCAAGAGCAAGCAAGCAAAGTGAAAGCAAGTTTATTAAGAAAGTAAAAGAATAAAAGGGGGGCTACTCCACAGGCAGAGCAGCCCTCATGGGCTGCTGGCTGGCTATACTTATGGTTATTTCTTGATTACATGCTAAATATGGGGTGGATTATTTATGAGTTTTCTAGGAAAGGGGTGGAGATTTCCCGGAACCAAAGGTTCCTCCTCTTTTTAGACCATATACGGTAGTGCAGTGGTTGCCATGGTATTTGTAAACTGTTGTGGTGCTGATGGGAGTGTCTTGTGGCATGCTAATGTATTATAATTAGTGTATAATGAGCAGTGAGGACCATCAGAGGTCACTTTTGTTGCCATCTTGGTTTTGGCTGGCTTCTTTACCACATCCTATTTTATCAGCAGGGGTCTCTGTGACCAGTATCTTGTAAACCAGTCCTGCCAAAGTCCTATCACACAAATAGTCCAGCTCCTGACGCGAGCTGCATTGAGTCCTCCTGCAGTGTCATGCTTAGACAAGAGTGTACCACATGTGGGCTGCTACACACAGACACCCCTCTGGTGAAGCAGCTGGGCTTTCTGGGTGTGTCAGCCTCAGCCATGCACCATGCCAGAGGACAATCAAGCCATCGTTTCACACCTCCTCTTCCACTTGGGTGGGTGCAGTGGGTGTGAGCGGTGGTTCTTGGTCATTTCAGGTGGAACCCATCCATGGATTCAGGTACGATCATTTCAGCCCATCAGAGTTACCTTTTGCCTCAAATAAGAAGGGAGTGGTTCAGATCCGTCTTCTCCCAGAAGGCTCCTTGTGCTCCTGTATACATTTGTCCAAATGCTTCAGCAACCAGCTCTTCATACCAAGAAATATAGAGAACAGCCTTTGTCAAGCCACACAGTAGGGAAAAAATGTCCAGTTATATCCTCTTCTCAGGATGATGGGTGCCTAGCTGCCCACATTTACGTAACTGAAGGAGACCATTCACACGATTGTTCTAAGAACAAAGACTTCCTCTAAGAAGATTGGCTGCCTCCTCTTGCTAGCTGGCAACTTTTAAGTGGCAGTTCATTGAGGCAGAAAGATGTAAAATTCCACTTTCTAGGCACTCCATTACAAATCTAGTTCACACTTGTACCATGAATTAATGTTGTTTGGAAGTCAGAGGTCGTTAAATTTACCCCATTTAGACATTCCTCCGTTTTGAAAACTGACAAACATTTCACACTTCCCTGGCTGTTGGCTCCTTTCCCAAATTTCTCAGAAATCACGGACAGTAGTTCTGCAATCACATCCCCGAGTTCCGAGGAGATTCCTCTAAAACCAGAACTCGAATGTGGCCAGATGCTTCCACCACCTCCTCATGGCTGCGCTCCACGTTCTTCTGGAATTTGCCTTTACACTTTCCGGTTTGAGAATTACTCTTCTTGAGGGAGAAAAACATTATGCATGAAAAAATTTGTCCCCTCCACTAAGTGTGGGGCCTGGATCTTCCCCATTGTTTTTCTTGCTTCAGATACTTTTCTAAAACAGGGTTTCTGGTTTCTGTCATTTGTTTAAGCCTCAGCTCATTTTACGTGTTAGTATTCCTGACCCCAGTCTTGTGGGCTGGTGCTGCTTTGGGCATTTGTTTTCGGCCCTCTGCCCCTTCCCACTGCTATACCTGCTCTTTGAAATTCTGAACTCACCGTGTATTTGAGGTGGTTCTTTAGATGACTGCTCTGGGCCCAGTTCGCCTTCCTTCTCAATGAGGTTATTAATTATTCCTTGGTCTGTTTGTGGAGCCCCTACTACATGTTGGGTACAGCACTAGGAACTACTGATATACCAGGGAACAAAAGCAGATATGGTGCTTGCTCTTACAAACTCAAAGAAAGGGGCACTGTTCAAATAATTACATAAATAAATATAAAATTACAGCTCAATAACTGTGAAGAGGCACATAGCGAAGAGTTTATAAGGAGCCTTTTTTCTTTCTTAAATCTAGTTAAAGATGCAAGAAAGGGATCACTGAGATCTAAAAGATGAGTGGGAAGGATTGACTGAGGTCAAAAAGGAAGGAAACAACTCAATTTAGAAATGAGCAAAAGATCTGAACAGGCACCTCACCAAAGTAGATAGATGGCAAGTAAGCATATGAGCAGGTGCCCAACATCATAGTCACTAGGAAATTAAAGATCAAGGGATTTTTAGGGTAGTGAAACAGTAAGGGTGGGTATCTATCATTATACATTTGTGTAAACCCATTGAATGTACAACACAAAGAATGAATCATAATGTAAGCTATGGCCTTTGGGTGATAATGATGCATCTACGTTGGTTCATCAGTTGTAGCAAATGTCCCACACTATTTCGGGATATTGAGGGTGGAGGAGGCTGTGTGTGTATGGGGATGGGGGTGGGGGTGGGACAGGGTATATGGGAACTCTTTGTGCTTTCCACTCAATTTTGCTATAAACCTGAAACTACTGTAAAAAAAAAAATAGCCTATTGATTTTAAAAAGGGTTGGGGTACAGACAGGGGGAAGAGAAGGAGCTTTCCAGGAAGAGACTTGCACATGCAAAAGCCCTGTGGCACAGGAAAATTTGGTGATTGGGACTAAAGGAAGGCCATTATGGGTAGAGTAAAGAGAGTAAGATGGAGCTTGATGAAGCTAGAGAAACAGGTGATGCCCAGACTCAGCAGGGTCTGGTAGGCTGTTAAAACTGTTTTTCTTTATCCTGGAGGTGCTAGAAAGCCAGTGAGTGGTTCTAAGGGTGGGAGGTAGGATAGGGATGATGGGATTGCAATCAGATTTATATTTCAAAATAATCACTGTGGGTATAGTGTGGAGGGTGGAGAATGCCTTGAACTCTAAAAGGTGCCAGAGTTGATATGGGGAGACCAGTTGGGAGCCCAGGTGAAAAATAAAGGTAGTCTGAAGGAGAGTGGATGATGCGGGAATGGGAAGAAGCAGCAAGACAAACTTAGGATTTAAACTGGACAGAATTTAAAGGGGGATGAAAAAGGAAACAAGGAAGAAGGTGGGGCCCAGCATGTTTCCTTGGTTCATTTGTGACTACATAATGAACATATTACTTCTTAGAAATTTCTGTCCCTCTTTAGCCATATTCTCCTTCAATATTTTTGACTCATGCAAATTTCCCAACTTGTTGAAATCTGCTCTCCTTGAGTGAGATGAACAGGTCCCTTCTGCACCATAAAGAGCTCCACAAAGCCATTACTTTCTCCCAAGCTCTAGTCACTTGTGCATCATAAACCAATATTGACATATGTTTTTAACATTAGATCCAACAAAGGAGTTCTTCTTATTTCTTCTACTTTTGGATAGTTGAGCTCATAAAGCAAATTAAACATTCTTGTGTTGTCTGCAGGATGAGTGATGGCCACGGTTATATACGAGCTTACCATGTACCAGGCACTGTTTTGAGCACATCATTAGCTCATTGAATTCTCCCAAGAACCCAATGAAGTAATACAATTATCATCCTCATTTTAGGGGGAAACAGACACAAAGGGGTTACATAACTTCATTATGTTCACACAGCCAGGATTTGAACTCTGGCTCTGGAGTCCATGCTCTTAGCCATTATTCTAATCACCCCCTCAAACATGGTCTTTCTGAAGGATTTTTCAAGCCAGTTCTGAAGAGAGAAATCTTTTTGCCTCTGGGGTCTCAAAAATGGAGGATAGAAATCTGCAGGTGTGGCCAGGCATGGTGGCTCACTCCTGTAATCCCAGCACTTTGGGAGGCTGAGGCGGGATCATGAGGTCAGGAGATCGAGACCATCCTGGCCAACATGGTGAGAGCCCGTCTCTACTAAAAAAAATTAGCTGGCCCTGGTGGTGTACATCTGTAGTCCTGGCTACTTGGGAGGCTGAGGCAGGAGAATCTCTTGAACCCGGGAGACAGAGGTTGTAGTGAGCCAAGATTGCGCCACTGCACTCCAGCTTGGCAACAGAGTGAGACTCTGTCTCAAAAAAAAAAAAAAAAGAAAAAAAAAAAAAAGAAATCTGCAGGTGCATATTGCATGGGGAAAAACAGGAAAAGAACAAAGCTGATCCTGACCCACAGGATAATCTAAAATGAGAGATGGGAAAGGATGGAGAAAAACAGAGAAATAAAAAGAGAGAGAGAAAGAGAAAGAGATTTTAAATGGCTGTGGGCCAGGCACAGTGGCTCACGCCTGTAATCCAACACTTTGGGAGGCCAAGGCAGGCGGATCAGTTGAGCTCAGGAGTTCAAGACCAGCCTGGGCAACATGGTGAAACCCTGTCTCTTTAAAAAAGGAACATAAAAATACAAAAGTTAGCCAGGCATAGTGGTGTACCCCTGTAGTCCCAGCTACTCAGGGGGCTGAGGTGGGAGGATTGCTTGAGCCCAGGAGATGGAGGTTACAGTGAGCTGAGATTACACCACCGCACTCCAGCCTGAACAACAGAGTGAGACCCTGTCTCAATCAATCAATCAATCAATCAGCCACAGAAGACCATGATGGCCAAGAAATAAAAAACAGCCAATGCCAGCAACTCTCAAGGACTGTTGGCCATTTTCCTAACAGTCAGAAGGTGAATGTCAATCTACTGGGAGGCATGAGAAAACACAGGATGGACACTTGACTCCTAAAACATAGGCCTAAAAGCCAGGTGACTGGAAGAACTTAAAGAAGACCAAGGCAGGTTCACACCTTGGCTGTGGTTCTTAATGGAGTATGTATGTAAGGTCTCCAAGGAAATGGAGGCCTTAACTCCTGACACAAGACTTACAGAATCTCTTGGAGTGGGGTTGATCCTAGGCATCTGTAGTTCTTAAAAGCTTCTTAGGTGATCCTGATAGGGGTCCTTGGTTAAGGTCTCCAGCTGATGCTTGTAAGAGATCTCCTGGGGAAGTATTTACCGGGTGCATAAGAGAGAAAAATAAAATCCCAACACAAAAGTCTACTTGAGGGTCCTGGAATTAATAGGACCTTGAAGAAGCTTGGGCCAGAGGCCTTGACTTATCTATCTGGACTCCAGGTGGGTTAACTGTGTTCCATGAGGCAGAAGTAGCCTGGCCCCATCTTGAGACAGACCAGAGAATGTGACTAGGAAAAGTGGCTCTCCCCTTAAGGAAGGCCTGGGTCTCACATGAAACTCAGGCACCTCAAAACTTCCCTTTACCAGGAGTGTGGAATTTGACCACACACATTCAGGGGCTGAACTGCAACTTCTGAACCAAGTATGGGTATTATTGGAATGAGCTAGATGGTTTGAGGAATAAATAGTTAAGATGGCATTTTGTTGGTTACCATTATGTCAACACTTGCTGCTTGAGTGTAGAATTTATGTATGTATGTATGTATGTATTTATCTTTGAGACAGAGTCTTGCTCTGTCACCAGGCTGGAGTACAGTGGCGCAATCTCAGCTCACTGCAACCTCTGCTTCCCAGGTTCAAGTGATTCCCCTGCCTCAGACTCCTGAGTAGCTGGGACTACAGACGCCCGCCACCACGCCTAGCTAATTTTTTGTATTTTTAGTAGAGACGGGGTTTCACCATGTTGGCCAGGATGGTCTCAATCTCCTGACCTCGTGATCCGCCCGCCTTGGCCTCCCAAAGTGCTGGGATTACAGGCGTGAGCCACCGTGCCTAGCCAGAATTTATTTTATCTAATAATGAAAACCCTTTCCTGTCCCTTTCCTTCTCATAGAACTGTCAGGAAAAAAATGAAAGGAGAAGACTTTGTAAGGGACTGGCAGTTCCACAGTAAATGCAATAAAACTATTTACGAAGAAAAGATAAACATGGGATTTGAGATCATGTTTGTCTCAAATAGAAACAGTGTGGAGGGGTTGTGTATGTGAGGGATGTGGAATAGGAGTGATGGTAAGGTTAGTGATGCTTTTGTTCAGAGTGTTAGCTTTGTGGGTACTCATTGCATTATCAAAATAACTAGCCAACTACTAACCAAATCAATAAATGGAAGTAGCCATGCCTGGACTAATGATAGTGGTGTGTAACGAAACAAGGATGATAATGAACACTATTCTGTGTACCTAAGGGCCAATTTAGAAATAAATAAAGAGTCAGCCTGGGCAACATAGTGAGACCCTGTCTCTACAAAAAAAATTGTTTTAATTAGTCAGGGGTAAGTGGCACATACCTGTAGTCCTAGCTACTTAGGAGGCTGAAGCAGGAGGATTGCTTGAGCCCAGGAGCTCAAGGCTGCAGTGAGCTACGATTGGGCCACTGCATTCCAGCCTGGGTGACAGAGTGAGATCGTATATCAAAAAATGAAATTAAGAAGTACATATAGAGAAAAAAATTATCTACAAAAATCCCACCACATTTTCCTTTCCAGATATTTTTGTAAATCTTTTTTTTTTTTTTTTTTTTTTTTTTGAGACAGAGTCTCTCTCTGTCACCTAGGCTGGAAGGCAGTGGCACGATCCTGGCTCACTGCAACCTCTGCCTCCCAGGTTCAAGCGATTATCCTGCCTCAGGCTCCTGAGTAGCTGGGACTACAGGCGCACACCACCACACCAGGCTAATTTTTATTTTTAGTAGAGACAGGGTTTCACCATGTTGGTCAGACTGGTCTCAAACTCCTGACCTCAGGTGATCCACCCGCCTCAGCCTCCCAAAGTGCTGGGATTACAGGGGTGAGCCACTACGCATGGCCAAATCTATTTTTCAGTAGAGTTGAGGTCATACTGTAGCTATGATTATTTTGTATTCATTTCTTAAAAGAAACTATTACATTTTATTTTTTAGAGTTGCTTTAGGTTCACAACAAATTGGTAGGTATAGATATACTCCTCTTTTTACTTAACATTAGGGCATATACACATTTTCATTTCATCAAAAGCTTCTCATAAACATACTTTTTAAACTGTCAACATAATATTTCCTTATATGAATATAATATGGTTAATTTAGCCTTACTGCCACTGGACATTAAGGTTGTTTCAAATTTTTTGTGATATAAGTAAAGTGGTGATGAACACTTTGGTGCATAACTCACCCTCCCCCATGCATTTAGCATTTTTTTAGGACAGATTATTAGAATTGTTGGCTAAGTACATATGAACATTTTAAGGCCTATTTTACCAAACAGCTAATTTGCTTTCCAGAAATTTTATGAAATTTTACAACTTTACCAAAAGAATTTGAGAGGATGTACTCACTGTACTCTTACAGTTATGGTTGAATTAATTGTTCTTCTCCCCAAAGATGTCTATGTCCTAATCTCCAGAACCTATGAATGGATTGTCTTTCATGGAAAAGGGGTATTTAGATTGCTAATCTACTGGCCTTGAGATGGGAGAGTATCCTGGATGATCTTTATGGGCCCAATGTGATCACAATGGTCCTTAAAAGTGGAAGAAGGTGTCCGAAGAGGACCAGAGAGACACCCATGTGAGAAGGACTCGGCCTTATGTTGCTGGTTTTGAAGACGGAGAAAGGGGCCACAAGCAAAGGAAAGTGGGGGGCTTCTAGAAGCTGGAAAAGGCAAGGAAACGGATTCTCCCTTATAGCCTCCAGAATGGAACACAGCCCTGCCAACCCCTTGATCTTAGTCCTGTGAGACCCCTGTTGGACTTTTGACTACAGAACTGTAAAAGAATAAATTTGTGTTGTTTTAAGTCACCAAATTTGTAGTAATTTGTTACTGCAGCAATAGAAAATAATACACCAGCTTTAGGTATTTCCATTTCATCCCAATGTTTTTTTTTTTTTTTTTTTTTGAGATGGAGTCTTGCTTTGTTGCCCAGGCTAGAGTGCAGTGGTGCACTCTCGGCTCACTGCAACCTCCACCTCCCAGGTTCAAGTGATTCTCCTGTTTCAGCCTCCTCCCAAGTAGCTGGGATTACAGGCACACACCACCACACCCAGCTAATTTTTTTTGTATTTTAGCAGAAATGGGGTTTCACCATGTTGGCCAGGCTGGTCTCAAACTCCTGACCTCAAGTGATCTGCCTGCCTCGGCCTCCCAAAGTGCTGGGATTACAGGCATGAGCCACTGCATCCGGCCATTTCATCCCAATGGTATTTGTCATTTTAATATGCATTTTTAAAATTTTTGGGTAGAACAATTCTACTGTTCTGTTCTGTCACATTTTATTGTTTAGAAAATACCCTTCTTCTGGGAAATGCTCCTTCACCTCCTTTTAAACATGTGGTCCAAAATAGAGCTGAATAACTGAGCCAAACTAAGCCATTCAGAGTCTGTCTTAGTGATTTAAAATGTTATGATTAGAGAAAACAAGCCTCATCCTTCTCTGTTGGTGAGTCACAGCAGCCGCCAGAGGCATTCTCCTGCCATCTGCACCAACCCTCTGTGAGAGAATGACACTGATGTGCAGAGAGAACAAGGATGAGGAGTGGAGAGAGTCTCTGTGATCACCTTTGGTCACTGGAGCCAGTTGCACTCTGCTCTTCTCCCAGCCACATGATCCTTCCAACAAATGTTTCTTTGGCCAAAATTAGTTTGAGCTGTGTTTCTGTCACTTACTACTTAATGAGTCTTAGTGCAGAAAATGGAACTTGAACTAGGATGTGGAAATTGACAAGCTCCAAATGGCTGAATTAAGGTTGGTTAGTGAAAGCGGGTAGCTGAGAGCATCCCCAGATCCTAGGCTGGGAAAAATCGCATTCCCTAATTGTATCAAGGGGTTAGACCACTTTCCAGTGTTTCTTGGGACTCAGACCATGTGCTATGCAGGCTTATGCTTTAGGAGACCTGGTATGAAAATACCAGAATAATAGAATGTGTTAGTGATTTCCTGCAGCCTTTGGTAAGGTGCTGTGAGGGAGAGAAAGAGAAGACCCAGAAGAAGCAAGCAATCAAGGCACCCCTGGGCAGAGAGGTGCAACTTTAAGAGAGGTCTTTCTGTTAGTCTCCAGAAGTCCCAAATGGCCAAGTCATGCCCTTTGTTCATCATCATAGCCTTTGTCCAACAGCAAAAAAACCAATTTTCTTCCCACACTAAAGGTTCTGCACTGATTAAGAAGCTGTAGAATCCTGAAAACTGAAATGGCAATACCTGGAAAGAACCATAACCAGCCAAGCATGTTGTGTTGTGCCCTCCTTGCCTGACAAGGAATCACCAACCTCTCCCTACCCCACCACAGTGCCATGTGAAAGTCCCCATGGCAGAAGTAACGTAGCAGGACAGAGTAGCCCTGCCTTCCCTCCCCAGTTTCCTGCTGAGCCCTGGGGGATGGGCAGAGGCTCCAGAGCTGCCGGTAAGAGGCTGGAGCCACATGGGCAAGGGCCAGCACACCTCCCATACCTTCAACATTGCTGGAGTTGGTTATTAGTCATAGAGACCCCCAGAGTGGAACTCACAGTAAGATGATGCAAGGTTTAAGGGTTTACGTGCTAAAAAAGCACAAGTTTGCCAAATGGAAGTGTGTGATTGCACAATCACTAAGGTGTTTATTTTCTAAACTTTCCTGACAATAAGAATCCCCTGGGATGATTGTTAAGAACATAGATTTCAAAGCACCTCCCCTGGAGACTGCATGAATTTGAGATGTGATTGGAGATCTGTATTTTCACCAAATTTCCTAGGAGATTTCTATCACCCAACAAGTTGGGGGAAACTCTGCTATGAGGTAATCTGCAGGTATGTAGGCCAACAGGAAGTGATTTGTGAGGCACCACAGCCTCAAGTGTGGGGATCCTTTGTACTCCCATGCTCACTAGGGGTCTTGTGGATATGGGCAAAGGGAATGTTCCCAACTGGCAAAACCTGGAGAGACAGACTGGCCAACTAGAGAACTCACTCCTTGCCAAGGATACAGTGATATTATTCAGCCACAGCCCTGACCTCCCTGTCCCTATCCAGCTGGATGTGATTTAAATGTTGGACCAGTGTCCATTGAATGTTGCTTCCTTGTTACCCAATTTAAATGGTAGCATTTACAATGGTTACCTTGTTTCCCACCAGCATTGTGCATGAAGTGTGTTGGAGGTGGTTGGTGGTTGTAATAATCACATCACCAATGAGGGCAAGATCATGAGGAGCCACAAGAAGACTTGAGGACACACCCAAGAATCCTAAACTTGGACTCACCATCAAATGACCCTCTAAGTTAACGCTTTGAGCGCCACTTTCATACACACCAAACTCATTTATTTTCTCCAAATACGTAGAAATAATCCCAAAATTTATTAAACACTGACTATGTCCTAGGCATAGTCTATGTGCTTTACATGCGTTAGTTCATTCAACTCTCCCAAAAACCCCATTAGGTAAGTGCTATTATTATCCCCCAGTGAACAGATGAGGAAATGGAAGCTCAGAGAACTGAAGAAGGCTGCCCAAGGCTGTGCAGCTATCAAATCATGGAGATGTGAGCCCTGGCAGCATGACCCCTGAACCTGAGCTCTTCACTGTCACTCTAAGCTGCCTCCCCAGTGAAAAAGGGGAAAATAAAACAATGCTGCCACATTTCAAAAGAAGCTAAACATTGCCATGGGTAAGAAACAGGAAAACTAATATGAAGAAAGACTGCCAACAAAAGCAGTCAGCAGGGAACAAACTCCCTCCAGATGGAAAGAAAGTAGTAGAGCAAGATGAAAATGGTTGTAAACTAAGCTGGTTTAGAATCCTCAAAAGATAAAAGAAGAGAGGCCAGGCGCCTGTAATCCCAGGAATTTGGGAGGCCAAGGTGGACGGATCACCTGACAGGAGTTTGAGACCAGCCTGGCCAACATGGTGAAACTTCATCTCTACTAAAAATACAAAAATTAGCCAGGCATGGTGGCATGCGCCTGTAATCCCAGCTACTTGGTAGGCTGAGGTAGGAGAATCGTTTGAATCCAGAAGGTGGAGTTTGCAGTGAGTGGAGATTGTGCCACTGCACTCCAGCCTGGGCAACAGAGTGAGACTCTGTCTCAAAAACAAACAAAACAGAACAACAACAAAAAGGTGCCCACTGAGTTCTTAGTAGAATAGGTAGTAAATTCACATCTATACAGGCTTTTCTAAATCTGCAGAACATCAAGAAGAACAAGAAAATCTTAACAGCTATCAGAGGAAAAAAGAGATTTCTAATTTAGTAGATTCTGAACTTGGAACTGGATGCAGTCGCTGGATAAGACTTGAGTTACATTACACTGAGATGGGATGGTTGCATTACGTTAAGAGAGGACATTTGGAGGCATTATGTGTATGGGAAGAAAAGTACGTATACGGGGAATCTAGGGGATATTCATTGTTTTGCGTGCCCAGAAGAGCACCCACCTCCTCTGAGCAGTCAAACAAAGAAGAGAGATAGAGATAGAGTGACTCTTGCCAGTGTGTAAGGATCTCTTCCTAGCTATCTCCTCTAAATTCCCTCCTTTAACTTAACTTGTAAAAATTAAAATTCTATTCTTTTCAGCCAAATGAATCTTAGTTAATGAAATGTGAGACTGATATTTTGTAATTATTTAATTATTTACATGTTTCCTTTTGGAAAATGTTTTTTCTTATTTATCTACTGAGTGTTGCATGGTTTTTGTTTGCTTGTTTTAAATGTGCAGTACTCCTAAACAAAATTTCTATTCGCCTGATCCCAATTCTCTTTCTCTTTTGCCTTTCTCAGCTACAGGCTTCCCTATCGTCCTACACATCCAAGCCAAGGATCTCAATATCATGAACTCTTCCTTCTCTTGATTTCACCTCTCATACCCACAAGCAGCCACCAAATTCCATCAATTCTATCTTTTAAAAATCTCTCTCAAATCCATCCACTGAGACTTTAACAATGATAGACCTACCTACTGGAAGGGCTGCAGGCAACACTCTCATTTGCTGCTGAGTGGAAACTGGAAACGCTTTTCTGCAGGGAAATTTGAAAATAAGTTTCGGTGATCTTAAAAATATTTATATCTTTTGACTCAGCAATGGTACCCTATGAATAAGGGGAAGGGGAAATCGAAGATAAGAACAAAGACTTAAAAAAAAAACAGGATGTTTACGATAACGTAATGTTTTAAAATAGTATTTAATAGAATGAGGTGTGGCTTAAGATACAATGTTAACTATGAAAGGATATGAAACATATATACAGTACAGGTCTAATAAAAATTTATGTCCAATTCGATGATTATTCAGAAATGGAATAATCAATAGGCTTCTGTTCTCCTGTCATTGTTCTCTAGCCAGCCAATTGCTCTTCCTTTCTGTGGATCAGGTGGGTAGGATTAGACAGTGACAGCCTCACGGTCACTTGGGGCTTTTCTTAGTTCAGCCTACGGAGTCCTGAGTGTAGTATAATTTTCAACATCTTTATCTTGTGCTTTTCGGGACAATAGAGACTCCCCCTTGCTTCAAATGCTGTTTTCTATTGCTTTCACCATCATACAACCCTGCACTTGTCAATTTTTATCCCCACACAGATCATGTTTTGGTTGGGTTTTACTGTATTTGTCTATCTACATAAAAAATAATAAGTAAAGGAAACACTAAAATGTTCCTTCTGTGTGATGGAAGTTTGTTGATTTTAATATTCTCCCATACCTGTAAATATTGCTGAGAATGGAATTGCTGATGGCCGCTTAGCATTCTGACATATGGGTACACTCTAGATGATTTAATCAAACTCCTATTCTTGAACATTTAGATAACTTACCATTTCCCCTTGCTGTAAGCAATGCTTCGGTAAACACCTTGGTACACACATCTCTGTGCCAACTGGACCCTGCAGAATTATACACACATGAACCAAAAAGGTGACTGCCTTCCCCTTTTCTCCTTAGTGTGGGAGAGCAGACATGTATAGCAATAACCATACTATAAAACATAATGTGTTAGGAGAAGGATTTCAGTCCAGGTATGGACCAGGCTGCCTGGAGGAGGAGGCATTTGAGCCAGGCTCCTCAAGCAGAAAGCTGGGAAGAGGGAGCTGATCTCCCTGGTAACCACAGAAAGTCTTCTCAGTGAGCAACTCCCGCTGTGGCTCCTGAGAGCTGGGAAAACAGGCCTTCATACCAGAGCCAGAGAATCTGGGGCCCCAGTCCCCAGCCCTCTTGGGAATATGGCAGCTCTCTTCAAGGGGCAGGAACAGCATCTCTCATCTACAGAAGCCAGGAGATTTCCCCCAGCTTCCTTCCAGCTCCACCAAAATCACCCCACACTCAGAGCCCCTGCGTTGGGGGAGGGAGGGTCTTGACAGCCCCCTGCAACCCCTGCCCCCACCTTGTGCCCCCAGGGAGCAGGGCAGAGGAGCTATTCCCTGACAGTGCTGAGCCATGCGGCAGGCCCACAGGCTCCCATTCCTGCCGTCTCTCAGCGTCTCCGGCCAAACCCCAGCTCCTGGGGTTAATGGAATGTTGAGCAATCCTTGGAATTTTTCAGTGAGAAATAAGTACTTTCGAATTCCGTTCAGGCCTCCTGAGTAGGGCGCGCTGCCTGCAGCCCAAAGGCTGGAGCCTGCAGCGCCTGAGTCTTCCTGAACCGGCATCAGGGAGCACTGGGGGACTTTTCAGTGTTTGTTTTCTCCTCCTGCTGGCCAGGCTGTAGGACACTATTACAATGAGGTCATGGGGCCCTGCCCCACTGCGTCCATGGGTGGTTGAGCAGCCAGGATCTTTCCCTTCACAGGCTGGCTCGGGTGTGCACACGGGTGTGCTGGAGGACAGGCGGGGTCAGAGCCCAAGCTCAGCCTGAACCCCTCAGGACCTCCCTGCCCCATCACTGCCAGGTCTTATTCCCTATCCGGGGTCTGCCTTGGCCTAGGGCCTTGGGCCACATTCTGTATCTAGTCTCGTGGGGGCCGTGTGAGGAACCTAGTTTTTACTTGCTAGAGATAATTGAACAGTACCCTGCAAGTAGTTCTCAGCTCAAATGGCACCTCCTCTGGGAATACTTCTTGAAACTTCCTCCACAATGTCAAGTTCCCCTATTATACATTCTCATGGCACCCTATACCTCTCCATCTAAGTCCTTGCCTCTGTTATTAAAAATAATTATTTGTTAAGCAAATACACAAATAATAATAAAATAATAATTATTTGTGTATGTGCTAAATGTCTGTCTTGACCACAGACGGTATGCACCATGAGGGCAGGAGTCCATTTTGTTCACTGCTGTATCCCCAATACCATCTGCAGTGCTTGACATATAGTAGGTGCTTTATGGATTGCACTATGCCAAGCAAAGATTCTTAAGAAAGTATAAGGCTTCTGCCTCTTAAGGGGCTCTTGCCAGGACATGACCTCCTGGGGATTTTCTCTTCTTAAGAGACAGGTCTCACTATGTTGCCCATGCTGGACTTGGAATTCTTGGCTCAAGTGATCCTCCCACTGCAGCCTCCTGAGTAGCTGGAACTACAGGGGTGCACCACTGCACCCAGAAATTCCTCTGGGATCCTGTACCAGATTTGGGGGTACCTCCAAGCATGGCCCCACTGTTGGCCTCATTTTCCCTCTGTGTTCCAGGTCCTCCAATTTCTGCCTCATCTACAACGAGGTAAGTGGGAGACCAAAGTGTCACTGTTCAACTGAAAGCAAATCTCCTTTGTCTGTGATCAAATTGCAAGTTCGCAGGCAAGGGGTCCTGACCAGGCAAGGGGTCCTGCCCCGGCAACGGGATATTTTGCAGATACCCACTGTGTCAGAATTCCTGGCTCCGGGGCAGGTCCTGACCCCACCTGCACACCTCCACTTTATCTTAGCTTTGCGTAAGGTTTGAAAGTTCCCAAAGCCCGTCACACTGTTATTTCATCTGTACCTCCCACCAGCACTACCCTTCCCATTTTACAGAAGAGAGAACTGTCCCAGAGAAGTGAGCTTCTCTAGTCATGATGAGGAAATGGCAGGGTGAGCTTTCTAGCTCCACGGGCAGGATGGGGAATGTGGGAGGCAGGTAGCAGGTGGGAGTTGGGTCCTGGGAAGTGGAAGACACAGGCCAGGCACCTAGAGAGTCATGCCAGGGTCCTGAGGTAGGAACACAGCCACCTCAGAAGGTACTGGAAACAAAGCAGTCCCCTCTGCTTTGTAAGAAGCCTTCACTTTGTAAGCCAGACAGTTTTTATGATTCTTATGTTCTCTGTGTTAATTTCCCTGATTTCCTCCCTTAGTGGGAAGTAGGAAAAACTCAGGAAAGTTCTAGTTGGCCTCAGCTGTGCAGAGGGGAGCCAAAGGAATAGGTTTGCATCTCAGCATGTGCCAGAGTGTTTCAAGTGGCCAGCATGCTGGGTGGGGGAATCATAAAGGGGAGGGGGCTGGGCAGTCCTGGGGGCCATTGTTTTCAATGTCACCCTGACCCTGACCCCAGACACTCGGAGAGAATCACAGCTTAAGCATGGAAAACTTGGGGTTTCTGTCATTAAAATGAGTAGGCTGACTTAACCACCTCATAGGATTGTTGTGAGATTATATCACTCACACACAAATATTTTTTGAGTTCGAAGTGTCTAGGATACATCAGGGTACAAAACACAGATTAAATCAGCAGATTACATGGGAGGCTAGAATGTGCTAAGTGCTGTGGGCAAAACGACTTGTGAAGTAGGCCGGGCATGGTGGCTCACACCTGTAATCCCAACACTTGGGAGGCCGAGGCGGGTGGATCACCTGAGGCCAGGAGTTCAAGACCAGCCTGGCCAATATGATGAAACCCTGTCTCTACTTAAAAATACAAAAAGTTAGCCAGGCATGGTGGTGGGTGCCTGTAATCCCAGCTACTTGGGAGGCTGAGGCAGGAGAATGGCTTGAACCCGGGAGACAGAGGTTGCAGTGAGCCAAGACTGCTCCACTGCACTCCAGCCTGGGCAACAAGAGCAAAACTCCATCTAAAAAAAAAAAAAAAAAAAAGGACCTGTGAAGTAGGTAAAGGAATGAGGGGGATCTGGGCTAGGGCCAGGGAGCGGTCAAAGTAGGCCTCATAGGAAAGGGGTGATTGAGTTGCAGGGTATCAGGGGCGTGCGCCCCTGGCAAGGGGAGCCTATGTCTCTGTGCTAAGATTCAGGAGGGCAGAGAGGCTGGGGCAGAGGAGCCAGGGGAGAGTGGTGGGAGTAGAGGTCAGGGCGGTTAGCACAAGCGGCAGATCACGAGCTGCCTTCCTGGCCATTGCATGAACTTGGGTGAAATAGAGAGCCATGGAGAGCCTGATCCCTCTGGCTGCTATGCTGAGAAAAGACCGAGGGGTCATTGGGAGGCACGCCAGGACACCACAGCCATAACCCAGGTGAGGGATAATGGTGGTGTGGACCCGGGCAGAGCAATAGGAGACGGTGAGAGCAGGTGGGGTCCTGGCCATTGGGAGAGATGACAGCTTTTGCTGATGGTTTTGGTGTGGGATGTGAGAGAGAGAGGAGTCAGGGATGATTCCATGGTTTTTGGCTTGAGATGGTGGAAAGATGGAGTTGCCATTAGCTTAGATAATTTGTGTTATTCTAGCTTCTGACTGCAGACTCTGGGCCAGGGCCTGGGTCAACCACTTTACACCCTGATCCCATTCAATCCTCACAACCCCACAAGTAGGAACTTGTCCCTTCAGCTCAGAGAGGGTAACTAGCTGACCAAGGTCACCTAGCACGTTAAGTGGTGAGGCTCAGATGCCACAGGCTGGTCTGACCCCACCAAGCAAATGTGTATAAACTGTCCCCGGGACTTGGGACACCAGTTCCCTCGCCTCACCTGACCTTGCCTGGACTTGCACCTCACTCCCTTTTTACCCTACAGCAAGCTGCCTCAAAACTGCAAAGCTCTCATGGCCTGATGTTGTATACATCCTGAGGTTTCTCTCAGAGGCACTTTTAAAACTCCTTATTTGGATATCTGAAATTAGGTAGAGGGGTGGCCAGGACTAGGATGTCTGGGGACTTCCTCAGAGGCCTTGGGCAGATGGGTGGGCCGTGAGTCAGGGGCAACAGGTGGAGGGAACACAGGCAGGCTCAGCAGATGTAGCAATAAAAATTTGGGATTCTTATAAATACAGTCAGCTACCCTGCCCACCACCCCCACGCCTAAGCTGGAGGCACTGCTCTCCCACCCACAGGATTTATTTTGCTCTTCTAGACCGCCATATTCCCAGTTTAGAGGAGAAATGCGTGGGATCGAGGATTTGAAACTGATTTGCTCAGACATTGGGGCAATGCTTGTGTGTGGCGGTGGGGGAGGGGGACATCCACAGCACAGCATGACGAACACAGCACGGTGGTGTTCAGGGCTCTGACCTCTGCCCACCCAGGACCTGGTCCTGGGCCAAAGTTTTAGCACCAGGCTGCTAAGAGCTGACTCAGCACTGAGCCCAGGCTAGGGGTTCCTGGATGGCTTTCTGGGCCATCCAGGTCGTGCTGAGGAGTTGGGGATATAGCCCTGCCACCTGCCCGAGTCACAGGGAGGAGACTTTAAAAATGAATAAGCACTTGCTCTGTGCCAGGCGCTCTCACACACACTGCCTGCTTTAATTCTCATAACTGTGAGGTCAGGACAAAACTAAGTTCAGAGAGGTTAAGAGGCCACACAGCTGGGGGAACCTGATTGTACCCTTGGCTATCTGACTTCAAGGCTCCCAGGGCCCCAGGTCTTTGATGTCTCTGGCACCCGTAGCTCAGGCTCCTCTGCACCTCCTCCTGTCTGAGCGATGAGTCTGCTGAGGAACAATTCCGGGTCAAGCCGGCTTTCTTACCAGAGGTCTCGCCCTCGCTGGAGACTCCCAGCCAGGCCCGGGATGTGCAGAAGCCAGCAGGGAAGGCTGACGCCTTAGGGTGGGAAGTGGGGGAGTTGTGCCGACATATCTTTGGAATTTTTCTGACTCCCCCATCCTTTTGAACAGACAGCAGACAAGGACTAGGCATGTGAGCAAAGAAAGGGCATCCCTCTTCTCAGGAGGTGGTCCTGCGGCTGAATGGGGTGACATCTATCTCCACTGATATTCTTAGATGTACTCTCTCCTAATCCCACTCCTCAGCTGCTGCTCCAAAGCTCCGGACCTGTCTCCCAGGGCTCACTTTCAGCCAGCGGGGGACTGGATGTCTTCATTGGCCCAGCTGCTGAGCCCCTACCCCTGGAGTGTCTCCCCTTTCTCCAGGCCCTGTACGCCTACCCAGCTTTTGAGCCAGTTTCTCCTGGCTTGTTTGGTTGTTGGGACTCATGCAGCTGCCTGCATGATGAGGTCCTATAAGACAGTGCTTATCCCAGAGGAAGGAACTGCTAGAAAGGGGTTGTCGACCTCATGGAGGAATGCGTTGCATAGAGCCTGCCCCTGACATTATCAAAACATCAGCCTGTCCTGGGGTCAAGGCTTCAGGATCTCAAGAGGCCAATTCAGAGGTTCTTGGAGCCCTAGATTTCCAGGACTGATGGGTACTGACAAAGGCCACCTCTGTGCCTTGGCCTTGAGGTTTGGGGTGGGAGGGGGACACTGAGCTGTGGTCAGAGTTCAGCTATCTGGGGTGTGACAGGCACACACCTTCTCCACTTACCATGCTGCTGGGTATCCCCACCACCAGAATGTCCCCCTTCTAAACTCCCTTCTAACCAGCACTGATCCCTTGTCTAGATGCTGCCTCTCCTCAGATCCTGTGTCTGAGAGCCGCTGCAGAGAACCAAGGGACTCGCACGTGCAGAAGGCCCCGGTGGAGGCCAGAGACGGAGCCCGAGACGGGGGCAGGGCGGACGCACAGACAGCCTCTGTTGGCCTGGCAGGCGGGGAACAGTGGCAACTCAAATACTGTTGTTTGCAAATGAACAACCTCAAGCCTAGAAGACAGTTCATCTTTGTTTGCCCTGGTTGGTGCTGATGTGGCTTCTGCCCCGCCCCCCATCTAGGGTTCTTTTTTTCTTGCTCACTGCAGCCATGGACCCAGGGAAGCAGGGACAGGGGTGCGTTGAAGCCCAGGCCTGAGGCACCTGATCTCCAGACTCAAGGATTCGGTTCTGGCCCCATAGTCTCTCAGGTGTGACCCCTCTCACCTAGCAGTCATGAGAAGCTGTGCTTAGGATCACAGGCCCCAGGCCCCTCCCTGCTGGTCTGGACCTCTGCCTCAAGCTCAGTGAGTTCTCAAAGCCTTGTAGCAACAAGGCTGCAGCTCTGTGCCATGCCCCATCAGAATCCTAGAATATCAGGGAATCTTGGTGTGTGGATAAAGAACCTAACTCCTGAGATGTTAGGTAATTTGCCCAAAGTCACACAGCTGGTGAGTAGCTGAGCTGGCTCTCCATGCTCTTGGAAGCATTCTCTTCCCATTTTTTCTGTGGGTTCCCCCCAGACCCCAGCCCACCCAGGAGAGCCAAAGCTGGGCTGGGATGAGCTCTCTCTCCACACATGTGGTGCTTATCAAGCAAACATGGCCTCGACGGGTTTCGCAATGATCCTTATGTTCTGGTCCCCGCAGTGGGCTGGGAGCTTCAGGAGAGTGGAGACCCTCCTTTGCTGTTCTCTAACTGCTGCCCAGGTTGCTGCCCCATGCACACCCAGGGCTGGGGCCCAGCACATCCTTCCTCAACGAGAGAAGAGACTAGCAAAACCTGGAAAGGAAATGGGCTCAGGACGGTTCAGACTGTTTTCTCTCTGAGGGAACAGAGCCACACGTTGTGCAGGAAGGCAGGGAGATGTTTGTAGGCTCCAGTTTAGGAACGGGACTTGTAAAACAGGGAGGTGGCCAAATTCATTCAGATTGGCCTTGGAGCAGGCCCTACGCATGGAGCCAACTGAAATATTCAGAACTGCAGGCCAGCAACCTGTCCCCAGAGGCTGAAGGAGGAAGGCCCAGTCTAGAGCCCACAGTGTCAGAACCAGGCTCAGGAGGGCCTGGGCTGGCAGAGGGTGACTAGGGGAGGTTCATGGTCCTCAGGGAGCAGGCATGGAGGACTTCTCTGGGAGGCCTTCTTTCTAGGATTAATTAACCCCTCCTCCTCCACATTCAGCCAGTTAATCAATCGGCTTTCCCATGAGCCCAGCGTGGTGCTAGAGGCCTAGAATGGGGTGGGGGAGGAAGACACCAGAAATATGAGCCAGTGTCTGCCTTCAAGGGGTCTGTAAAATAGTTGGAGAAAGTAAGCAAGCACATGCAAATCAGAACATGGTTAAGACAGGTTAAATAGCAGACCATAGGTGACCAAATGCAGTGGGGTAGGGAATGTCCTATCCACTGTGCCTAAACACTGGCTTCTGGTCTTTTATTTTTTGTCTTTCCTTCAACCATCCCCCCAGCCCACACAAAGTCCCTTGCATAACAGGGCCAGCAGTCAAGGCTAGGGAACAATTTCCTAGTAAATCAGGGACTCTGTGAAGCCTTGGCAACATCTCAATTCTCATCTTGAATTTATAACTCTCAGGGCTCTCACTGCTGGCCACCAACCCCAGCACACCACCAACATCTTCAGTTTATTGACTGACAGGCTGATTATCGCTGTGCGAGGCGGCCAGCGCTGGTAGTTTGCAGAAAGATGGCATACAGGCAGGAAAAAGCTGAGAGCAACTTGGCAAAATGCAACATGCATTCTTCCTGCAGGAAGAAGGGAAAGCGTTAGAACACCTCTCTAATGACTTTCCCAGAGCAGATTCTTTGGTTCCCACTTCTGAGCCTTCACACTTTCCCCACAGCTGGAACTTCCCCACCTCCTCTCATCCAACAGCTCCTCCCCAGTTTTGAAACCAACTTCTAGGGAAACCGGCTCTAGGTCTCACGCCTGACTAAGCCCGTTGGACCTTACCTGCTCTGTTGATTGAGCTTGGGCAGCCCAACTGTTAGTCTCTAGGGGCCAGGATCAGACTCTGGGGTCCTTCTTGTGTATACACAAGTTTTCTAGTCAGTGAACCCTTCTGAGTGCCTGCTCCGTGCCTAGCTCCAGCCTACATCAGTGAGAGACAGCGGGGGCAGGCCAGGCCTTGCTGCCTACAAGTTCACTGTCTTGTTAGGGACAGTGACACAGACCCTCACCAGAACAAGCTTAACACCACCGGGTGGCTTGCAGTCAAAGTCCAATGAGCAGAAGCATCATGGCCTTCTTTGTTTTGCTTTGTTTATTATTTACTTTGTTTGTTTATAGCGGTTCTATTCACAATCTCTAAAAACTAGAAACAAACCACATGTGCCTCAAAAGTCACTACCTTTAAAAAGTTCAGGGGAGAAAGATACTTCTGAGTGCTGGGAGATACCCCAGCTTCTTGAAGAATCTGAACCTTGAAAGAATGTGGACAGGTGGAGAAGAAGGGAGAGCATTCCAGGCGGGGGAAATTGCCTGAGTCCAAGGGTGGAGGGCTGTAAGACATGGACAAATATATGGCACACGTGCCAGCCCCCTTCTATCTCCTGTCCTTGACAGACATTGTCGATGTACTGTTTCCCTCTAACTTACTGCAGCCATCACCAATCAATCAAAACTGATGAGTGAGAATCAGCCTATCTGTCCTGGTGGTCTAGAGTGTTTAGAAGGCATAGGAAAATGGATCAGGCTGGAGCAGGACATTTGTGCCATGAAGGAAAGGAGAAAGGCAAACTCATCGAGTTGTAGGATGACAAAGTGGGAATGGGCCATGTAATCTTAAGGAGTCTAACGCTAGAGAAAAAAGAACTTGCCCGAGGTACATGGAAGTTATTGGCAGGAGTGTTGGAACTCAAGCCTCCTGAACCCTGGGCAATGGATTGGGGCCAGACATTCAGAAGGGCCTTGAGCACTCAGCTGCTGAGTTGATACCTAATCTTGTGCAATCTGGAGTTGGCCACGCAGGAGCCACAGCAGGACAGAAAGGTCTTCTAAGCTCATTCTTTACTTCCTGACACTCTCTCCTCCCTGTCCAAACTCTCATTGCTCCTGTGCTGGGAGCCCAGGAGGGTGTCCTGGGAGCACTGAGGCAGAGAAACAGGTGGACTCTCCTCCCAAAGGAAAGCACTTTCCCCCCTGAGCCTACCCTGAGGGACTGAAGCACCAGTGAAGAAGCCCCCTGCCACCTCCCCCAGCTTCCAGGCCACAGGCTTTGAGCATGAAAGTGTTATAATAAAGTGATATTTACAAAATATTATTATAAAAGATTAATCTGTCCTGCTTCCTTTTAGGAGAAAATACCTCCTATGGGAAAATACCTCACCTGCTGGAGGTGAGGGGGCCACTTGCGTTATGGTGGAGAAAAGAAGGGGGCCTTACCCTCAGGAACAAATCCATGGGTCAGAATCCATTGAGGCCCCCAGGAGGGGTCAGGATCAGAGCCAAGAGCCACATCTAGCTGCAGGAGCTTTGGATGGGTGTCAGGCTTCATAACTCCCCATCTGGGGTGGGCATGTTCTGCTTGTTTTGCTGTTTGTTTCCCTGAAGGAGATGTCAGTAAAGGATGTTGTAGGCTTGTCCTGGGAGGTGGAATGAATTGGAGACTGGGGGCCGTCTCTGCAGGCAGGATCTGGGGATCAGAGCAGCAAGAGGTGGGAGGCAAACTCCAGGCAGAAGAGGAGTGACGGCAAGAGAAGGCACAGAGAAGGATGTAGCCTGCAGGAGCCCTCTCAGGACCCAGGGGGTCAACCAGGAAGAACCCCGGTCTGAAAAGGGCAGGACTGAGCAGCAGCAATGGCTAGAGACCCCATTAACCTGTAAGCCTGCGAAGGTTGGGGACCAGACCCCTGCCTTCCTCATCACAGTCCCAGGTTCTGGAAACTGGACATATAAGCCGTGACCTTGCTTGAATGGAATTTACTTTGTTTCTCTTTCTGACCATTCCCCAAATCAGAAACAGTTCTTCCACTTGTAGAAATGGGCAGGGAGAGGAAGTGTTGCCCCTTCCCACAGAGGGGCTATCAGAGGGAAGGTAGAAGGAGCTGGGACCGGAGAGATGAGCTAATTTTTCTTTTCAAAGATCATGTCTGACGTCCTGTTTTCCAACCCTGGGAGCCACTTCTCAGCGTTCACCCTCTCTGGGGCAGCTGACCATGTTGCTCAAGCTTCACTTCTTTAAAAGTTACCCCCTTGGCTTCCGGCCTTTGCACCTTCATGGTTCTCCCTCGAGGGCTGTAGTTCCTCTTTCCCCATTTCTGGTTTAGTTTACTCTTCTTCCTAAGCCCCTTACATCAGGTGTCCCAAAGTTTTATCAATAGTACCTTCTGCTTGGACATCCCCATGATCTCCCTAGGGATGCTCACCACTCACACAGCTCTGATGGTCACTTGCTTGTTAGTGAATCCTAAATCTACACCTTCAGCCTGATCGTCCTTCAATTCTAGGCCCTCCTTCGTAACAGCCTGCTGAATGCCCTCCACAATCCCCAAGCTCAACACACCCATTGTTCAGGAGTCTTCCGTGGGACTTGGGACAGCCTTGCTGGAGGCCGCACTTCAGTAGCGAGGCCTGGAAATGAAGCTGCCTGGGTTTCTGTACCTTCACTTCCACTCACCAGCATCAGCCCCACCATCTCCCCACAGGAGGCTGCCAGCCCTCCCTCTTGTCTCTGGCCACTCTGCCTTCTGCTCATTCCTGTTGACGTTCAGGATTCAGATAACCCTGGCTGAGTGATTGGTGTTGGGCCGGGAGGATTGACACCCCCACTTAGGCACATCGTGGTGTGTAAATTCTAAATCTATTTGAAAATGTTCAGTTTTGATGAATGCTCTGCACTGAGAGCTCACAGGAAGGTAAGAGGGGACATCCAAGGGTGAATGGGGAGAAAAGCTACTCCCTTATTTATCCTTGAAGCATTAATTGAGCTCCTTGTCTGTGCCAGGGACTATGCCAGGGGCTCAGGATCCAATAGAGAAGACAAAGTCCTGCTTTTGTGGTGCTCACAGTCTAACAGAGAACCAGGCGTTGGCCAGGCCATTAGAGGGTGACAAGTGATCCACAAGGGAAAAATAGGATGGAGGGAGAGCAAAGGACAGGGCCTGAGACCTAAAGGATTATCATTAGCTAAGAGGAAAAGAGGGAGAGGAGAAGAGGATTGTTCCAGGCAGAGGGACCAGCATGCGGGAAGACCCAAGGCCAGAGCAGCACTTTCGAGGAACTGAAAGAAGCTCGATGTGGCTGTGGAGCATTGAGAAAGGGGAAGAATGGGCCAGAAACAGGAGGGAGAGGTGAGCAAGGGCCGCGTTAGGCAGGGCGTCGGGACCCTGGTAAGGCAGGGCGTCGGGACCCTGGTAAGGGTTTCGGATTTCAGAATTTAAACCAGTGACAGCCATGATAAAATATGAATTTAAATAAGACCATTGGGCTGTTTGTGGCAATCACGTACTAGAGACCAGCAAGCTTGCTGTGGCAGGTAAAAAATGGGGTGGCCTTGACTAGGATGATGGCTGTTGCTGGAGAGAAGAGGTCAGATTTTAGGGATATTTTAGAGGATTTGGGAGCTAAAGAAGAACAGAGGAGTCAAAGTCAACCTACCGTTTTTCATTTGTACAACGCACTGGATGGTTGAGTTTGTTTCCTGGGAAGTCAGCTGTGGATATACTGAGTGGGGCTGCTGTTGGGGGGGTCTCGAATAAAGGTGTCAAGTCACGCAGGGTTGCCAGATCAAATACGGATGCCCAGTTACGTCTGAATTTTAGATAAATGACAAATAATGTTTTAGTATAAATCTGTCCTATTGCATTGGGCATATTCATACTAAAAAAGCATCCATTGTTTATCTGAAATTAAATTTAACTGGGCATCCTGTGTTTTTATTCGCTAAATCTGTCAACCCTACAGGCAATTGAACCCATGGATCTGAAGATCAGGAGGGGTCTAGAAGAGAGGTGTCCTCCATAGTTTCCAGCCTAGAGCAGCACTTGAAGCATTAGGAGTGCAGGGGGTGGCTTAGGGGCAATAAACAGAGGAGACAGGTCTAGGGCAGTCACAGTAAGTCCAATATTTAGGGTTTGGGTAGAGGAGGACAAACAGGAAAGTGTAATGGAAGCCAAGGGTAGGAGAAAGAAGAAGTGACCCTCAGTGGAAAAATCAAACATGCGAGGGCTAAAACTGTTCACTGAATGTATGGAGAAGGTCATTAGTAGTTTGGGTGCAGTTTATTTATATTTTGTGAGGGAGGAAAAATCTATCACAGTGAGTTGAGGCGTAAATGGAAAGTGTTTGAGATGTTTTCCTAGGAAGAAGAGGGTAATCATTGGAGGAAGAGATAGAATCAAGGGAGGGCCCGATTTCACATTAGAGACTTGAATGTGTTTAAATGATGGGGAGCTGAGAGTAAAGAGGGAGAAGCTGAAGATAAAGGAAAAGAGGGGATAGGCAAGGTCCCTGAGATGGCAGCAAGGGTTGGGATCCAGAAGCTAAGAGGGCAAATTAGATAGAAGAGTGTATGCCTTCCATTAAACCAGGAGGCAAAGTGGAGAGGACCTGTGCAGCCGGTAGATAAGAGAAGCTGCAGGATGGCTGAAGACTCACTGCCTCAAGGCTTCTGTCTTTTTTTTTTTTTTGAGATGGAGTCTCCCTCTGTCACCCAGGCTGGAGTGCAGTGGCGCGATCTTGGCTGACTACAACCTCCACCTCCTGGGTTCAAGTGATTCTCCTGCCTCAGCCTCCCCAAGTAGCTGGGACTACAGCCGTCTGCCGCCACCCCAAGATAATTTTTTTTTTGTATTTTTAGTAGAGACAAGGTTTCACCATATTGGTCAGGCTGGTCTTGAACTCTTGACCTCAGGTGATCCACCTGCCTCAGCCTCCCAAAGTGCTGGGATTACAGGCATGAGCCACCACACCTGGCTGGCTTCTGTCTTATCTTTGAAAGGAGTAGGAGATAACATCTGCTGAGAATTCAGATGGAAGTAAGTATGTGGAAAGTTTGAGGACAGGGATACGGTCTACCAGGGTGGTTTTTCCAGGACTAGAATATGTATGGCAGGCAGCACTGAGGACCCAGCCAAGCTTGGTGGTCACAGTGTTGGAGGACCTGGCCAGCTTGCTACTGTGGCCTTCTCCTGCAGAATCACCTGTCATGCCAGTGCAGTTCAGAGGAAAAGGACAGCTGCTTCATCCACCGGTGGAATTTTGGCAGGCGGTGCAACAAGGGGGAATTTATGTTATAGGAGAGAATGAATAAAATTCTGAGCTGTGCATCTCAGGTGTGAGAAAAGAGAATGCAGGAAAAAGGGGGCTGCTGGATTGAAAGAAAACAGAGGGATCCATGGACGGGGTACCTGATGGGGTCAGAGGTCAAGAGTAGACAAAGTGATTGAGTGGAGAAGCTGAGAGTATAGAGAAGGCCATCAAGATTAGTGATTTCAGAGGTGAGGGAGTTCTGGGTGGTGACTAAGTCTAGGGAGTGGTGATGGGAGTGGGTGGCCAAGTCACAGTGGGACAGAAGGTTGTCAGAGATGGGGAAAGCCAGCAGCTCAGAGGCTAGGGTGTGGGCTGCCACTCTCACGGACATAAAGTCATCCCGATGATGACAGGGGCTCCCTGTACACACCACACCTTACCTCTCCTGGCAACACCCCACTGTGTCTCAACCATGTGGGTTGCTATGGTGGTGGGTGTATGTGGGATGGTGGTAGTTAAAACTGGGAGGGCTCTGTGAGATGTTTCCATAATAGGAAGAGATTTTGTCACTTGTGTAAGCTTTGAACAAAATGGGTTCCTCAAAGTCCTCACATAGCTTGTTATCAAGATGAATCAGGATTGAGAAAATCTAAGATTCGTCCTCTACTCCCATGCTGATGGCAGCCCAGAATGGAACGCCTCCTCCCCTTCCCCCACTCCTGGAGCCTGCTCCTCTCTCATGTCCTCCCAGCCACTCTGTGTAGATAATTCAGTCTCACTCTCATGTCACCAACTCTGCCTCTTTCTATTTATTCCCACTGTACCTGTTCTGATTCATGTTATTGCCACCAGTCTCCTAACATTACATTGCTTCTTAACTGATTTATCTGCTCCACCCTTTCCCTCCAACTTTCCCCAGCTCCCCCTTCCAGGGGAGAGAGGACAAAGAGAGGACACTCCTAGAAATAAACTCTCCAAAATACACCCTTCCCACAGCCGTCAGCAGAGCCTCTGCAAAATGCGGGTCAGTTTAGATGACTCCTGTCATGGAAACTTCTCAGAGGGTCTCTGTGTCTACAGAACAAAGACGACACTCCTTGCTTAGCACGATACCAAGACTCCTCCTCGCCTGACCACCTACATCTCCTCCCTCCATGTCCTATGCGCCAGTCCCTGTGGGCTTTTGTATGTTAGCTGTAACAAAGCATGTACTTTCCTGACTCATGCTCTCCTCCTGTTTCTCTGGCTGGCAAGAGCCTGTGCATCCCATAGGGCTTAGCCGCAATCACACCTTCTCTTTGGTGCCTTTTTTATCCTCATAGTTCAAAATTAATCAGCCCTTTCTCTACAACAAAGCCAGCATGTTGTCAAATCTCTATTTAGCATATATTGTCAGCCTTGTATTGCAGTCAACTGTTTAGAAATCGTTCATGTAACACTTATCTATAAATATGTTTAGTTGTGTGAGACGCTGAGGACACAAAGACAGAAGGCCAGTCCCTGCCTTCAGAGTGTTCATGTTTTGGTGATGGGGGAATGGGAGTTTCTGCTAGGCTGCCAGGCAATGGCACAGCTTAGTGGTATATGCTGTGATGCTTGAAGGACGTCTACCCAGACGAGGGTCAGGGAAGACTTCCTGTGGGAAGATGACATCTCAGCTGAGGCTGGAGGGAGGAGCTGCCTGGCTTTTCAGGTAATTCCACCATGTAGTAGAATTACCAGTTTATATGTCTCTCTCCCCAGCTACAATCTAAATTTCTGAAGTTCAGAGAAATGTTTTACTTATCGCTGAGTCCCCACACCTCATTCCAGAGGCTGGCACATCTTAAACCACAGTGATGATTGTTAGGATGGGCCTCTAGACTCCTGGAAGGCAGGAGCTCTGTCTTCTCCATTCTTTTATTCTTCTCTCTTCCAGTGCCTTGTAGCGAAGCCTTGGCAGATTGGGTGTTTTCTGAAATGAGTTACAAGAGAGCTTCCCGGAAGTAGCAGGTGCTCTGGGGACACATGAGCAAACAGTTGGCCTGGGATGTGTCTCAGACTAGACAAGTGCACACAACTCATGTGACTGCTGTCTAGACCCCAGATGCCAGCAAGCTGATGCTCATCCCAGCTGGGCTCCCTGAGGCTGGCTGACCGAACAAGACCTCCCAGCTTTGGCCTGTTGTCCATCATTCTTTCCTACACGCTGCCAGGAAACGGACAGGGAAGGGGCACTTCCAGCAAGCAGAGACAGGGCCAAGAACTCCAGGGACCAGGCTGGAGTGACTTACCGGGACAGCGTGGGGGCACACTGAGATGCACCAGCAGAATGCCTCCTGCCCGGGCTAGAGATTGGACCCCAGCATGGTTTTGGAGGCTGTAGATTCAGCAGTTGTGGTGTCACGAGTCACTCATCTCAAATAAAGGACAGGGGGAACTCAGTGTGAGCCCCAAACAAGAAGCTCACAGGCAGCTTCTGAGCCCTGGGGAGAAATTGTTTGCTCCTGGGCTGGGTGGTAAGGGGGGGTTCTCCAGTGGACCCTCCTTCCTCCACCTACTTGCCACCAATTTGTATTGGGGAGGGGTTGGTATGCAGAGGGTGAAGACAGTATCATAAAAGCAGGAAAGTGTCCTGAATTCCAGGGCTGAGGAAACTCCCCCTGGGGCTCTATAGTTCCTACCAGGAAGTGGGGAATTCCCAGCAGCTTGCAGTGGGTGGTGGGGAGGTGGAGAGGGAGAAGTTTCCAGAGGGTCAGGGCTTCCTTAGGAAGGGCCCTCCCATCCTGAGGCAAATCTCTGCTCATCCCCTGAAGGTAGAAGTGGGCTTTGGGATCCAAGGTGCCCTTTAGCTTGGGATGTAGGGCATGTAATTCTTACTCAAAGGACAGCCTCTCTCCTCAGGCCTCGGCAAGGAGCCAAGACAGACGCCCTCTCCTCCAGCAGCCGGCTCCTTGGGGCTCCTCCTCCTCCTCTCCTCCCAGCGCTCCTCGCTGGACTTCTTTATTCCCCACATTGTCTTCTCATCTCCCTACTGAAACTAGGAGAAGGTGGAGGGAGGGCCTAGATTGTTCCTCTCTGAAAGGGTCCCCCAGTTGGGTAAGAAGAGCTGGTCTGTGGTCACGGCCTACAATCCAGTAAGCTCGGGCTCTGCCTGTGGCCAAGTTACTCAGCTACTCCAAGTCCAGGCTTGCTCCTCTGTAAAATGGGGATGCCCCTTTGCAAAGCTGTTGTGCTGAGCCATTGCATGTCAGACTCCTTGCGAATTCGCTTTAGAGATTGTTGTTCATTAGTCGAACATCCATTCAGCACATTTATTGTGTGCTCAGTGTGTGCTATGTGCTGTTCTGTGGGCTGTTCTGTGGGCTAAGAATGTAGAGTGAACAAAGCAGACAAAACCCCTGTCCTCCTGGAGCTCACACTTTAGTGGGGAAGATGAACAAGAAGGAAGCCAGCAAATACACAAACATGTAATACATAATAAATATAATTGCCTTCCACGCAAAAAATAAGGAAAAGTGACAAAGGGTGGAGAGTTCTATCTTAGGATGCTCAGCAAGAGCCTCTCTGAGGAGGTGACATTTGAACAGAGGCTTGAATGTGGTGAAGGGGAGGGCCAGGTGACAATATCCAGGAGGGCCTTCCAGGAAGAGTGAGCAGCACCAGCCAGTGCTCTGAGGCAGGGAGCAGCTTGCTTAGGGACCAGCAAGGAGTCGAGGGGTAGTAGTGGAGTGAGCAGGACACAGTTCCGGGGAGAAGAAGTCAGAGGACAAGGTAAGGCCAGGTCCCCTAGGGCCTTGTTTGTCACTTTAGGGAGTTTGCATTTTATTCTAAGTAATGGTTTTGAACAAGGGAGTGACATGATCTGATTTATGCTTTTAAAATATTACTCTGCATGGAGAATTTGCTGGCAAAGCGGGGCCAGCAGAGCAGTTAAAGAGGCTGTGGTCATTATTCACCACAGCGCTCCCCGTCTTCCATCTCTCCTCAGCCAAACTCCTCTTTTCCTCCCCACTGTGCCTGGAGTCTGTCTGCACACTCTGGAAGCTGCAGTGGCCTACCCCAGGGGGCTTTGGCAGCCTCCAGCTCTCTGAGGCTTGCAATGTTCTTGGTCCGCTCCTCCTGTCAGGAATCTCCACTCCCTGGTACCTCGGTGCTGCACCACACAACCTAAAGCACCCATCTGAGGCACAAAGCGCAGCACTTGTATAAGGTCCACTCTCTGACCATCCCTTCTTTCCTCCTCTGAGGGTTCCTCTCCTCTACCTGAGGCAGAGGTGTTGCAGACCTCGGGTTCTCTTCCAGGCCCCTTCTCTTCCCACTCTGACTGAAGTTCTGCTGTCACCCCCACCATCCCGTTCCCTGCCACAAGTGCAGCTATGGTGCTTCCTGGTGAGTCAGATGCTCCCGGTTGCATCCCATCACCAGTGTCTACTAGATGTCCACACTGGGCATGCCTCAGGTACCTCCAAAGTGAAGGCAAAGCAGGCAGACTAAACCCCTCCCCTGAGGGAGGTCTCATTCTAGTGATGGAGATAGAGAAACACATGCACAACCTACAACATATCAGTCGGGGAGTGATAAATGCCAAGATGAAAATTAAAGCAAGGGAAGCACATTGAGAGTGATGGCGGTCAGGGTCCACTCTAGACAGAAACTTGGATTATTTGGATGCACAAGCCATGTGAGTGTCAGGGGACACAGTGTTTCAGGCAGAGGAAAGAGCAAGTGCAATGGCCCCAGGTGGGAAATGAGATGTAAAGAAGGCGAATGTGGCTGGAGGCTAAGGGGGAACACGACTCACGCCACCATGACCTTGGCCCAGACTGTATAAACCGTTCCCATGTAAAGTCTCCCCACCTGCAGCTCACCCTCCTCCAATCTGTGGTCCCCACTCCAGTCACTCTGGACTTTCCAAGATGCAAATTTGCACACTGTGAACCTCTGCTATAAACCATTCACTGGCTTCTCCTGGCTCTTACGATAAAGACCAAACTGTGAGGGACCACTGGGCCACTCCCCGCCTCTTCTCACCACCCACCTCACACCTTCTACTCCAAATTTTATGACCAGCTTTCAGTTCCTAGAATGCACTGACTCTTGACTGAGGTCTTCCTACTTTCTGGTTCCTCTGGTCCACACATTTTTGCTGCCAGCTTCCAGCCCTTATTCCCTTACCCACCTACCTCCTACTCACTCCCCAGGAAATCAGCAGGGGTGTGACCTCCACCAGCCACCTTCTGTGATCTCGAGGTGGGTGAGGTGTCCCTCCCAGGTGCTACATTGCAAGTGCCTGAGTATGTCTCTGTACCTTCTGCAAGCCTGACAGGCCCATGAGTGCTTGTCTAGCTCATTGGAGGTGGAAACTTCAGCTCATAGCACTGGACTCGGCACACAGAAGGTGCTCATTAAATATTTTTTGGATAGATGGAAGGGTGATGTGGGATTGGAAATGGGAATGGTGCATCTGGAAAGGAAAAGGCATTCCAAGGAGGGGGATGATGGAGAAGGGCATGGCGAAGGCAGAAGTGTGGAGACGGCTGTGTGTGCTGTGTCACATGCAGGAGCAAAAGAGGCCAGCCTGGTGGAGCAGAAGGCATGAAGGAGCAGGGGGTGAGGAGGTCGAAGAGGAGGTTGGGGCCAAGTGAGGGCATTTGGACTTCATTCTGGAGGCAACAAAGAGCCTCTGAAGATTATAATCAAGATGTGACATGGTCACAGCTGTGTTTAAGGACATCAATCTGGTGTGACCTGCAGGTGAAACTGCAGGACAGGGAGGAGTTAGGGGAGGGATTTGGAGGCCACCTCCACTTTTGGGGGTCAGCAGGCAGACTATTCTGAGCCCCTTCTTCAGCAGGAAGACCCTGGTCTAGCCACAAGCCTCGGTGACCCTGGACAGTGAGCCTCCCCTCCTGGTGTTCCTCCTCCCCTCGGCAGAGGCAGATTGCCCTTCCTGGTGACTCACCCCAGAAGGGTCAGCTCTAAGCAGAAAGTCATTGTTGACAGGAAGAGGGGTCAGACTTTCCCTTTTCCGGCCAGCTTCCTGGGTACCAAAATAGCAACGCGGCACAACAAAGAGTTGGGGCGGTGGAGGCCTCCCAAATGGGCTGGAGGACACACCGACCCCACCCCATGCTGCCCACCCGCCTGTGGGATCCACCATGCCACATGACAGCCAGCCTGACAGCACCAGTCGCTGGTGAGTCTGGTAGCCCTGGAAACCCTCTCACAGCCAGCCGAGATGTGAGGGACACAGAGAGAGGAGGTGCCATTTCAGACCCCTATGCCTGGCACGTTGGGGTGAGAAGGACACACCAGTCAGAGCTGGTTCTGAGGCTCGCATCCGGAGGGAGATCCTGGAACCAGGGCTGAGGCTCGCATCCTGAGGGACATGCTGGAACCAGGGGGCATCCGAGTTGGGGACACAGTCTGGGAAGGTGTCTAAAGGAAGTGAGAATTGAAGGAGGGACAGAGCGCTACCCAGAAGGGCATAACTAGAGGCTGGGACCAGGTCAGGAAACATGTCCCTCAGGTGTAGAAGCTGCAAGTGAGAAACCAACGTGGTAGGAACCTCAGCAGGCTGGCTCCAGCTCCAGAAGCTGTTGGAGTTGAGGATTTGTTCTCTGTAGAGGAGCAACATCACCTGTGTAGTCTGGTTCCTAGGCTAGGCCATCCTCTAGAATTCTGTGTGAGCCAGAATGTTCAACTAATAAGAGAAGGCTGCACATTGTGGGTGGAGAGCGGGAAAGAGAGGGGGCTTGCAGCATCTGCAGGGGCCAGAAACTACATGCACAGAGAAGCTTTCTCAATCGGAAAAGAGCTTAGGAAACATTGAACTGGAGAACAACGGAAGCAAACCTGTGTCCGGGAGTGGCTCCAGTGAAACCCACCTCTTTCTCTGTGTATGGAATTCCAAACACCCGTTGTACAGGAGGAAGCAGCTACAGATCGTCCTACTCACCAGCTGGGTGGCACCACCGGCTTTAAGTAATGGGTAAACTGGCTCAAGCAAGCCTGGGACTCAGAGACAGATGTGCGAAGCAGAGATGTTGCCATGCCTAGGCTGAGGGCTTTCAGCCAATCGGTGAGGGGAATGGAGGAGAAAGGAGAGAGGGGTGTTGGGTTGAGGGCCGGGATGTTAAGAAAAGGATTGTATCCTGGGAGATGGGCTAAGGATCAAGAGGATGAGGAGAAACACCCCCTCCCACAGCCTCTGCAGCACCCAGAGTTGCAAGATCCAAAGAGATGTTCCTTTCTGTCCTCTCTTTGCTGTCCCCCTCCCCTCCTGGCCCTCCCAGCATTGCAGACCCTTGCCTCTGGTTTGCAGCTGGGCTAAGGGCAAAAGCAGAAGCAAGAGCCTGAGCTGCTTTTTCCTGCCTGGATTTCTGTTCTTGCAGTTGCCACAGAGCTGGCTCCTTCTCATCATGCTAGTCTTGGCTTAAACGTTACATCCTCCAAGAGGCCTTTGCTGGCCACCGCAGTGACGTATTCCACCCTGACATCACTATCACAGTCCCTGCTTTAGTTTTAAGACAGCACTTACCACGAACTGGTATTTTCTCTCGTTTCCTTGTTTATTTTTGTCTCTGCCATCTAGAATGGAAGCTCCCCGAGAGCAGGAACCTTGTCTGTGTTGTTCATGGCTATATCCCCAGCACTCAGAACAGGGCCTGGCACAGAGTAGGTGCTCAAATATTTAGTTGATTCATGATGAATAATAATTGCTAACATTGGTTGAGTGTTACTACATGACAAGTACTTATTTCACATATTAACTCATGGGCCAGTGAGCTATAGGCCTCTGGGCAAATCCAGCTCCCTGCTTGTTTTTATAAATACATTTTATTGGAACACATGCCTATCATGTACATATTGTCTATGGCCGCTTTCATGATACAATGGCAGAGTGGAGTAGTTGTGACAGAGCCTGAGGCCTCCTAGAAGTGCTAGAAGCTTTTCCTTACCCCTCCAACACTCTGCCACTCACACTTACCACACCGAGCCAGTCTCCCCTCTCCACTTTGCTTTTGCTGCTCCCTCTGCCTGGGACCCCCTTCCCTGCCCCACCCTTCTCTCTTTTCCTTGGCTCACCTGTCATCGGCCTGAAAGCTGCACCTGATCCTGGACCTTCTCTTGGAGGCTCCCAGAGCAACCTGGGCTTCTTTCTCCGCAGCACTAACTATGGGATGCCATCACTGGCTGCTTACCAGGCTCACTCACCCCTTCCAGCTCTGCTGGACTGTGAGCTCATTGACAGTAGACTATCTTCTACTTTGGAAATCCCAGCACTTAACCTTGAGCCAGGCACATAGTAAATATTAAGTAAAGATTTATCAGCCGGGCACAGTGGCTCACACCTGTAATCCCAGCATTTTGGGAGGTCGAGTTGGGTGGATCACTTGAGGTCAGGAGTTCAAGACCAGCCTGGCCAAAATGGTGAAACCCCATCTCTACTAAAAATACAAAAATTAGCCGGGCATGATGGTGGGCGCCTGTAGTCCCAGCTACCTGGGAGGCTGAGGTGGGAGAATCACTTGAACCTGGGAGGCGGAGGTTGCAGTGAGCCAAGATCGTGCCACTATGCTCCAGCCTGGGTGACAGAGCAAGAGATCAAGACTTTGTCTTAAAAAAAAAAAAGATTTATCCCGTGGATGGCTATCCGATTTTTGTCAGACATGGGATGAATAATGGCAGATTCTAAAAATATTTACTATCTGGCCCTTTACAGAAAAGATCTGTAGACCCCTGTAGTAACTCAGTTAATCCTCATCAGTACAATTAAGGTCAGTGCTGTTACTATCTCCATTTTACAGATAAGGCAACTGAAGCACAGAGGCACAGAAGGCTTGTCCAAGGTTGCATAGCTAGTAAGTACAGAGGCTGGAGTTGAATCCAGGCAGTCTTGCTCCAGCCCATGTTACTAATCATTCCCTTTCTAAGAATGTTACCTGCTTCATTCCCTTTCTAAGAATGATCAGGAGGTGGTGGGTGGGGTGGGAGGGATAGGCTGGCCAACGTCATCATGGGAGCAGCACAGCAGGAAGGAGAGCTGGAAGTCCAGCAGAGCCCTGATGACCCAGGGCTATTGTTTTTGAGGCTTGGCCTGATTCTGGGACCCAGAGCTCTCAAATTCTGTTTCCTAGAGCCGGAGTCCTACCCATAAACATACATAAACACCCCCAACCTTCCCAATCTGAAGATTGAGTGTAGAATATTCCCCACTTAGGACTTGAGGTCTCAACATTTTCCTTAAACTTTGACCCCTGCTATGAGTTGTCTACATGAGAATTGTCTTAGTCTGTTTTCTGCTGCTATAACAGAATACTCGAGACTGGGTAATTTATAAAGAAAATAAATTTATTTCCCCAGTTCTGGAAGCAGGGAAGTCCAAGGGCATGGCCCCAGCATCTGCATGGCATCTGGTGAGGGCCTTCTTGCTGCGTTATAACAGAGTAGAAGGGCAAGCAAGCATGTGAGACACAGAGAGAGAAGCATCAGGGGCCAGACTCAATGGATAACAGCACACTTTCATGATAACATTAATCCATCCATGAGGACTTCCCATCATGGCCCAATCACTTTTTAGTAGGCCCCACCTCCCAGCATGGTCATATTGGGGATTAAGTTTCCAACACATGAACTTTTGGGGGATGTGTTAAAACCATAGCAAGAACAAGGATCCAGTAGTCTCTGATTTAACACAATTTAGGTTAATTTAAGGTTGAATACACTGTTATTTAAAAAGATGACGGGTGAGGTGGCTCATGCCTGTAAACCCAGCGCTTTGGGAGTCCGAGGCAGGTGGATCACCTGAGGTCAGGAGTTCAAGACCAGCCTGGCCAACATTGTGAAACCCCATCTCTACTAAAGGTACAAAAATTAGCTGGGCGTGGTGGCTAAAGCCTGTAGTCCCAGCAATTCAGGAGGCTGAGGCAGGAGAATTGCTTGAACCCAAGAGGCGGAGGTTGCAGTGAGCTGAGATCGTGCCACTGCATGCGAAACTCCATCTCAAAAAAAAGAAATTTTTTTTTTGTAGTTCCACAAAAGAATGATCTGGCTTCTATGGGCTTCACAGTTTAAACATGTTCAAGAACTTCCCATTCTTCTGATGTTGAAATTTGGATGCAGTCCAACTCAGAGGTTAAAACACACACACACACACACACACACACACACACACACACACGACAAGAAGTAAATCCTCTAGAATCAGAAGAAAAATTGCAGCCTTGAAAATCACAGCTTTACTCATGAGGCCGCCTAGAAGTGCTAGAAGCTTCTTCTTACTTATAAGAAATGAAAAAAAAAAAAGGGGGCAGGTGTCGAGGAGGATGGGAGGATGGGACAAGCTGCTGGAAGGTGTAGTGAGCGCTGAACAGGTCAGCCCCATCCTGGTGCAGAGGCCTGGTCTGAGACGCTCCGCCGTGGAGGCATGTCCTGGAAAGTGTATGCTGGTGAGGAGCAGTGGAAAGGCTTCCCTACTCCTAATCTTCTGGACTTTGGAGGCTGCTCTAAAGTTTACCAAGACTTCACATTTGCCATCACATTTGCTCATGACAAGGCCCTGAGGGAGGAGTTACTTCTATCCCCATCAGAGAGGTTCTACAGTTTGCCAAAAGTCACACAATAAGGGGCATGACATGATGGTCCTCCTCTTGAATAGATTCCTTGCTTATGGAGCAATCTCCAGATGATTCACTGGGGAGCCTGAAAGAGGGACAGGGTCATTTGGGTGGGGACTGAGGTATTTCAATTCGCCTGTCTCACTCTCCACTGTGCTCCGGTACCAAGACCTAGATCCTCACTCAGTATTTGTGCAGGGTATTGAAACTCCATGTCCCTACTCTAGGCAGGTACAGGTGTGTAGGGCAGGCACAGACGGAAGCTGCAAATAAGCTGGCACAGGGAAAAGGGTTAGGAGAGGGATGTAAAGTGCCACTGAGATTCTGAGGAAGATGAGACCATGTGGGTCAGGGAAACAGAACTCTCGTTGGTGAAGAGAGCAGCCGAGAGGGCCTTGAGGGGGTTTATTTCCACAGGTGGGGATGGAGGCATAGTGACACCTTCTGTGGCTTTGCCTCTGCCAGCCTTGCCAGACTTCTTCCCCTCCAACCCTCTGCCACTCACACTCACCACACCAAGCCAGACTCCCCTCCCCACTTTGCCTTTGCTGCTCCCTCTGCCTGGGATCCCCTTCCCTGCCCCTCCCTTCTGTCCTTGTCTTGGCTCACCTGTCATCATCCCTGAAAACTGAGCCTGACCCTGGACTTTCTCCTTAAGGCTCCCAGAGCAACCTGGGCTTCCTCCCCGATAGCACTAACTATGGGGTGCTGTCACTGCCTGCTTCCAGCCCCACCCCTACAGCCCACTGGACTGTGAGCTCACTGACAGTAGACTGTCTTCTACTTTGGAAATCCCAGCACGTAACCTTAAGCCAGGCACACAGAAAACATTCAATAAAGATTTATCCAGGGCATGGCTATTGAATTTTTGTCAGGTGTAGGGGTGCATAATGGAAAACAAGATGGAAGCAGAAGGTGGGGACCAACACGAAGAAGGCCCTGGCATCAGTCAAGGGTGCTAGCATTTACTCTGTGGGTGTGTGGAGCCACTGTCAGCACTAGGTGAGGCCACAGCAGGGAGGACAATGCCCACTGGTAGGACTGCTATGCCACATGAGGGCTAGAGCAGAGCAAGGTCAGACCAAGAGCGAGGAAGGCCTGACAGGTGCCCCAGCATCCTGTATGCATGCAGGTCTCTGCAGCCTTTGGAGAGCCTAGACAAGCACCCCGAGTTCTGCTAGTACCTGGGTTAAATTGACAGAGTGAGTTCTGACCTGCAGCTATGGCATCCTGCCAGAACCCATGACCTCACCCAAGTGCAGAGGGCCCATGACAAGCATGTGACACAGCAGTCAGCACTGGGACAGGCCACAGTGGGATGAAAGGGTGGAGCTTAGCTTAGAAATAGGGGAGGGAAAAGGTTACTTCCAGCAGAGAGAATGATCTGGATTCGTAAAATCCATTCATTCACTCATGCATTCATCCATTCAACAAAGCTTTATTGAGCACCTAGTATATATGGGTTCCATGGGAGATAAAAGCTATCTCTACTCTCATAGTTCAGTAAGAAGAAGGGTAAGAAATGTACATAAACACAAGAGAGACACAGAGACCAAGAACCATGGGGCCAGAGGAGAGAGGAAGCATTCCTGTTGAGAGTAAGGGGGAATGTTTCCCGAGGAGGGGACATTTCAGACGGGCCCTAAAGATGAGTACAAGGAGATTCCAACAAGAAGACATGGGAGGGGCAAGCAGGGATGGCAGGAGACCTTGAGCTCCTGGGGGTGGGAACCATGGCAATCTGGTTCCTAATTGTCCCTGGTCCCCATGTGGTGATCCGTGAGCATTTGTCTTGTTTGTTGAATGAGACAATGACTGTTTCCTGGTCCCGCCTTCGCTCTTCACCGGATCCACCACTGATTACCCAAATTTCTCCCTCTGCAGCACTTAGTCTCCTGAGCTCTGTTCCTTCTGCCAAACCCACATCTTGGACCTCAAAGGCAAAATATCCATTTCTCTGACCCCACAGACCCTCTCCTCATATCCTTGATCTCACCCCTGCCTATCCCCAGGACCCTGCTCCTTCAGTGGCCTTGTCTCTCCATCTGCTTAGCTTCTCCCTCTGTGGGCTCCTTCCCTTTCGCTGGTAAACCTGTATAAGTGTCTGGCACTCCCCCAAGCCCTCACTTCCTAATGAGATGCTGCATTTCCTAAGGACAAGTCCAGGCAGCACCAGATGTGCCTCTTCACGGACCCCATCAGACAGTGCCCTATGCTTGGAAAACATTCATTGAATGGATGGATCCAATCCTGTCATCTCCTAGCATCCTCAGTGGTTCTCAATGTAAAGTCAAATGTCACGTGTATGACCTACAGATGCCCAATGAATGGGATTGGTCTGGCCTGTCTCTCACTTCCTCTAGTCTTCCTCCCCAGCTCCAATCATTCCTGAGTAATTATACTACCCAGAACCCACTACACTGCCCTCGCCTCTCCTGAGTTTGTGCATGCTGTTCCCTCTCTCTGGAATGAATGCTCCTTCCCTACTTCTGTGCCACGTGCACTTTTGCTCTCAATGCAGCTCAAGGGTCTCCTCCTCCCATGAGACTGTGAGCTTCCTGGGAGTAAAACATGGTCCTAGTTAATAACTTTAGCCCTAGTGCCTAGGTAGGTGCTCAATAGATGTTCATTAAGTAAGCAAATTAAGGAATGTAGGGAGAAGTGCTAGTGATTCCAGAGGCATACGCTCAATTTTCCTCTTGAGTCCTGGCTCCCACCTGCAAAAAGGGGTGAAATTGCTTAGGGGCATGGAGTGTCCAAGAAGACATGAACCCATAGTCTGGTTTCCTCCAAACTCAGCTCTAGGAAGATTCTTCTTTTAAGCTGGCTTAAAGAATTAGGCGTGTGCTCAATGATTTTCTTTTAATTCAAGGCAGAACTGGAGTATGACTTCTATTGTCATGTTCTAAAAATATATCTTCTATGGTTCTCTGCTTTCTTTGCAGTAAAATAGCCTTGGCATGACCCTGTTTTTGCATAACTGAAGACACAATTTAATGAAATAGCACTTTATGAGCTTTAAGGGAAGCAAATATCTGACCTAATCAGGGGTGAAAGAAGGGGAGAGAGACTCTATGCCAGGCTGTTCCATCTCTGTTAGGAAAGGCCCAGGGCCAGGCAGTTCCCAGCTTTTCAAGGAATGTTGGCACAGGAGTCCAGGATCAATTATCCTCAATCAATCAGCAAATATTTATTGAGTGAGTACAGCATGGGGGGCTATAGCTGTGGAAAATAAGATGCATGTGAACCTGGTTTGCTTTCTATGGTGAGCTCCTTCTGGTCATATCGTTCCTATTACTTCTATGAATAATTGTAGCTAGTAGTCACTGGGCACCCACTCTGCAACATGGGCCTGGTTATATACTATGTTGACTTCTTGTAACACTCTGAGACAGGTAGTATGACTTCCACTTAGTAGATGAGGAAATTGAGGATCATAAAACTTCCACACTGCCCCAGGTCACAAAGCTAGAAAGTAGCGGATCTGAGATCTGAATGTAGATCTGATTTCAACCCCAAAGTCCTTTACTAATGATAGCCAACATCACATGAGTCTTCTAAGATTACAGAGCATTTTCCAGTAAATTTCTAATTTGATTCTGTCACTACTCATGGGAGGCCAAAATTATGATAATTCCCATTTTACAGAGAAGAGAACTGAGGCTTGGAGGATTCAAACAACTTGCCAAAGGTCCCTGTTGGTAAATGGTATATCCAAAAAAGATCTGAGCTGAAGCCAAATCCTGCATTCCTTCTACACCTTGGCAAGGACTGGATCATCGCTTCTAGCAAACAGCTGGACACTGACAGGGAGAATTCTCACCTAACAGCCCCAGAGAGCACCCTGGTGCCAAGCCATGGACGGCCCTGCCTGGACTCTGCCCCAGAAGCCTGCCCATGGAGGACAGAAGAGGAGGCTGCTCCAGGCCAAGTGACCAGCTGCTCTGGGGACTCGCAGCCCAGCACTGGGAGCTGGCAGGGAGCAGGAGGGGCAGAGCGCTCTGCCTGGGCTCCAACAAACAGGCTTTCTAGTGAATGGACCAATTGGCGGTTGTGGGTTATGTGGCCAATTGTGGTTAGGGGAAGGGAGGAGCTCCTGGAGGAACACTGTATTCCTGCTCCTGTCAGTGACTCCGAGAGAGTTCTGGACTAAGAGGTGGGAGCACAAGCCCTGCCCACTCCTCTGGGCTCCAGAATTAAGCCCCTGCCCCACATCCTCCTGGCCCCTGGAGCAGGGGTTCTCCCCATGACAGGATTCAGAAAGGGCTTTCCTGAGTGGAACCAGCCTTGGTCATATGCCACCCCACTCCCCGTCCCCCACCCCCCACCACAATTCCCTGACTGAGGAGGCATTAGCACAGTCACTCTGGAGTCCCCCTTTAATGACATCTGAGGTGGCACTGACTGAACAACAAATGCAGTCCCCTCCCTGCTTCACCAGCCACTCAACAATGACCACTCTACCCCTTCTCTAGCTATATTCTATATTCTATATATTCTAAGCAATGCTCTAGGCATTTTATGCATAATCACCTAACTGATCCTTATACCAACACTATGAGTAAGGCACTATTATTATTATTATTATTATTATTTTTGAGACGGAGTCTCCCTCTGTCGCCCAGGCTGGAGTGCAGTGGCGCGATCTCAGCTCACTGCAGGCTCCGCCTCCCGGGTTCACGCCATTCTCCTGCCTCAGCCTCCCGAGTAGCTGGGACTACAGGCGCCCACCACCATGGCCGGCTAATTTTTTGTATTTTTAGTAGAGACGGGGTTTCACTATGTTAGCCAGGATGGTCTCAATCTCCTGACCTCGTGATCCACCTGCCTCGGCCTCCCAAAGTGCTGGAATTTCAGGCATGAGCCACCGTGCCCGGCCGAGTAAGGCACCATTATTAACTTCATTTTACAGATGAGAAAACTGAGGCACAAAAAGTTTAGGTACCCTACCCAGGGTCATGGAGCTATCAGGAGGAAGAGCTGGGATTTTAGCCCAAGCAGTTCGGTTACACAGCTAATGCTCTTACTCACCACACTGCACTCGTGAGGGCTGTGAGACTCTTCCTTCCCCCAGGGAGAAGTGCCCAGCAGCAGCCAATGGAAAGGGGACTTGCCTGCTGGCTGGAGGACCCCGGCCTGGGGCTCACGGCAGCCACAGAAATGAGTGAGTATTGCTGGTTGTAGTTGGAGTCACCAATGCCTTTCCTTCCTTCACATGGGGCAACCTTAGGAAGGTGTCCTCTCCCCACTTACTCTCCTGCTCTGGGCCTCCCCCATCTCTGCCCATCCTGGCCTCCATACAGAGCATCCAAGCATCACCTTGGACCTCCCAGTTGGCACTGGGCAAACCAACATAGAGAACCAAGACAAAGCACAACCTTAAATCATGTAAGTGGAATAGAGGAGTCTGTCTCTCTGGCTGTATCTAGGACCTGATTTCTTCTAATTCCCAATCTCTTCTCTACTCCAGGTTTCTGATTTCCTTCAAGTGACTTCTGAAGCCAAGCCACTCTGGGCCTTTGGGGCACTGGAACATTTCTTCATTGTCCTACTCACTGCCCCTTGATGTGTGTGTCCCTGGCAGTCTGTGAGGAGGGAGGCCATGTAATTCAACGAAGTGTGGGCAAGCACAGGCCAGGCATGCAGCAGGCACCAAAAATGTCTATTGTACTAATAGATGACTACAGACAGTGTAGGTTCTCACTTCCTGTTTCTAGGTAATTCTCTGCCTCGTTTACTCTGAAGTCACACAGGGCCAGGATAGGAAGTGGGCTTGCTGTGATGCTTGTGCACCAGCTGACACATCATCCTTTTCGTGATTCTCTTTTTCCGATGAAGGTTGGAAACTTTCATTCTAGAAGGGTCCTCAGCTGAGGGATTGTGACTTTAGGGAGGTAGAGAGGGCACTTGGGAAGCCAGAATTCACTGTGGATAAATGTTTGTCAGTTTCTGGGTTAGATTTTTCAGTTCTGAGGAGTTCATGAGAGCAACCTAAGAATCAGTCCTGCTGAGGTTCAGGAGACAGTGCCGGGCCTGGCTGTGGCGGGAAGCTCCGGGAGAGGAAAGTGGACAGGCTGCTGATACAGTCTTGCATTGCAGCAGTGCTTGCCCTTCAGGGGTGACACAAGTCCTGAAGCCACCATGTATTTCTGTGGCTCTGGGACAAGGGGGACAGCTGACTTTCCCCCAGCCATAGGATGGGGTGGTCTCGACAAATATCAATAGTTCCAAAGTACCAAAGATTGGCTCTTGGTAGTTTGCCAAACACAAAGGCTTCACAGCAGCCCTAGGAAGCTGGCAGGAAGCTGCTATTCCCATTTAATTGACAAGGGCATTCAGTCCAAAATCCTTCCCTGCTGGCTGCTTTACCACCCTTCACGCTGTCTCTCACCTTGAAAGTGGGAGAAGACATGACTGAAAGGGCAGGCTGCAGTGCAAATGACTATAGGTGCGTGGCTGGGAGATGGGATGCTCTGGCTCTGACGTCCTGCTCCCAAACCTGGTCAGCCAGGAGTCCTACATTCTGGCCCTTTCTGTAGCACTGGGACAAGAAAGCAGCATTTTCTCTGCAGCCCCAGCTTCCAAGGCAGCTGCTGTCCACCCCCAGTCTACTTTCTAAAGAGCCACAGAGCCACTTAGGTGGAAGAAAGAGAGAAAGGTGGGAAGGAAGGAGAAAAGGAAGGGAGAAAGGAAGAGAGAAGGAATAGCAAAAAGAAAGAAAAGGAAAGAGAAAGAAATGAAGAATGAAAGGGAGAACAAAAGAAAGAAAAGGAAAGTAGGAAAGAAAAAAGAAGAAAGGGAGGGGGAAGGGAGGAATGCATGAATAAGGGGAGAAAGAAAGAAAAAAGAAAAGAAAGAGAAAGGAAGAAAGCAAGCTCTTTATGATAGAAGGCCATTCCCTAGAAAAGATCTCAAGGGGAAATTGGCTGTCAAATAGTTTCAAGGAAATGACATTTGGACAACCAGCAAATGAGGGTTTCCTCCCACTTCCTGCCATCCATCTCCATTTCCCTCTGTTCAATCTCTCTTCTCCCTCCAGTGGTTCATTCCTCTGGCAAATAGCATCTCTCCTATGCTCCCTTCTACTCTCCTCTGGGGTCAGCTGAGCACTGCTTTCTTGATGATGCTACGTTAGGAAATTATCAAAACCCCAAATCTCAGTTGCTTCCAATTCCCCTATACCTGTCCCAGAACCTGGCCTGGGACATGACTTCACTGGTAGCAGGGAGGCTAGCAGCTAAGCTGTCCAGGGTAAGCATGCAGAGCTGAGTCCTCTTACTCCAGGACTCACTCTGGAGGTCCTGACCCTCAACTCTTCATTCATGTGTGACTCTGGAGGAGGAGGCTTATGCTGTCTGGGTCTCCATTTTTTCATCTGAGGCAACATGGGATGGAAAATCTATTTCTGTGGTACCAGCACTCCTTGCCGATGGATGGGTACAAACAGCTTGCATGGATGTGAAGAGCTAAGACACCACGTGCAGACGGACACCATCCTGCTGGCTTGGCCCTAAGACTGCAGGCAGAACCTGCCAGCCACAAGTCTCCCAGCCAGCCAGGCAGACGCAGTGGGGCTGGGGGGCTTGCGGAGGGTGGAGAGAAGAACATCAGCTCCAGGGCAGGAGCAAGTGGAGGAGACTCAGGTGAGTCACTTCAGGCTAGCCATCAGCTTTTCCAGCCTCAATTTCCCTGTGTCTGGTGACAAAAAGTGTCCACATCAAGCAGATCCACAATCCCTCCTTTTAAGGTAACAGAGAAGAGACAGCTGCAAGTCCCACTGTGGAGTCACGGTTATCAAGGACCTTGCTCATCCCTCTGCAACTCCGTGAAGGCAGAGCCTCCCAGAGCCCCACAGTCTACATGTCCAAAGAGCTTTCATAACTGAACCCCTACTCTGTGTTGTGCATGGCCCTAGGGACTCCCATATGTCAGCCCATTTGACCTCATGACCACTCCTTTGGGGAAAGTCTTAAAATTGCCACTGTACAAATGAGGAAAGAGAGGCCCAAAAGGCTAAGGGGTTACACAGCAAAGTTACACAGCAAATGAATGGCAGAGCTGGGACTAAAATCTGGCCTTGGGACTCCCAAGTCCACTGCACCATTGTGGTGTCATTGCTTTAGAACCCATGTGAGTGAACAGATAATAATAACAATAGCACTTACTGTCTTCAGGCCCTGTGCTAAATACTTCACAGGCCTTATCTCATTCAATACTCATAACACCTTGGTCAGAGAGAGAAATTAACATCTCTATTTTATAGACATGGGAACTGAGAGAAGTTTGTCCAATGTCACACAGCAAATGACTTGGCAGAGCTACCAAGGTCAAATCACTTGTAAGTAGTGGAGTCAGGTTCAAACCAGGGTATGTAAAGAACTCCAGTGCGGGGAATGAGGACCTCAGGCCTTGCACCAACGTGGAGAATGATTACGTTCCTCCAGAAGCTGAGCAAAGTCCAAATGCCAGCCTCAGTGAACCTGGGCCAGGGCTGGGTTGGTGAAGGAAGGAGCAAGTAAAACTGGACCCCTTTCTCAACAAGTCTGTTGGTTTATCTTTCTCAGGTTACTTCCTCTAACCTTTTATCAGTCTTAAGAACTGTGGTGTCAACATGTTATCTGAAATCATTATTGTACAGTGACCATGTCATTGTTGTATCCCCAGGGCCCAGCACGGTGCCTAGCATCTGGTAGCACATATTTGTCAAAAGAACAAAGTATTCTCTAATGGCATCATTCAACTCAGCCATCATTAACTTGGTACCTATTATGTGCTAGGTACCATTGATCCAGAGGTGACTGAGCATGGGTGCCACCTGGAAGAAGTCTCGGTCTAGGGTGGGGACAGAATGTAACCATCGGTACCACCTTAAACACTTCGAAAAGTACTGTGGAGAATGAATGGATGGCAAATGACTTATCAGAGCCAGCATTGAGGAATGAGCCAAGTCCAATGGGAACACAGGAAAAGGACCCTTTGCTCTGCCAGGAGAGTCACAGAAGGCTTTGCTGGTGGAGGATGAGATGCAATTTCAGCCTGAAATGATGAGGAGTTTGTCTTCAGCCATGTGGAGAAAGGAGCATTCCAGGCAGAGGGACCAGTCTGAGCAAAGGCATTCGGGTGTAAAATTATTGCCTAGGATTGGAGTGAAGGATATGTAGCGCTACTGACAAGAGACTCCTCTTCAAGAGCAGGCCACATATCCTTTATTTCCCAGGGGGTGGAAACGGGCAACCTCACAGAGGAATTGAATCATAATGAATTGAAGAAAGAAAAATCTCCTGAAGTTGGCATTATAATTAATAGGCTTAGGCTCATCCTACTAGTCCTCACTTAGACTCATTCTCATGTAGAAACAAAACGTGATTAATCACCTCAGTAAGTGCAATTTCCAAAAACATCCAGGGAAATCTAGGGTCCAGGTGCAGGACCTTTCCAATCTGAGTTGGATTTTGCCTCCAGGAGAGAGCATGGGTACCAGCCAGCATTTTCATCATCTAAGGGTCAGGTGCCTTGAAGTGTCTGCTGGCACCCAGGGAAGAGCCCCCCAGCTTGCTGTCACAGGACACAGCTGCTCCCTTCCTGGCCAGGTAGCTGGCCTCCCTCCCAGAATGGGACTTGAAGCTGGCCGGGCTGCTTGGGGGCTGCAGAGGAAGAAGGGGGCTGCCGGCAAACCTGCTGACTCAGGCTCCACGAGGGAGCAAGTAACACTGGACTCCTTTCGGCACTCCGAGAATGGGGTGGGGGCGTCTTCAAAGGATTTCCCTCCCTTCCCAGTGCTTGTCCCTGCTCTCGGTCCGTTTTCTGCTAAGATTTGGGGATTTTCAGGCCTGGAGGGAAAGTCCCTTGGGACGATCATAGAGCGCTAGCACTGAATCAGCCTGGAGAGCGCGGAAGGAAAGGGTCGGTCCGCAGAGGGCGCGGGGAAGGCAGGGTGGGGACGCGGTGGAGCCCGCGCTCGTTTGCTGAAGGCTTGGAAGTGCAGCGCAGAAGACAGAGGGTGACTAGGAAGACGCGCGAGCGGGGCTGGCCGGCCGGCGGGTGGGGGAGGGGAGGCGGGGGAAGGCGGCTGAGTGGGCCTCTGGAGTGTGTGTGTCTGTGTCAGTGTGTGTGTGTGTGTGTGTATGTGTGTGTCTGGCGCCTGGCCAGGGTGATTTCCCATAAACCACATGCCCCCCAGTCCTCTCTTAAAAGGCTGTGCCGAGGGCTGGCCAGTGAGGCTCGGCCCGGGGAAAGTGAAAGTTTGCCTGGGTCCTCTCGGCGCCAGAGCCGCTCTCCGCATCCCAGGACAGCGGTGCGGCCCTCGGCCGGGGCGCCCACTCCGCAGCAGCCAGCGAGCGAGCGAGCGAGCGAGGGCGGCCGACGCGCCCGGCCGGGACCCAGCTGCCCGTATGACCGCGCCGGGCGCCGCCGGGCGCTGCCCTCCCACGGTAAGCGACGGCCGCGGCGCTGGGCCCGGGACGGGCTGGGGCGGGGGCTCGGCGGCCAGGCGGCCGGGAGCGGCCCCTCGGAGCCGACAGCCTGGGCGCGCCGGCTGCACTGGCCCGGCGTTCCCGCCGCGGACGAACCGCCTTTGCGCACGGACTGGGCCCTGGCGCCAGGGCGGAGGCCGGTGGCGGCCCTGCAGCTGCACCGGGACTGCCAGGCTTCCCTGGGAAACGGAGGGCTGCTCACCCCATTGCACGGAGGGGAACACTGAGCCACCTGCAGGCAGGAGCCCCCGCTCAGCCAGGGTGCCCTGCCTCTCTCCCTACCCGCCACCACCAAGGCACGGGCGGAGTGGCTGTGCGCTGAGTGTGTGCCCTCCCCGGTGGGCACCTTCCTCATCGGCCACACACGTGCTTCCAAGGCCCTGCTGAGGAGTGGGCGCTTCTGGGCAGGGAAAGTTCAGGGGGTCAACCAGCTTATAGAACGCCAGGGACTTGCTGGCAGAGGGACGGAGAGGGGCAAGCCACTGCTTGTTCCAGCCCACAGGCAGGAGCTACGGAGGACTTGGGTGGCTGTTTGGGGGGTGGGGTGGGGGACGGCAACAGCCGGCAAACAGCCCCCCACCCCCGGGGCTGCTTGGGGCTAGCTCAGAATCTCTTTTTCTTGCAAATTCTGGTTTCATCGGTTGGGGAGATTCTGGGCTTTGTGGTGGTTTATGGTGGTTTGCAGTGCTTGAGGAAAATGGAAAGAGGGTTTGGTGTTGCAGAGCTGTGTCCAGGGGCAGGGTCTGCTCCTGACTGCGTAAGGGACGCCCTGCCCCAACTGTGGCGGTAGCAGATGCAGCCATAGAAAGTGAGGGTGGCACTGTTCATGACCAGTCAGTGGGCTCATAATAGATTTGCTTCTGAGGAGTCCTGGAAGAAAATGAGAGGGGAAACCTGGGGGGAAAAGAGCAGAAAATTATTTGGGGGTAGAGGAGAGCGGGCTGCAGGTGAGGTGAGAGAGAAAGGGAAGAGTGGGTCCACAGAAAGAAAGTGCCTCACTGAGAGAGAGGAGATAGAGTTGAGAGGGGAAGGGAGAAGGGTTAGCCATAGGCAGAAAGCAAAGCTTCGGGGCTGAAGGGGAGACCATGAGGAAAGAAGAGAAAGACAAGGGGGCTGTGTTTAGACAGGGGAAGTCCAAGGGCCCGGTTCTGCCAGGTCTCTCCAGAGGCCTTGTTGAGGGGGAAGATGAAATGGAATAGGATAGGTGGCAGAGGAGGCTGGACAGCTGGACTGAGGTGTCCTAGCATCTCTGAGCCTGCAGCAGAGATTCCTTCTGAGGGCTGCTCCCCAGGCAGAAGCCAGGGCTAGGGGTGGGAGGAAGAGGCAGTCAGAGGAGAGCCTGCCCAGCCAGATGCAAGCCAGAGTGTTAACCCCCCACTGTCTGTCCAGATCCTCCTGAGGCAGAATGGAGGCCCCAGGTCCAGGGGTATCCCCTTTGGCCAGCTTCGAAGTCAGCCTCTCATGTAGTGGCTGCACTTTCCCCACACTGATGCCTCAAATGTCATCAAAGCCAGACAGCCCTTGGGGTTAAGCATTGCTCCCACCTTGCTCTCCTCCAGGGAGGTTGTCTTCCTGAGCGGTCCCTTTCATCCATACCATTCACTCCAGACCTTGAGTGGCAGCCAGTCTGGGGTAGATACACCGTCTAGTGGCCCAGTTTCCTCCAATCATTCCTGAACCTAAGGTTTCTGAGTACCTGGGCCATTATTCCCACCCAGGGCAACCTCCCCAACAGAGCCTGAAGTCCCCCCAGCCCCCGTGACTGCCGTCCCCCTCTTCCACACTTTCCCTCCCTCAGATCAGCCAGGATCCTCACAGTCCCTGTGCTGAGTGGTATGAAACTATCCTTTGGCTCTTCCTTCCATGGCTCCCACCCCTCTCCTGCCATCACCTTCTCCCCATCTTTCAAGGCCTCACTGAGGTCCCTGCTCTCTGCAGTCTCCCTGGTCACCCAGCCAGAGCTGCCTTCTCCTCCCCAGAAGAGCTGGCAAGCATTTGGGCTTTTGGTGATATGTAGATTAGCACATTGTTGTGGGCTGTTTCATAGCCTCGTTGTGTTTTTCCAGTGAGCAACTTATTTGCAGTATTTGTCTCAACATCTGGATTATTGAGGCAAAACCCAGAGTCCAGGATAGTGTCAACCTTCACCCTACCCTGCCAGCATTTCCCTGAATCTGGGGGCATCAGCCGCCAGGAGGCTTGGGAGCTCTCAGGAGGTGACCTCAAGCTGGAGAAAGAAAGCCCAAGAGTCTGTCTGCTTTTGGCTGAAGAAGGAGAGACCTAGGGCCAGGGGTAGGGATGAGGAGACCCCAGTGAAGAGAAGGAAGAGAGGAAGGAAGGGGAAAGACAGGGCATCAGGAGCCAGTCCCATCACTCTGGGGCTGAGCAACTACTGGGCCAGGTAGGTGCTGGGAGAGAAGAGGGGTCTCAGAAAACTTCTCTGCCATGATAAGAGGTGGCTGGCTGGAGGCAAAGCCTGATGGTGCTCAAATAGGCAGGTGCCAGGCAAGGGATGGCCCATTACTGGCACTGGTGCCTCTGATTAATCAGCTGGGCTCCTTTTGAAACACACACCCAGGGCTCCAAGATGTCTCTGGCAAGGGATGAGTTCCAGTGAAACTGAGTTTGATCCCACAGTTTTTCCAGTGGCAGAGCCAGATCTGCATGGAACCAGGTGGGAGGAAATGCTGGGCCCAGGGGAGCTGTCTCTGGCTTGCCATCTGAAAGCCGGTGCATGAACATGAACTTGAGGGCAGTTCAAAAAGTGCTTGGCTCAGTGTTGATGTTGCAGAGACAGAAAAAAATGGGTAGATGCAAGTCCTGCTCTCGAGTTTCCTGTGTCATTAAAATTTAGGCTGGTAGGCACACCATCTGTGTCAGTATTAGTTCAATGTATAGTTAGGTTTGGCTGGCTTAATCTGGGAAGGCTTCTTGTAGAAGGTGACATCTGGGTTGTTTTCATGGGAGAACAAGGTTGTGCTGTGGCTGCTAGAAATCCTGGGAAAGCTGGATTTGAGGGATGCTGTATCCTGAGGTAAGGGGCAGAGCCTGTAGCATTGTAGATATGAGGCCTTTGTTTTTCTGCGTTGAGCAGGGCATGGGGATAACTGGGGAGAGTGAGACCTGGGGAGAAATGACACCCTCTCTGTCACAGACATGGCTGGGCTCCCTGCTGTTGTTGGTCTGTCTCCTGGCGAGCAGGAGTATCACCGAGGAGGTGTCGGAGTACTGTAGCCACATGATTGGGAGTGGACACCTGCAGTCTCTGCAGCGGCTGGTGAGTGTGTGGCCATGCTGTATTCTACCTTCTCCCCACTGGGGAAATGAAGGCAGGAGCCAGGGAGCAGGTCAAAGAGAGCAGTTGCAGGCAGGAAAATAGGGCAGTGCGGGACATTGCTTGTGGTTCCCACTAGCTCCACCAGTGATACCCTTCACTAACCTTCCCAAAGTTAGGACCTCTGGTCTCCCCAGCTCGAAGCCCTCTCTGACTGCCCTGCAGGCAGTGGATGCTGTGGGCTTCCAGCTGCTTGCCTGGGTTAGTGATTGCCCAGGAACATCAACCACTGATTCTGAAAAGGCTTCTGAGGTCTGCTGTCCCTCAGTGGGATGCCTCCTCTGGGAAGCTAGCCCAGGCGGCCTGCTGTGTCCAGATGTTGCATCTAGCTCCTGGACTCTCATATGTGGCGCCAGTCTGGCATCAGAGCCCCACCCAGATTTGGAGGGGAAGCGCTTGCCTAACTCCCAGCCTTCCACACTCACTTCCCTGGCTCTTGCCCATACCCTGAGGCTGGGATGGCCTGCTCATCTGGGCCATGAAGGAGCCTGTATCTCATTCTAATCAGACCCATACGTGGTCCAGCCAGGCAGAATCAGGTTGCTGTCATGGCTGCTGTCCTGCTCAGTGGGAATTTACCATTCCTCTGGCCAGCCAGGCAGGGTGGGGCATCACTGGCTAACGCCAGCTCCAGGGCCCTGAGCTTGGGGCCTGTGGGCTGTGCCTTCCGCCTCTCTTGCCCCAGCACTACTTCTCCTGTATGTAGTTGCTGTAGCAATCCAAGGTAGACCAAGAGCCCCAGCATTCTCTGAGGCTTAAAATCCAGAACTGCTGCTCTGGGGCTAAAGAGGGCTTTAAGGGCATCCAGCTCCAACCCCTACAGGTGTTCAATCCCCAGAGCTTGTCCAGCCTCTGCTTGAATTCCTACCATGACAGGGTGCTCACTGCCTCCAGGGAAGATTATATCCTATATTCTTCTATAGACATCTCTTCCTTAAAACAAATGGGCATTTGTCAGATTTCGTGGGGTGGTAGAAGGAAAGAAGAGACTTCTTGTTCTTCTACAGCCTTCCCCTGGGCATCTGGAAGGCACTGATCTTCTCCTAGACTTGACTCTGTCTTTCCACGTGTGGTTGGCAGGGATGAAGTTCAAACCCCAATCCACTCAGAAGCTAAGGTCCCCGTTTTGAAGAAGGCTGAAGGCTGAGTTGAGCTGTAGGTTACCCTGCAATCGTTGGCCTGCTCTCTCTTACAGATTGACAGTCAGATGGAGACCTCGTGCCAAATTACATTTGAGTTTGTAGACCAGGAACAGTTGGTGAGTGATGGCTTTTTACAAAATCCATGCACCAGCCTGCATGCAACTCCCAGGGTGGGGTGTGTGGGGGAGCATGAAAGCGGCAGAATGCCTACTGCTGGAAAGGGTGAGAGTGTGAGGATCCATGGGTGCTCAACTCTGGGGTGCCAGGATCCAGGGCTCAAGTCCCCTGCCATTCCCTTCTCCTGGCCTGATACATAACAAGCGCTCACTAGGTACCAAGCACTTTGCTAATGTAGTTCTGACAGTACCACTATGTGGTACACAAATACAGTTTATTATCCACAGAGAGGTGAAAGGAGCATAGCTAGTAGGTGCTAGAGGCCTGATTTGAATCCAGGAAGGTTGGCTGTAGGGCTTGAGGCAAATCAATACTTCTTCCAGGTCACAAGCTTTGCTTAAGGATGTCACTTCTCTTCACCAGGCCAACCAGCAGGCAGGTAGGCAGTCCAGCCCTTCCTGGACTTGCCCCACACCCAACCAGCCACCAAGTGCTGCTGGTTCTGCCTCTCAGCATCTCTGGGTTCTGTCTCCTCCATCCCCACCTTCACCCCTCAATCAGTTGCTTGGACAATTTCAAGAGCCTCCTAACTGGTGTCTCCCTGCTTTCTAGTTCACTCCTCATCTTACCACTGGGGGAAATTTTCTGAAACGCCAACCTGCTGCCTTTACCTCCTTCTCCCAAAAACATCAGGGCCCCCATCACTCCAGAAGAAAGCCAAGGTTGTCTAGTCTGGGTTACACCAGGTCTAGCCATTCTCCACCACACAAGCCTCTATACCACCTCCCCATTCCCTGCTTCTTCCTGCCTCCCATCTTTGCACAAGCTCTTTCCAATGACTGTCATGCCTTTCCACCTGCCCCCCAATCATTATTCCACATCTATTCATCTTTATGCCTCATGCAAAACTGCCTTGATACCCAGAAGTTGCCCCTGTTTCTGAGCTTCCACACACCTGACCCATATGCACCTCTGTTAGGACTAGAGATCACCTCATGGTCCAAAGAATAGCCTCAGTATTTTATGCACTCACTCGCTTGCTCTAGCACTCATGCCTGAACTAGCATTTGCTAGGAACCTACTGGACTAGATGCTGGGGGTAGAGAGCTAAAGCAGAGTGGGTCTTCAAGGCAACTACCATCTCTTTAGGGAGACAAAACACAGAGGTTATTCTTTGGACCATGAGATAGTCTTCAGCACCCCTATGTCCTGGAGGATTTGAAGGGGCCATATGGTAAAAGATATTTGTGAAAGCAAGACAAGAGGAAGACAGAAAGAAAGGCAGGGGAAGGTTCCCTGGAGCCCACCTTCCCTATATACATCCATCGTGATTAAAGCCTCATATTCCAGAAACCCAGAGAACTCTCTAATCAGAATCCACATTTCCTTCACTCTAGCCCAGTCTCCAGTGGCGCTAGATCCCAAAGAGAGAGAAAGACAGGCAAGCTGAGGGCGGCATTCTCCTAGTTGCTGGCATGGTGTGGTCCCTCCCCTGGGGGAAGGGGGAGAGCAAGCTGCAACCCTCCATCTGCCTGGGGTTGGGGGTTCCCAGGCCACAATGGCCAGGCCATAAGCTCCAGGTTCCTGTTTTTCAGAAAGATCCAGTGTGCTACCTTAAGAAGGCATTTCTCCTGGTACAAGACATAATGGAGGACACCATGCGCTTCAGAGATAACACCCCCAATGCCATCGCCATTGTGCAGCTGCAGGAACTCTCTTTGAGGCTGAAGAGCTGCTTCACCAAGGATTATGAAGAGCATGACAAGGTAGGAAGCCCTGAGGCCTGGAGCACTGAGTGAGGGCAGAGGGTGGCTGTGGAGGCGCCGCTCTATCCACAGGCACAGAGTACATTCGCTCACCTCGCCTCACGCCATTGCTTGCTCACTCTCATTTATTTGTCATCCCACCAACCTTTACCAGGCAGGAGGCAGGAGGGATCATGCTGGGCCCTGACAATGTCATCATGAGCAACAAATACATGGTCCCACCCCATGCAGCTTATAGTCAAGTGAGCTTGGCAGCTGTTAAACAAACCATGACACCAGTAAATAGAATTACAAACTATAAGGACTGTTCATTCCAACAGCAAGCAGTTATTGTGTGTCTGTTGTGTACCAGACACTGTTCTAGACACCAGGAAACAGCTGTGATGAAAACAGACAAAAATCCCCACATTCCTGGAACTTACATTTGGGGGTGACGGTAGTGGTGGTGAGACAGTTAACAAAATATGTAAGTAAAATATACAACATGTAGCATGGCAATAACAGCACTGGAGAAGAGTAAACCAGGGATGAGACGACCCGAAGGAAGTGGAGGAGTGAGCTGGGAACAAGAACCTGAAGGGCTCAAGGAGAGCAACAGGGAACTCAGACTTCCATGGAGTTGGGGAAGCAGAGACAAGAAAGGCTTCTGAGTAAGCAAATATTGATTTGAGCTCCAAAGATGAGTAAGAATTGAAAGCAGTAAGGCTAGAAGAACATTCTGGAACAGGAAAAGCTATGCACAAAGCCCTAAGGTAAACAAACAGGAAAGTGCACATTCAGGGACCCAAAGGGTTATCAGCATGGCCAGAGCATGGGAAGTGAAGGAGGGGGAGGAGAGAAGTCAGGAGCCAGATCACATGTGGTTTTAGAGATGTGGGATTTTGTCTTAAGGGTGAGGGAAGCTGTTGTGAACAGGCATGTGGCTTAATCTCAGGTTATAAGACTGACCTGGTTGCTATGTGGAGGATAGACCACAGGGGGCAGGAATGGAGGCTGGGAGACCAGCAGAAGGTGTGAGTCCAGGCTAGACACATTGGCGGCTTGGACCAAGGTGGGACAGTGAAGGTGGAGGCAAGTGGACTGGACATGTTCCCGTGGGTTTAGGGGCAGAATCAACAAGACTTGGTACGTGCAGTGGATGTGAGAAGCTGAGGGAAAGAAAAAGCCAAGGATGGTTTTTGTCTTGAGCACCTGGATATTCCAATGATGCTGAAACGGGGATGATCCATGGGCAGAGCAGGTTTGAGGGAAGACAGTTCAGTCTGGGGCACAGCAGACGTGAGGTGCTCATGAAATGGTGAGTGGAGACGTTGAGGAGGCAGCTAGGTGTGCGGGTCTTGAGTGTGACCAGCAATGCACAGATCTATGAGGCATGGGGGTTCGGCTTATCTGTGAAGCCATGGGACTGGACAGCACTGCCACTGTGAGAAGAGAAGCAGGCCCAGGAACCCAGCATTTGGAGGGCAAGCAGAGGATGGGGGACCTGGCAAGGGGCAGCCTGAAGGTGGGAGGAAAAGAGGGAGAGTGCAGAGTCGAGGCACTGCATTCCAAGATGGATAAGGGATGGAGATTCATAAAAAAGCGTTGAGAAATCAAGCAAGGTGAGGGCTAAAATTGTCCATTGGATTTGGCAACGTGTCACACATGCTGGATCAGGGTGAACAGAAAGAGAGGAAGTAGAGACACCACTGTGGAAGAACTTGGATCCGAATGGGGGCAGGAAAAGAGATGTAGCTGGAGGGAGTGTGTAATTGAGGGAGGACTTTTTGTTCTGTTTTTGTTGTCGTTGTTTTGAGACAGGGTCTCATTCTGTCACCCAAGCTGAAGTTCAGCGGCGCAATCACGACTCACTGCAGCCCAACCTCCCAGGCTCAATTGATCCTCTGACTTCAGTCTCCTGAGTAGCTGGGACAACAGGCACACCCCACTATGCCCAGCTATTTTTTGTAGAGATAGGGTTTCGCAATGTTGCCCAGGCTGGTCTCAAACTCCCAGGCTCAAGCAATCTGTCTGCCTTGGCCTCCCAGAGTGCTGGGATTACAAATGTGAGTTACTGTGCCTGGCCAGGAAAACATTTTTAATAAGAGAGGTATTAAATCTGCGGTTTTCCAACATTAAGATTCCTAAGAATCACTTGGGGAATGTGTTGAAAATGCATATTCCTAGGACACACCCCTAGAGAGTCTGATACACTGGGTTTAAGAGTGGCTCCAGGGCCGGGCGCGGTGGTTCATGCCTCTAATCCTGGCACTTTGGGAGGCCGAGACAGTGGATCACCTGAGGTCAGGAGTTCAAGACCAGCCTGCCCAACAGGGCGAAACCCCATCTTTACTAAAAATACAAAAATTAGCAGCTGGTGGTGGCGCATGCCTGTAATCCAAGCTACTCGGGAGGCTGAGGCAGTAGAATCGCTTGACCCAGGGTGGCGGAGGTTGCAGTGAGCTGAGATCGAAACTCCATCTCAAAATAAATAAATAAATAAATAAATAAATAAATAAATAAATAAATAAATAAAAGACTGAACCCAGGAATCTGCATCTTAAGCAGCTGTCGCACTGATGATTATGACCCCCTTGGATATTCACTTGTAGACATGTGTGAATGCTGAGGGGCAGGCTCCAAGAGAGAGGGTGGGTGAAGCTGGAGGAGCTAGCTCCCAGCAAGTCTCTGGAGAAGACAGTGGGAGGGATTCAGAGCTCCTGAGGGAGAGTGAGAGTGAGACTTCATCTCAAAAAAAAAAAAAATGTTTACCAGATAGACGTACGAATGAGAAGACTGGGCTCAGCTCCATCACTTACCAGCTAGGTGGCAGTGACCAAGTAAACTGCCGGAGTCTCACTCTCTCCCAGGCTGGAGTGCAGTAGTGCCATCTCAGCTCACTGCAACCTTTGCCTCCCGGGTTCAAGCAATTCTCCTGCCTCAGCCTCCCGAGTAGCTGGGATTACAGGCACGCACCACCATGCCCAGCTAATTTTTGTCTTTCTAGCTGGGATTACAGGCACGTGCCACCATGCCTGGCTAATTTTTGTCTTTTTAGTAAAGACAAGGTTTCACCATGTTGGTCAGGCTGATCTCGAACTCCTGACCTCGTGATCAGCCTGCCTCGGCCTCCCAACATGCTGGGATTACAGGTGTGAGCCACCGCACCCGGCCTATCTGGTAAACATTTCTTAAGGGCTGACTGCATAGGCCAGGGAGATGCGGCGATGCCTTCAAGGACTTCACAGCCTAGAAAAGCCCATGTTTCTTCCCTGTGAAGCTCAGTTTAAGGAAAAACTTGGTATCTGTGATTCAGTGGCATTTAGGCCCTGGATGAAGCTGTGAGCATGCATGGCATGGCCTTGTGTGAAAGGAGAGGTGGGCCCGGGAGTGAACCCTGAGGGATGGCAGCATTTGGATATCAGGAGGAGAAGGGGAGCTTGGTAAGGAGACAGAAAGAGCAGCTTGAAAGGTGGGAGAAGACCCAGGATGATGCAGCTTCTCAGAGCTCCAGTGGGTGTGGGAAGCCGGGGCCCCTTGAGCAGCACAGAAGACAGGGCTGGGACCTCCTCAGCCCTCCCTCTAAGACACACCAATGCCAGCAAAGGACCCATATGCCTGGCGGCTGCCCCGTTCCCTTCTCCACACCACAGCTCAATGATTTTTCTCAAACTCAACTCTTACCATGCCACTGCCCACCCCTAACACCCCTTCAGATGTTTTCCCTTTGCTCTGTGGACAAAACTAAAAGTTCTGGTCTTGGCCCACGAGGCCCTCAAGACCTGGCCCTTGCTAACCTCTCTCCATGTGCGTCTCTTGCCACGCTCCTCCTAGATGGTAGTGCTGCAGCCACACCAGCCTTCTTTTAGTCTTTGGGCTTTTCATGCATTTTCTTGCCTCAGGACTTTTGCACGGTCTGTTCTTGCAGCCTGGACAGCTCTCTGGGATCCCATCTCTTTCCTGGTTTCTCTTGCTCATCTTTTAGTTGATTCCTTGGGGAAATTCTCCCTGAACACTTGTTTAGTTCCCCTTGTTGCACACCATCGGATGGCCCAGTACTTATTCATAGGACTCATTGCACTTGTAACAATGTGTTTAGTCCCTGCTGGATTGCTGGACTCAGTGTCCAACTCAGCCAGGAACCACCTCTCTCTTGTTCGTTGCATGATTCCCAGGTAATTACCATATGCCTGGCACATAAACATATGTTGAATGGGTCTGTGAATAAATGACATATCTCATAACCTCAGGACTCATTCTGCTGCAAACCAGGGGAAAGGGGAGCAAGGAAACAAAAGGGAAAAAGAAGACAGATGTGAGAAAGGCCAAGGGAATTTGACAAATAAGATGGAGACATGGGGCCAATGGTCATGCTCACAAAAGGGGGCCCTGATCTCCTTCCAGGCCTGCGTCCGAACTTTCTATGAGACACCTCTCCAGTTGCTGGAGAAGGTCAAGAATGTCTTTAATGAAACAAAGAATCTCCTTGACAAGGACTGGAATATTTTCAGCAAGAACTGCAACAACAGCTTTGCTGAATGCTCCAGCCAAGGTAAGCATGGCAGGGGCCAGCAAGTGTGTGGGGGTGGTAGCATATGGAATGGGGATTGGGAGGTGAGATGTGAAGCTGGGGGGACCCCTGGGGAGGCAGCCTGGCTGCTACTCGTGTTCCCGTGTGCATGAATGTGCTTGTTCTGTGTATATATGTGGCTTCACGTACCTCTGGTCCTGGGCACATGTCTTTTCTGACATGTGTGTGCATGCACACCTACATATGTCTGCATGTGGCAGCGTCAAGAAGGATCATGCTGGTGCCTTGAGATTAGGGAGTGGAAATGGGAGCCTGTCTTGGGAGCCCTGTAGGTATGGAAGCTTTCCCCACTGGCTCTGCAGGCTGGCTGAACGTGTGGGGGGTTCTGTGGAGACAGCTGACACCCATCTGGGAGTCAGGGCCCTTGCTCCAGGAGCTCTGCTGCGAATCACCATGATACCCTGGCTCCAGAAGTCCCCAGGATGCCTTGGGTGTTTCCTCAAGGGACAAGGCTGGATTTGAAGTCTGAGCATCATTGGAACTCCCAGGGCTGGCTCAGCTGCATACATGTGTACACTGCGTGTCCTCGTCTCTGCGTCTCGTGCCACACGTGCCCTCCTACATTCAACCTTGCTTCCCAAGGCAGGGTCTAGGGCCCTGCAACCTGCCAGTGGCCAAGTCCAGTCTCGTTGCTTCAATCCCAAGTCCTCAAGCCTTGGCTGCATTCTAGCCCCAGCCTGTTCCTGCCTGTGGCTGTGGCTGTGGCTGTGGCTGTGTGGCTCCTGGCTATGCATGAAACCAGTGTCTCTGGGGCTTGAAGTTGTCTTGTATTGGTCTGGAAGGCAACCGTTCAGCCTCCTGACCTGACTGCTGCTCACCCCTAGCTTGGCCTGTGGCCAGTGGGAACCCCTGCATGGGCTGTTCTCTTATCTTCCTTCTCCCCAACCCCCAGTGTGTGCATCTCAACCCTATTCTTTGTCACTGCTCATGAGACCCTGCATACGGCACCTTCCCTGTGTCATGAGCACCCACTCTAGTCCCATCCTCTTCTCAGCCCCAGGGCTGAGCTAGGAGATGAGGGCCCCCCAGACTCACATTCCCCTCTTGCCCCGCTCTGGGAAAGCTGTGCTGGAGGCTAGTGACTCTATCTCCTCCCCATCTTTCTCTCTCCTTCTCTCTGTGGTTCTTTCAGATGTGGTGACCAAGCCTGATTGCAACTGCCTGTACCCCAAAGCCATCCCTAGCAGTGACCCGGCCTCTGTCTCCCCTCATCAGCCCCTCGCCCCCTCCATGGCCCCTGTGGCTGGCTTGACCTGGGAGGACTCTGAGGGAACTGAGGGCAGCTCCCTCTTGCCTGGTGAGCAGCCCCTGCACACAGTGGATCCAGGCAGTGCCAAGCAGCGGCCACCCAGGAGCACCTGCCAGAGCTTTGAGCCGCCAGAGACCCCAGTTGTCAAGGACAGCACCATCGGTGGCTCACCACAGCCTCGCCCCTCTGTCGGGGCCTTCAACCCCGGGATGGAGGATATTCTTGACTCTGCAATGGGCACTAATTGGGTCCCAGAAGAAGCCTCTGGAGAGGCCAGTGAGATTCCCGTACCCCAAGGGACAGAGCTTTCCCCCTCCAGGCCAGGAGGGGGCAGCATGCAGACAGAGCCCGCCAGACCCAGCAACTTCCTCTCAGCATCTTCTCCACTCCCTGCATCAGCAAAGGGCCAACAGCCGGCAGATGTAACTGGTACCGCCTTGCCCAGGGTGGGCCCCGTGAGGCCCACTGGCCAGGACTGGAATCACACCCCCCAGAAGACAGACCATCCATCTGCCCTGCTCAGAGACCCCCCGGAGCCAGGCTCTCCCAGGATCTCATCACTGCGCCCCCAGGGCCTCAGCAACCCCTCCACCCTCTCTGCTCAGCCACAGCTTTCCAGAAGCCACTCCTCGGGCAGCGTGCTGCCCCTTGGGGAGCTGGAGGGCAGGAGGAGCACCAGGGATCGGAGGAGCCCCGCAGAGCCAGAAGGAGGACCAGCAAGTGAAGGGGCAGCCAGGCCCCTGCCCCGTTTTAACTCCGTTCCTTTGACTGACACAGGCCATGAGAGGCAGTCCGAGGGATCCTTCAGCCCGCAGCTCCAGGAGTCTGTCTTCCACCTGCTGGTGCCCAGTGTCATCCTGGTCTTGCTGGCCGTCGGAGGCCTCTTGTTCTACAGGTGGAGGCGGCGGGTGAGTAGATCCCCATGAGGAAGAAGAGCACGTCCCTTAGGGCAGGGGCAGAGCCTGGCGGGGGTGCAGGTGGGGGGACAGCTTGGGTGCGGCCTGAGTTCTTCAGACACAGAGAGATAGGGGCTGGCTCAGCACAGAGGATGAGAGGTGGAAATGGAGGATTACTTCGAGAATTGGGAAGGTTCAAGCTATAAGGTCAATGGGAAGGGACTGGAGCAGAAGGGAGCGGGAGAGAATATTCATGGGCTGACAGCAGGATGATATCCAGACGGGCAGGGAGCTGGAGGAGGAGAGCAATGCTGTGTGAGCGTGTCAGGGCAGGCGTACACTGGAAGCTCTGCAGAGCCTGGGGCAGGAGGACCCATAGGGAACAGCCTGCAAGGGTGTGGGGAGAGGAGAGGGGACACCATCAGCAGAGAGACCTCACAAATCTCCCTTGGGCCTCTGGCTGATCCCCACTTTTGGGAAGTTGGGAGGACTCTTGCAACTCTCTCATAAATACCTGGGGCAGCCCTTACTGGGGATGGGCCACCGCCCCCCCACACTCCCCCAGCTCCTCAGTGAGATGCTCTTTCCTGTCCTCAGAGCCATCAAGAGCCTCAGAGAGCGGATTCTCCCTTGGAGCAACCAGAGGGCAGGTGAGAGCTTGAGGTGGGGCTCTGGGAGGCACTGGGGGCCTGGCTTGGGATCTGTTTCCCCTCTTCGTGGTGGTGGGGCTCTCCTGCTTGCTCTGAGGAAATGGAGCTGCAGAACAGGATGGGGGAGAGAAGAAGGGCCTCTGTCCTTTCCCAGATATCTGGGCTTTTTCCTGATTTCTCCGTAGAGTTAGACAGTTCTGGGTCTTTTCAATCTGAGAGGGCCTAGAGCATGTCTGGGGCTTAGGGGTAAACTTACGGAGTCCCCTTATTCCCCTGCTCCTGCTGATGTCTAATACCAGCCCTGTGCTCTGCCTGCAGCCCCCTGACTCAGGATGACAGACAGGTGGAACTGCCAGTGTAGAGGGAATTCTAAGGTAAGATTCTGACTTTGATCTCCACTCCTAAAACTTACCTATACCCTTTTCCAGTCACGTTCACCTGTTGGTGACACCAATTCCCCTGAGGCCCCCACACTGACTCCCATGCCTCTCTCCAGTTCCCTTTCCATACATCGCCAGCCAGGTCCAGCCACCCTCTCCTTTCCAGGTCCTCAGCTATCCCCCTGCCCCTCCATTCCATCCACCCCCGCTGAGGCCAGGGACTATTACCTCTGCATTGGGCTTCTAGTGTTGCTGCCACCTGTGACCTCAGAGCAACTAAACCCCCCTTTTTCAAATGTGGCCTTTATAAGGTCTTTACCCTCCTGGAGAATCTTCAGTAGCTCTGTGTGGCAGCCACTGCAAGCCCTATATTCTTGGCTTGGCTGCCAAGCCCCTTCGACAGCAGCTGCTTGCCAGATCGCCACCCCCGCACCAGTTAACCCTCCTCCCCAGCTGAGGTCAGTTCTGCTTCCTTGCTTTTAGGATCATGTTGACATAGAACCTGAGTCTTGGAAGGGCTCTCAGGGGTCATTTGGCCCTGGTTCCCACCCCAAAGGGACTGCCCCTCTCCATGTCCCCAACAGGGAGCCAGCCAGCTGGCTGTCACACACTCCCAGATCCAGCCCAGCTCCCTGCCTAGCCACAGCCCATGCCATCTTCCAGTCAGACTGGGAGAAACGTCTTCCTCATGCGAGGCAAAACTGGCTTCCCTGCCCCCTCCATACTGCTCCTCCCTCCTGTTCTCATGAAAACCCTCAGATATTTCAAGTCAGGTATCCATGTCCCCTTTGAGAATTCTCTAAGCTAAGTATGGCCAAGTCCCTCAAACGTTCCTTATATGATATGGTTTTCAGACCCCTCACCATCCTGGACACACTCGTTTGTCAATGTCCCTCTGAAAATGTGACGCCCAGCCCCGGACACAGTACTCCAGATGTTGTCTGACCAGCTCAGAGAGAGTACAGTGGGACTGTTACCTTCCTTGATATGGACAGTATTCTTCTATTTGTGCAGATTAAGATTGCATTAGTTTTTTTCTTAACAACTGCATCATACTGTTGTCATATGTTGAGCCTGTGGTCTATTAAAACCCCTAGTTCCATTTCCCATAAACTTCTGTCAAGCCAGACCATCTCTACCCTGTACTTGGACAACTTAACTTTTTTAACCAAAGTGCAGTTTATGTTCACCTTTGTTAAAGCCACCTTGTTGGTTTCTGCCCATCACCTGAACCTACTGAAGTTGTGTGAAATCCTAATTCTGTCATCTCCGTAGCCCTCCCAGTTGTGCCTCCTGCACATTGATGAGTGCCTGCTGTTGTCTTTGCCCATGTTGTTGATGTAGCTGTGACCCTATTGTTCCTCACCCCTGCCCCCCGCCAACCCCAGCTGGCCCACCTCTTCCCCCTCCCACCCAAGCCCACAGCCAGCCCATCAGGAAGCCTTCCTGGCTTCTCCACAACCTTCTGACTGCTCTTTTCAGTCATGCTCCTCCTGCTCTTTTGTATTTGGCTAATAGTATATCAATTTGCACTTATTTGGATGTTGTTTTCATATTTTTTAAAATCTTATTTTATATGTATTGTACATTCCACATCCCTAAGATTGTAAGCCCCTTGAGGGCAGGGACTGTCTTCCACTTTTTTTTGTGTTTCTTTTTCCATCCTGGGTTCTACTAAGAGAGGGCCTCTCCACATTTGCCAAACATGCAATAAATGTTGACTGACTGGCTTCAGGGCTGACTCACGGACTGACCCTGGCCAGCTGTCTCTAACTGACCAGCCTCTAGCTGACCAGTTAACCAGCTAACTGACTGACTCTGACTGACTGGCTGACCAGCTGGCTGGGTGAATGACTAACCAACCAACTATCTTGGTAACTGCCTAACTGACCAGCTGTTGCTTGGGGAGCCCATTGAGCAACTGACTAGCTGATTGCCTGACTAATTGGCTGGTTGGCTGACTAGCTGGGGTGACCCAGTCAAGTTTCCAGTCACATCCTTTACCAAGTGCAAGCCAGTGCCGCAGGGCTCTCCCATGTGTGGAGTGACAGGTCTGGGCCCCTTCTAGAGAGATAGGGAATTTGGCAAATGCTCAAAACCAGGGGAACCTATTTAGACAAGAACCAGCAGTAACAACATATCTGGAATCCTGGGGTCTACCTTGTCAGTGGGGTGGGCTAAGATGGGTGAGTGGGTCAGCTGGGGCACTGGCAAGACTGTGAAATGACCCAGGCCTCCTCAGAACTGGTTGCTGGTGGCTCAGTGCCACAACACCCTTCCCACGGGTCGTCTGTCCCCAAACCCCTCGCCGTGGTCTTGGCCCTCTGTCCCACCCCTCTACACGCCCACCCTCCTTTCCCCACTTGCTTATTCTCAGGCCCGTCCCAAGCTTTCCTCTTCCCCCTCAAGATTTCACTTGGAGAGGGAATCCAGGGCAGGGGCTACATCCAGATCCCACTTGGCCCGGCAGGTCCAGCCCTAAGGTGGTCTCCAGGCCAGGCACCAGTGGCCTTGGAGAGATTGAGTGCCAGCCCCTAGAGTGACTGCTGCTGTGATTTGAGAAGTGAGAGAGAGAAACATAGAGGCAGAGACTGAGATAGGGACTCAGAGCCACAGAAAATGCAGACACCAGCACCTCAGCCCTAAGCAGCTAGAAGATGGGGCAGCAGGCTGGAACTCGCTCACTGGGTCCTTCTCCCCTCCTGGGCCCTAGCTGGGCCTGTGGCCTGGCTGTACCCAGCATGGCTCATGTCCAGTTTATGGTTCCCCTTCTTTCCCTCTAGAGCATGGGAATGGGCAGGGAGCCAGAGGCTGTGGTTCCATCTTCCCTCCTTACCCAGTAGGGCCTATGGATGTTAGGGAGGGAGGCTCCACACAAGGTCCAAAGTCAAACTGTTGGATGGGGTCCAGGGGATTTCTGCTCTGGGAACAAAGCGTCCTGAGGATGCTGGGCAAGAGGACAAGGATGGGGGTGGAAGGCGAGAGGACAAGGCCCTGACTCCCATGGATGATGCGGGAGGCAAGGCCCTCGGCCCATCCAGGAGGGGCTGGGTTGCTTAGGGGTCGCGTGCCAAATGACAGTGTGGGAATTTCCTTGTCCTGGCACTGCCTCTAGACTTTTCCTCTCTGGCCCAAGTTGTTCCTCTTCAGCTAGCTCTGCCCTACTGTCTTGAACATCATATGTGATGCCCCTCTGATGAAATGAAAGATTCTTCTTTGCTAGTGTTAGCAGGAATCACCCTTTGTTCACTGGACCAAGGCCAATGAGATGACCTCGCCTGAGGAGGGGTCCAAAGACATTCAAGTGCCCGCTTCGCTCCTTGTCAGAGCCCTCTGCTTGAGCAGTAACCCCTCTTCCCAGCCCTGCCCAGACCTCTCCCGGGCCCCGTTATCTTCCACTGAGGCCCTGATTCCCCAGGAGGAGGTAGGAGGTGAGGCCAGTTGGGCCAGAGGCCTGGGCTGGTGCCAGAGAAAGCTGCCTGGTCTCTCTGTGGTGTCTGGAAAGGCCAGGGAAGGGAGGAAAGGAAGTCCTGCCTGCAGCACCGCCAGCAGCCCACAGGAATGCCACACCTCCCAATCCATGTCCTCAACGACCCTCCCCGCATTCCCACTCTGCTGACTAGCCTTTCCTTCTCTCCCACAGCTGGACGCACAGAACAGTCTCTCCGTGGGAGGAGACATTATGGGGCGTCCACCACCACCCCTCCCTGGCCATCCTCCTGGAATGTGGTCTGCCCTCCACCAGAGCTCCTGCCTGCCAGGACTGGACCAGAGCAGCCAGGCTGGGGCCCCTCTGTCTCAACCCGCAGACCCTTGACTGAATGAGAGAGGCCAGAGGATGCTCCCCATGCTGCCACTATTTATTGTGAGCCCTGGAGGCTCCCATGTGCTTGAGGAAGGCTGGTGAGCCCGGCTCAGGACCCTCTTCCCTCAGGGGCTGCACCCTCCTCTCACTCCCTTCCATGCCGGAACCCAGGCCAGGGACCCACCGGCCTGTGGTTTGTGGGAAAGCAGGGTGGACGCTGAGGAGTGAAAGAACCCTGCACCCAGAGGGCCTGCCTGGTGCCAAGGTATCCCAGCCTGGACAGGCATGGACCTGTCTCCAGAGAGAGGAGCCTGAAGTTCGTGGGGCGGGACAGCGTCGGCCTGATTTCCCGTAAAGGTGTGCAGCCTGAGAGACGGGAAGAGGAGGCCTCTGGACCTGCTGGTCTGCACTGACAGCCTGAAGGGTCTACACCCTCGGCTCACCTAAGTGCCCTGTGCTGGTTGCCAGGCGCAGAGGGGAGGCCAGCCCTGCCCTCAGGACCTGCCTGACCTGCCAGTGATGCCAAGAGGGGGATCAAGCACTGGCCTCTGCCCCTCCTCCTTCCAGCACCTGCCAGAGCTTCTCCAGGAGGCCAAGCAGAGGCTCCCCTCATGAAGGAAGCCATTGCACTGTGAACACTGTACCTGCCTGCTGAACAGCCTGCCCCCGTCCATCCATGAGCCAGCATCCGTCCGTCCTCCACTCTCCAGCCTCTCCCCAGCCTCCTGCACTGAGCTGGCCTCACCAGTCGACTGAGGGAGCCCCTCAGCCCTGACCTTCTCCTGACCTGGCCTTTGACTCCCCGGAGTGGAGTGGGGTGGGAGAACCTCCTGGGCCGCCAGCCAGAGCCGGTCTTTAGGCTGTGTTGTTCGCCCAGGTTTCTGCATCTTGCACTTTGACATTCCCAAGAGGGAAGGGACTAGTGGGAGAGAGCAAGGGAGGGGAGGGCACAGACAGAGAGGCTACAGGGCGAGCTCTGACTGAAGATGGGCCTTTGAAATATAGGTATGCACCTGAGGTTGGGGGAGGGTCTGCACTCCCAAACCCCAGCGCAGTGTCCTTTCCCTGCTGCCGACAGGAACCTGGGGCTGAACAGGTTATCCCTGTCAGGAGCCCTGGACTGGGCTGCATCTCAGCCCCACCTGCATGGTATCCAGCTCCCATCCACTTCTCACCCTTCTTTCCTCCTGACCTTGGTCAGCAGTGATGACCTCCAACTCTCACCCACCCCCTCTACCATCACCTCTAACCAGGCAAGCCAGGGTGGGAGAGCAATCAGGAGAGCCAGGCCTCAGCTTCCAATGCCTGGAGGGCCTCCACTTTGTGGCCAGCCTGTGGTGGTGGCTCTGAGGCCTAGGCAACGAGCGACAGGGCTGCCAGTTGCCCCTGGGTTCCTTTGTGCTGCTGTGTGCCTCCTCTCCTGCCGCCCTTTGTCCTCCGCTAAGAGACCCTGCCCTACCTGGCCGCTGGGCCCCGTGACTTTCCCTTCCTGCCCAGGAAAGTGAGGGTCGGCTGGCCCCACCTTCCCTGTCCTGATGCCGACAGCTTAGGGAAGGGCAGTGAACTTGCATATGGGGCTTAGCCTTCTAGTCACAGCCTCTATATTTGATGCTAGAAAACACATATTTTTAAATGGAAGAAAAATAAAAAGGCATTCCCCCTTCATCCCCCTACCTTAAACATATAATATTTTAAAGGTCAAAAAAGCAATCCAACCCACTGCAGAAGCTCTTTTTGAGCACTTGGTGGCATCAGAGCAGGAGGAGCCCCAGAGCCACCTCTGGTGTCCCCCCAGGCTACCTGCTCAGGAACCCCTTCTGTTCTCTGAGAAGTCAAGAGAGGACATTGGCTCACGCACTGTGAGATTTTGTTTTTATACTTGGAAGTGGTGAATTATTTTATATAAAGTCATTTAAATATCTATTTAAAAGATAGGAAGCTGCTTATATATTTAATAATAAAAGAAGTGCACAAGCTGCCATGTGAGTCGTGGGAAAGTTGCTTTTGGGGTGTGGGTGGCAAACATCAGGGTGGGTGGGCAGCAGTTGCCGGATGAACCCCAGCTCAGAGAACCTTTTTCCACAAAACACAGGGGAGGAAGGTTCTCTCCAAGTTTCAGTCTTGGTACCAAAACCTCCTGTATTATTGCTGTCCCAAACACATTCATCTGCATATCTGCTCGTATTGGGCAGAAAGTGGCCAAACATCAGGCCTGGTCACTGGCCCCTGCTCCTGCCCAGCCTAGCCCAGCCTGGGAAAATGGCTGGTTGGGCTCTGTCCAAGGGCCCCGGCGGCCTGCAAGGATAAGGCTCCTTGACTGCTGAGCCCTGCTGACCAGGGCAGAGGTTGCTGGCTAGGTCCTTGCAGACTCTGAGGTGAATGAATTCTGTTTCCAGGCTGGGAAGTGAGTGTGGTTAGCAGGGGAGAGCCAGGAGTCCGTGTAAGGGCCCTCGTTCGGGCTCGACCTTCCTACTGGAGCTGGAGAGGAGACTGAGGGTGTGGCTTTCCATGGGGAGAGGGGTGTTAGGCAGGGCCAGAGGAGTTGAAGGCCCAAACATACACCCTGGGCAAAGCTATGACAAGAGGGGCCTCCCCATCCCTGAGGGAGTGGTAGACAGCTTTGGATTAGTGGTTCCCAACACTGGCTTCCGGGAGAATCACCTGGATTGTTTAAAAAAAATACTGATCCCCGAGCCCCACCCTAGATCAACAAAATCGAATCTTAGGGGTGAGGCTCAGGCACCAGATGTCAGAACTTTTAAAAGACATCTCAGGTGATTCCAATGTGATCCAGGATAAGAAGTATCTAGAGCTGCACTGTCAGGTAGGGTGGCTATTTAAGTTTAAATTAATTAGAATGAAATAAAAGTAAACATTCAGTTCCTTACCTGTACTATCCACATGTCAAGGGCTCAGTAACTACATGTGGCTACCATGTTGGACAGCACAGAAATACAACATTTGCATCATTCCAGAAATTCTACTGGACAGTGCTACCCCAAAGATTAGGTCCTTGGACTTAGGGACCAAGGATACAGGGCCAAGATTGGCATCAAGCACATTTGACCAGGGGCTAGGTGTTCAGGTGTCTCAGTCACCCCTTTCTGTGCCCTCACCCCTGCCACCCTGTCCCTTGTCATTTCCCTTAAGATGGCTCTTCCCTTTCTATCAAAAGAGCTACAGAAAAGATTTTTGAAGAAACTTACATTTTATCCTTCAAGGCCCCTCTGAGAAGCCTTCCCAGCCTGACTCAAGCTCCTGAGGCCCACCCAGGTTCAATTCCTTCCTCCCCTGTGCTTCTACAGATTTGGAATTTGGAATCTGTTTGTCTGTCTGTCCCACCAGGCCATGGTCAGTGGCAGACACTGCTACATCCCTCCTTTTATTAAAGGGGGACATGCGCCTAGTGCCTTAGCGCCTAAGAGTATCTGGCACACAGTAGGTGCTCAGTAACTGTGTGCCAAAGGTTAATACTTAAAGCATGAACAGAGGCATCATAATGCAAATTCTGACCAGACGTAAGGGGTGGCCTTTTCTAGAGGCCTTATTGGTATTAGCAAATGAGATTAGTATCTAATAACTACTGTTCAATGGCCAAGCAGAAGGATTTTCAGCAGAGGAGTCTTCCTGGCTTCTGACAGAAATGGGGCTAGTTAGAGCCCTTCCTGATCACTGGGCTGTGGTGGATGGAATGTACACTTCAAAGCCTCTAAGCAAGGATTGGTGATGAGGACAGCAAAGACCCCTTCCCCTTAGCTGCCTCTCTGGAACCCCCAGAAAGACCTGAGAATCTCGGCAGGCCTTTCCTGGGCTTCATGTGCTGCAGGGGCTGCTTGGGAAGCATCATACCTATAGAGCAATATTCGCTTTGAATTGAGAACCAGAGAACTGGCTGAGCGTGGTGGCTTATACCTGTAACCCCAGCGCTTTAGGGAGGCTGAGGTGAGAGGATCACTTGAGCCCAGGAGTTTGAGATCAGCCTGGGCAACATAATGAGACTCCATTTCTACAAACAAAAACTAGCCAGATGCGGTGGCACACACCAGTAGTCCCAGCTACATGGGAGACTGAGATGGGAGGATAGCTTGAGCCAGAAGGTTGAGGCTGCAGTCAACCCAGATCATACCACTGTACCTCAGCCTGGGAAATGAAGCAAGACCCTGTCTCAAAAACACCAAAACCCAAAAAACAACAGAAATTGGGTTCTTGGCTTGAATCTCTCACTGGCTCTTACTGTTTGACCTTGAGTAAGTATTTAACCTCTCTGAGCCTCAGGTTTCTCCTCATCTGTAGAACTAGTTTAAGAGTACAAACCAGGTGGCTGGGTGCAGTGGCTCACACCTGTAATCCCAGCACTTTGGGAGGCCAAGGCGGGCTGATTACTTGAGGTCAGGAGTTCAAGACCAGCCTGACCAACATGGTGGAACCCCATCTCTACTAAAAATACAAAAATTAGCCGGGCATAGTGGTGCACGCCTGTAACCTCAGCTGCTTGGGAGGCTGAGGCAGGAGAATCACTTGAACCCGGGAGGCAGAAGTTGCAGTGAGCCGAGATCGTGCCACTGCACTCCAGCCTGGGCAACAGAGCAAGACTCCGTCTCAAAAAAAAAAAGGAAGAGTGCAAACCAGGTATACCTGGACTGCAGTTCAAATAAAATGACAAACCCAAAAGCACTTTGTGGGCTCCAAAGGGCTGCCCCTGAATCAAGTGTGTATTGATACTGTGCCTGCCAGCTGGTCCAACAGTGCCCAAGCCAAACAGAGAGCTCCCCTCTGGGCAAGCCCTGGGCACCAGCATGCTACCAGGGCCTGGCTGTTCTCAGAGGAAGGTGGCAGAGCTGGGTGCTTCCCACAGGGATGAGTAGTTAGAGATCTTGTTGCTCAGGTATTTCTGGCTGACAAGAAGAGCCAGGTAGGAGACTGGAGTGGAAAGTGGCCTTGGGTTGCTACGGGTGCCGGTGAGCAGGCAGGGTCAGGAACTCTGGCTTGGACTATATAAGCAGAGGCCACGGCCAAACCCCAAACCACTATCCGGCCAGAGGCAGGAAAGTGAATCAGAGGAGACGAGGAAGAAGCCTGAGGTTAACCTCGTGCAGACTGTGGGCCGTGGCAAGAAAGGAGTTGGTGACAGGACTAGATGCAGGGCCTGGGTGGGTGTCCAAAGACCCCTTGAATAAGGCACTAAAGTCATTTGGTGAAGGCAGTGGCCAGGGAGCCCTGAAGAAAAAAAGCCACATTTCCCAGTGAGCACATGTCCCCTGCCCCAGTGAAAGCCTCCTCTGCCAGAGCAGCACTTTTGTTTGCTGGTTTCCCTCTTCAGGCTCTAGGATTAGGGGAGTGACCAGGCTCTGCTCCTGAATGCTGGGACTGCTGAGGGAGCAAGTGGACCACACTAGCTTGGAAAGCCCCATGGTGAAGCGGCTGGACCACAGGAAAGCCCACAGGTTGACCCCCATGGCACCATCTAGAGTCCATACTGACTCAGCTCCACTACTGGGTGGCTGAGTCAGAAGAGGCTATGGATCGGGGCAGTGGAGAAGGCTGGGTCAGGCAGTTGTCGAGTGAATTCCTGGAGGAGGGCTAGGGGAGAACCCTAAGTTGGACTTTAGCCTCTCTGGTCCACAGGCCCCATCCCTGCTCTGAAGTCTTGGACACCTTCCCCCAGCCACTCTGCTATTTTGTCCTCTTCATGTGTGTGCATCTAGTGAGGTCTGTGAAGGCAAGAGCCTCATCCTTATTTATTCATTTACTTCCCCATTGATTGCCACACACTGAGGACAAAATGGTAAATAAGAGTCAGTGAAGGAGACAGGTATTAGTAAAACAATCACACAAGTAAATATCTAGTCATAAAGTATGAATAGAATTAGGAAGATACCTAACAGGGAACCTGACCAGGGATGCTGGACTCTGCAGGCCTTCAGGAAGATTAAGACAAAGGAAGCCACATAAGGGTTACAGGCAGTGAGGCATGGTCTGTTCCTCTTCCTTGTCCAAGACTGTCAACAAGATCAAATGGAAGGCTATTTACTATTTACTGGTATGTATGGGGCACTCTGTAAAAATGCAATCACATTCTATTCTACAATAGCCCTGTAAGCAAGGTGCTAATATCCTCATCTGTAGATGTAGAAACTAAGGCTTAGAGAAACTTAACTCAGCCAAGGTCACAGCAGCTGGCAAGTAGCAATGCCTGGATTTGAAGCCAGATCTGGCTGTTTTCAAATACAGCATCATAACATCACACTCTAGCAGACATTTAACAAATGCTTCTTGCACAAAATGGACAGCTCGTGCCAGCTTGGTGGGCTTTGAGGGTCCCCAGGGCCTTAGAATTCTCCTTCTTCCTCCCCTCAAAAGGATTGTGTAGTCTGAAACTGGGCAAAAGGTGCTTATGACAGACTCCTGTTTTCTCAGTCTTGCTGCTATCCCTAAATCCACCAGGAAAGAAGAGGGACCTCTCCTGGGTGGTGTGTCCACTGCCTGGGCCTCTGAAAAAGGCCTCTCTTGACTGTCAGTCCCTCCTTCTGGCTTCTCTTGGCTTGAGTCCTTTGTGACCCATGTGTTTCCTTCCTGCCCACCCTTTGGACCTATCCCAACCACCTGGTTAATTATTGAGCCAGGTGACACCTGGCCGTTGATCACTCCAGCTGGCAGCAGCTTTGTCATCATTCTTATTTTGCCTGATTACGATTTCCCGGAAGAAAGGGCTAGAAATTTGTTCTCCCACACCCAGCCAGATCTCCAGGGGAGGTTGTCCAGGCCTGGGCTGGGGTTGCATGGGCAAGGCTGGATCAGGACCACCAAGTGTGACATCTGCAGGCTCAATATGCTCTAGTGATTCTGGGGAGACAGGCCAAAGACTAGGGGCTGAGGAATCTCACGGGTAGGAGCAGGGCCCTCACCTGGCCTGTGATATTTGGGGGATCTTCCAAGAGGTGTGACTATCAGAGGGCACTATTGGTACGCTTTCCATGTTGGTTTTCCTGAAAAGAGCTCCATGCCCACATGCAGGAAACTGTCTCTGTCTACTCTCCTGAAGAAGAGTTTCAAGTTTGAAGCTCTTTGGGTATTTGGGCCCAAGTCCTCTGCTATGTTCAGAGTATTTCTCTGTATTAACAACAACAACAACAACAAATCCTGGGGAAGGGGGTAAAAATGTGACTTTCAGAGGTGATGCATTATATTATTTTAAATGTCTAGCTTCCAACAACAACAACAAACGTGAGGCATGTAAAGATACAGAGAGTATTCCCTATACACAGGGGGGAAAAAACAATCAATAGAAACTGCTTCTGAGGAAGCCCCAACATTAGATTTACTAGACAAATATTTTAAATGAGGTATTCCAAAGTGTTCAAAGACTAAAAGAAAACATGTATAAAGAACTAAAAGAAGATATAAGAATGTCTCACCAAATAGAAAATATCAATAAAGATAAGAACATATAGACAAGGAACGCCTATAATCCTAGCAATTTGGGAGGCTAAGGCAGGTGGATCATGAGGTCAAGAGATCAAGACCATCCTGGCCAACATGGTGAAACCCTGTCTCTACTAAAAATACAAAAATTAACTAGGCGTGGTGGTGCATGCCTGTAGTCCCAGCTACTCAGGAGGCTGAGGCAGGAGAATTGCTTGAACCTGGGAGGCAGAGGTTGCAGTGAGCCAAGACTGTGCCACTGCACTCCAGCCTGGACAACAGAGTGAGACTCTGTCTAAAAAAAAAAAGGAGCCAAATGTACAATAACTGAAATGAGCATTTCACCAGAGGGGCTTAATAGTAGATTTGAACAGCCAAAAGAAAGAATCTATGAACTTGAAGTTAATCTCAACTGAGATTACCCAGTCTGAGGAAGAGAAATAACAAAGAAACAATGAAGATCAGAAAAAATAAACAGAGCCACAGAGGCCTGTGGAACATCTTCAAGCATACCAACATGTACATAATGGGAGTCCAAGAATGAGAGGAGAGACAGAAAGGAATAAAAAGAAGATTTCGGCCAGGTGTGGTGGCTCACTCCTGTAATCCTAGCACTATGAGAGGCTGAGGTGGGTGGATCACCTGAGGTCAGGAGTTTGAGACCAGCCTGGCCAACATGGCAAAACCCTGCCTCTACTAAAAATACAAAAATTAGCCAGGCATGATGGCAGGCACCTATAATCCCAGCTACTCGGGAGGCTGAGGCAGGAGAATCACTTGAACCTGGGAGGCAGAGGTTGCAGTGATCTGAGATTGCACCACTGCACTCCAGCCTGGGTGAAAGAGCAAAACTCCATCTCAAAAAAAAAAAAAAAAAGAATGTTTGAAGAAATAATGCTTGAAAACTTTCCAAATTTACTGAAAGACATTAATCTACACATCCAAGAAGCTCCATGTACTCTCAGTAGGATCAACTCAAAGAGAGACACAGACACATCACAATCAAACTTTCAAAAGACAAAGAGGGAATATTTTTTTAATTTTTAATTTTTGTGGGTACATAGTAGGTGTATATATTTTTGGGATACATGAGATATTTTGATACAGGCATACAATGCATAATGATCACATCAGGGTAAATGGGATATCCATCACCTCAAGCATTTATCATGTTTTTTTGCTACAAACATTCCAATTATACTTTTTGTTATTTTTTAATGTACTATAAATTATTGTTGACTGTAGTCATCCTGCTGTGCTGTCAAATACTAGATCTTATTGATTCTATCTAACTACATTTTTGTACCCATTACCCATCCCTGTTCACCCCTGCCCTGACTACTGTTCACAGCCTCTGGTGACCATCATCAAAGAGGGATTCTTGAAAGCAACAAGATAAAAGTAACTCATTCAATACAAAGAATGCTCAATAAGGCTCACAGCTGATTTTTCATCAGAAACCAGAGAGGCTAGAAGACAGTGAGATGGCATAGTCAAAGCGCTGAAGGGAAAAAAGTGTCAACCAAGAATTCTATATCCAGCAAAACTGGTCTTCAAAAATGTTGGAGGAATTAAGACATTTCTAGATAAACAAAAACTGAGAGAATTTGTCACTAAGCAGATCCAACCTAAAAGAAATACCAAGGAGGTCCTTCAGGCTAAATTGAAAATACACTAGATAGTAACTTGAATCCACATGAAGAAATAAAACCACCAGTAAACGTAACTACGTAGGTAAACATAAAAGACAGTATAAACGTATTTTTTCTTATTTGATTAAAAAAATTCATAAAGCATTAACGATAAATCTATGTCAATGGGAAAAATGTATAAAGATATAATTTGTGTTAATAGCAGCATAAAGGAGAGAGAGGTACAGAGCCAAATAGGAGCAAAGTTTTGTGTACTATCGGAATTAAATTGGTATTAATTTGAACTAGATTGTTATAAACTAAGTTGCTAATGGTAATCTTCAGGGAAACCACTAGAAAAACAACTCAAAAATATATAATAAAAGAAATGACAAGAAAATTAAAATGGTGCACCAGAGTATTTTTCTATGAAAACCTCACTCTCGAGGAACCAGCAAAAAATGGGGAGCCTGAACTCCCTGAGGAGGGGAGGTATGCATATCCTCTTTGTTCCTCAGCCCTACGCTTTACTCATACCTTAACATAAAATATCCAGCATTCCTTAGCTTTGCATGCCCTTTCCCAGAAAATATGTTTTCTCCTCACAACAACCTTGTGAGGCAGGCTTTATAATATCAGTTTTAGAAGTGAGGGCTCTGAGGCTCAGAGAGGTTAGGTAAACAGCTCAAAGACACACAGCCAGTTAATGTGAGAGTTGGGATTAGAGTGAGGTCTATCTTACTCAGGACTCTTTCTTCCACAGCTCAGCTCAGCACATGGCTATCAGAAATGCTGGCTTTTCCTTTGTTTCTTTTCTAAGTTTTAATTGTGGCAAATATAAAACATGTACCGGCTGGGCACAGTGGCTCACACCTGTAATACCAGCACTTTGGGAGGCTTAGGCAGGTAGATTGCTTGAGTCCAGGAGTTTGAGACCAGCCCTGGGTGATATGATGAAACCTCCCTCTACAAAATATACAAAAATTAGCTGGGTGTGGTGATGCATGCCTGTAGTCCCAGCTGCTCAGGAGGCTGAGGCAGGAGGATCATTTGAGCCCAGGAGGCTCTTGCAGTGAGCTGCAAGATCATGTGATCTTACAGTGAGCTGAGATCATGCCACTGCACTTCTGCTTGGGCAACAGAGCAAGATCCTGTCTCAAAAAAAAAAAAGTACCAAAATAAACAGATAGTAAAATGAAATCCCATGTACTCATCACTCAGCTTGAACAATTAAGCCAATATTCATCCATCTATGTTACCACACACTATTCCCTACCGCTACCTCATTATTTTGAAACAAATCCCACATATACCCATTCAAACATAATGATTTCAGTATGAATCTTTAAAAGATAAAGATTGGTTTTTAAAAACATAACTACAATACTCATCACTTCTAAAAATTAATGATCTCTTAATGTCATCCAATAATTTGTCTCAAATTTTTTTAAGTTTGTTTGAATATGGATCCAATATTCATACATTGCAATTAGTCAATATGTTTCTTAACACTTTTCATCTATAGGTCCCCTTCCCCTCATCTCTTTCCCTCAGCAGTTTATCTGATGAAAAACTTGTTTATTTGTCCCATAGAGTTTCCCAGAATCTGAATTTTTTTGGTTGCAGCCTCAAAGTGTCACTAACATGTTCCTCTGTCACTTATATTTTCTACAAATTTGGAAATTCAATCTATAGATTTAATCAGGTTCTGGATCAGTTTTTTTTGTAAGAACACTTCATAGGTGCTGTTGTATACTTTGATCAGAAGGTTATATAAAACCAGTTTCTCCTTGAAAACACCTTAAATGTCTGATACTAGGAGAATAGTTATATAATAATAGTTCATCATTTACAGTGGAATTTTATGCAATCATTACCGGTCATAGTTTTTAAAGAATACTGAGTGATATAGGAAATGCTAATCATATAATGTTAAGGAATAAATGAGAATAGAAAATACACATGGGGCTGGGCGCAGTGGCTCATGCCTGTAATTCCAGCACTTTGGGAGGCCAAGGTGGGCAGATTACTAGAGACCAGGAGTTCGAGACCAGCTTGGCCAAGATGATGAAACCCTATCTCTACTAAAAATACAAAAATTAGCTAGGCATAGTGATGCACATCTGTAATCCCAGCTACTCAGGAGGCTGAGGCACAAGAGTCACTTGAACCTGGAAGGTGAAGTTTGCAGTGAACCAAGATCACACCACTGCACTCCAGCCTCAGCGACAGGGCAAGACTCTGTTTCAAAAAATAAATAAATAAATAAGGTAATTCATATATCTGTGCATAGAGAAAAGATTAGAAGGAACCATTAATTGCAAGGAAAAATGACTGTGTTAATGGAGGCTATTACTAAGAGTTAGAATTATGGGTGATTTAATTTCTTTCTTTATTCCTTCTACATTTTCCAATTTTTAATAATACATTTATATTACTTTTGTAATCTGAAAAAATATTTTATAAAACTTGTATTTTTGTAATGAAGTTGTGATTTTTCTGAAGTCATCCACAGCAGGGCCAGGAACTGGTACCAGTCCATAGACTGTTAGGAACCAGGCCGCACAGCAGGAGGTGAGCAGTGGGCCAGTGAGCAAAGCTTCATCTGTATTTACAACCGTTCCCCATTGCTGGCATTACCACTTGAGCTCGGCCTCCTGTCAGATCAGCAGCGGCATTAAATTCTCATAGGAGCACGAACCCTATTGTGAACTGCACATGTGAGGGATCTAGATTGCACACTCCTTATGAGAATCTAATGACTGATGATCTGTCATTGTCTCCCATACCCCCAGATAGAACTGTCTAGTTACAGGAAAACAAGCTCAGGGCTCCCACTCCCTCTACATTACGGTGAGTTGTATAATTATTTTATTATATATTACAATTTAATAATAATAGAAATAAAATGCACAATAAATGTAATGCACTTGAATCATCCCGAAACCATACCCCGCTCCCTGGTTCGTGGAAAAATTGTCTTCCACGAAACCAGTCCCTGGTGCCAAAAAGGCTGGGGACTGCTGATCCACAGAATGGCAAAATGCTACCTTGAGGCAAGATCTAAACATACTAAACAGTGTGGTCATAGAACAAATTGCTAGTCCGTTGCTGGTTGGTCACTGGTTGTTTGATGACTCTGAGTGGTTATTTTGGTCACAGAAATTAGTCTGCTGGTCACGGGAGCCTGGCAAGAGTGGAGAAGGGTTCATTAGGAAGGCCAAGAGAGAAGATCCTTTGGTTCAGCTGGTCTGGCCGGTAGACTTGAGTCTTCAGAAAGCCCAGTCTCACTGCCCTGTGCCCTCTGTCAAATCGTTCACCATGAGACCAAATCACTCACACAGCCACAGAGGCGCGATCCCTCTAGCAGCAAAGATCTCCAGCAGGGCTAGACTAGTGTAGCAGCTATGGGAGGCATGCCCAAGGGTCCTGCCACCAGGACAGCAAGGCCAGACTTGAAATTTGACCAGGACAGAGGAAGATGTGAGATTTCCATTTCTGATTTCAAACTTCTTCTCCTTCCTGGTCGATGTTAACTTACATCAATACCCTGAACAAAGGAGGCATCAGATACTGATCTGTAAGAAAAGAGGATTAGATTTTAGGATCTCTGAAGCCCCTTTCCAGCTCTGACACTCTAATCTTTTCTGGACTGGTTTCCTCCAAATTCTATAAACCATTTAAACTCTAAGAAGAGACATTTTTTGTTTCCTCATTCATAAGTACTAATTTAAATCTATATCCCCACATATAGACCATCTAATTGCAGCAATGTGTCACATACACAAATCTACTCATCATGCCGCTCCACCCTTGGGAGACCACAGATCACTAGGACGACCATTCAATCAACCAGTCTCTTCTATGGTGTTCATGTCTTCCTTTAAGTGGATGATTTATTTTAAAACTTTTTTTCTTTTTATAAAGTTAGCATGAGCTGATAATAGATAAATAGGAAAATACAGAAAACTATAAATAGGAATATAAAAATCACTCTTGGTTGGGCGCGGTGGCTCACGCCTGTAATCCCAGCACTTTGGGAGGCCAAGGTGGGTGGATCACCTGAGGTCAGGAGTTGGAGACCAGCCTGGCCAACATGGTGAAACCCCATCTCTACTAAAAATACAAAAATCAACCGGGTGTGCTGGTACATGCCTATAATCCCAGCTACTTGGGAGGCTGAGGCACAAGAATTACTTGAACCTGGGAGGCGGAGGTTGCAGTGAGCTGAGATTGTGCCACTGAACTCCAGCCTGGGTGACAGAGTGAGACTCCGTCTCAAAAAAAAAAAAAAAATCACTCTTAACCCCACCGTTCAGGAATAACTACTGTCAACATTCTGTTGTATTTCCTTCTAGTATTTTAATAGTATGTTTATATCTTTACATAGTTGATATCATAATGAATGTACAGTATTGATTTTTCACATAATGTCATAATCATGAACATTTTTCCATGTCATTACGATTCTTTGTAGACAGCTTTTTACTCTTTTACCTTCTATGTTTTGTGAATTCAAAGCTTTCAGACAAGGCCAGGGAGGAAAGAGAGTTCATGTGTCTCAGGACTGGGAGAGAGATGATAAGCAGTTCTGGGAACCAAATATTCTGAGCCAAAAATTGAGCCACAAGATCTGACCGAAGTGACCTTGGGTAAATAATTTAATCTCTCTGTGACTCAGTTTCCTCATCTGTAAATTGAGGGTGATAATAGCACAGTTTTTACTTCTAAACTGTCCTGGAAAATGGCACCATCCAAGTTGTAGTTTTTATCATTTGGGAGACACAGGTATTTCAGAAGCTGTTGCTCGGTTGTCAAAACATTTGCATGTCACTGTAATGTAGGGATTGTGGGGTAAAATATTTGAAATCTTAACTGTCTTGGGAGATGTAGAATAAAAGATTACTCCTACCTAGAGGAAAGGGTATGGAGAAGGGAGTGAGGCCGAGGGACAGAAAAAGAGAAAGAGAGAGTCCTTCTAGCAAATTATCAGGGAAGAATACATAGAGGAGGAGACAATTTAAGTGGGCTTTAGAATCTTCCTTAAAAGTCATAACTCTTTGAGTTAAAAGCTCAAATACTGAGGTAGATGAACGTCATCTGACACTCCCTCATCACCAGACTGGAACTCCATTCACAGGGCCTGCCTACCACCCACCACACAGACCAGCAGAGAGAAGGCGCTCAGTTAACGTCTGTAGAGCTGATAAGAGCAAAATGGAAAGAGAAGACGAATACAACTTCCAGAACAATTATTCCCCTTTTTTATTTTTTATTTTTATTTTATTTTATTTATTTATTTTTTGAGATGGAGTCTTGCTGTGTCGCCCAGGCTGGAGTGCAGTGGCGCAATCTCAGCTCACTGCAAGCTCCACCTCCCAGGTTCACACCATTCTCCTGCCTCAGCCTCCTAAGTAGATGGGACTACAAGCCCCCGCCACCATGCCTGGCTAATTTTTTATGGAGTTTCACCATGTTAACCAGGGTGGTCCCGATCTCCTGACCTCGTGATTCGCCCGCCTGGGCCTCCCATAGTTTATTTTTTAACCAAGAACCAAACCCTGAACCAGAATTTTTGTTCTAGTGCAAGTATTCTCCACCAATTTTTCAGCACAATGTTATTCGATATGAGAATATCAGCAGAGGTCCAAGTAGAATGTACTTTAAACAGCATTTGGCTTTTTGGCTCACAGTGAATGCTCATCTGTCCCAGAAACTATTGTCTTCATCCTTTGCATGATTTAACAATTAGCAATTTTCTTTTTGTTTTCCTTTTTTTTTTTTTTTGAGACGGAGTTTCGCTCTTGTTGCCCATGCTGGAGTGCAATGGCGCAGTCTCAGCTTACTGCGACCTTCACCTCCCTGGTTCAAGCGATTCTCCTGCCTCAGCCTCCAGAGTAGCAGGGATTACAGGCACCCACCACCACACCTGGCTAATTTTTGTATTTTTAGTAGAGACAGGGTTTCACCTTGTTGGCCAGGCTGGTCTCAGACTCCTGAACTCAGGTGATCCATCCGCCTCGGCCTCCCAAAGTGCTGGGATTGCAGGCATGAGCCGCCGCGCTGGCCAACAATGAGTAATTTTCTAAAACAAAAAACAAAAACAAAACAAAAAAACTCCAACAGTATTTTTTAAAGGGAAAAAAAACACGAACAAGTTTCAGCTCCTAACTCTGCCTTGTGTTGAAATAGAACTGATGGAGAAAGGAGCAGCGATTGGAGCCACACAACCTGGGTTCTGCTCTGGACACCTTAATGAGGAGCTGGGATGAGGTGGTGGAAGCAAGATTAAGAAGGGCTTATGGAAAAGTTAAGATTTAGCCCTATGAAGGTGCCAACTTCCCCACCACTGAAATTCCTCATCATCTAGAGGTTCAAGTCACCTACAAAGGACGCAGGTTATCCCTTCACAATCAGGGCCCAATCTATCATTTAACCGTTTAACCTCATCTCCAGCCACTCACATTCACATTCACATCTAGTAAATGTTCTTCCTCCTTGCCCTTCCTTGGGCTCTCGCTCCCCTTCCCCTTCTCACATCTACTTCCTGTCCCACCACAACCTGCTAAAATGTCCTTCCTCTAGAAAGCTGTGTTGATCCTGCTAGCTGAGTTCATCTCTTCGGTCACTCCATCTGAATCTCCAGTATGTCTTTTATGTCTTTCTCATATGCCTTCAAGCTACTTAAGTGAGTGTCTTGTGGTTTTTTTATGTCTTCCTCATATGCCTTCAAGCTACTTAAGTGAGTGTCTTGTTTTTCTTATACCTAATTACAATAACACCTTTTATTTCTATAATGCTTTACAGATTACAAAGCAAGTTGGCATATATTTTATCACTTGGTCCTCACATCTGGTGAAGCAGCTCTTTCTATCGTTTACATAGAAGGACCTAAACCCAAAGAGGTTAAATAACTGGTCCAAAGTCATGATAACCCAGAGCTTTTATGCTAGCTCTCCCCTGCTGGACTGGAAGTTCCTTGAGGGCAAGAACCCTGCCTTAATTATTTTCATATCCCATCAAAACCAACACAGGAGCTGGTTCAGAGCAGATGCTCAGTAAATGAATATGTATGACCCTGGCCAATCCCTTCACCTCTCCACACCTCACAGTGCTAGGTAAAGATGTTCTTTACGTCCTTCCCAGATTCCTTTATGGCAAGAGTCAATAGCACCACTTCTCTGTATTCCCTTCTGACACCTGGATGAGCTGCATATCTGCAGGGCAATTGTCAGGATGTCCATTCCATTCTGTGCCTCTTCTTTCACTAAACACTAATGTATTAGTTTCCTATTGCCGATATAACTAATTGCTGCAAACTTAGTCACTTAAAACAACACAAATTTGGCCGGGTGTGGTGGCTCACACCTGTAGTCCCAGCACTTTGGGAGGTCAAGGTGGGTGAATCACTTGAGGTCAGCAGTTCTAGGCCAGCCTGGCCAACATGGTAAAACCTGGTCTCTACTAAAAATACAAAAATTAGCCGGGCGTGATGGCTCAGACCTGTAATCCCAGCTACTCAGGAGGCTGAGGCAGAAGAATTGCTTGAACCAGGGAGGCAGAGGTTGCCATGATCCAATATGGCACCATTGCACTCCAGCCTGGGCAACAAAGTGAGACCCTGTCTCAAAAACAAACAAAAAACCCCCACAAATTGATTCAATTTATTATCTTAAATATCTGGAGTTCAGAAGTCTGAAATTGGTCTCAGTGGGCCAGAGTCGAGGTGTGGGTCGGGCTGGTTCCTTCCAGACACTCTGAGGGGGAATCTGTTTCTTTGACTTTTTCAGCTTCTAGAGGCCTCCTGCATTCCTTGGTGTGCGCTCCCTTCCTCCGTCTTCAACGCTCATCACACCAATTGCAGCTTCTGCCATCACATTGCCTTCTCTTCTGTGGGGAGATCTCCCCCTGCCTTCCTCTTATAAGGACTCTTCTGATCACCTTTAGGGCCCACCTGGGTAAGATGGCATTCCTAGTTTCCAGACACGAGGACCTGGATCTGTTTGGGAGACATTATTCAGCCTACCGCAATTATTATTACACCAACAATTTACCTATTATTTGTATATTTATCTGTATCTCCAGTACACTGTGAGCAACTTGAAGACTAAGACTGTACCTTATCTACCTCTCTATTCTCGTCTCCTAACATGGCTCCTCAGATACAGTAGGTGCTTAATAAATAATGATTGTGTGAATGAACAATCCCATACTTACAGACTTCTATTGCTTGTGCCTTAGGGAGCATCACAGCACAACATTCCAAAGAAATCTAAAGCTAACTTTTTTTTTAAAGCCTTAAAATAAATGTCAGTCTTTAGCACAATTATCTTGGGACATAGAGGAGAAGATTATACAACACATTGCACAGCAAAGCTTCCGAAAAATGCCCTGAAGACATTTCTTCCCTCCTCCAGACCCCTTCACTTAGTCCCTGCACTTGCCCGCCCATCCACTGCCTCAGCCAGCGAAATCTGTAACTTTTCCCAGGGAAAATGCACAAGCATCAGGATTTAATTTTGACACTACCCACTCTCAACCAATGGGCAGGCAATCAGCAGGAAGAAAAAAAAAAAAGCACTATCTACTTCCTAAATTCTTGGATGTGTTTCTCAATCTGTCTCTCACACAGTGAGGTCTTCAAGGCACCCGTGGTCTAGTGCCCAATGACCCCATGACTCCATTTGGGACCAGTCCTGCCTCACTCGAAGCAATTCAAGGAGAACTGCCTCTAGCCAGGGTCCCAAGGCTGACTGTGAGACGGCCTCTGGTGAGGGGAGAAACCTGCCTGGTAGCCCAACTGAGACCTGAAGGCTTAGGGCATCCAACCTTCCCACGCCAGCCTAGCATCTCCAGTGTAAATAACTTGAAGGCTTTCTTTCTTCCTCCTCCCAGATCCTCACTGTTTTGGGTAGCTCTTGGTTATAAATTCCTGATGCTTCTATCTGATCCAAACTTTCTTATTCTCTGAGCTGTGCTCCCAGGCACTTTGCTGCATGGCAAGATAACCTTAGTACAAAATAATGATAGGAGCTTGCAGTTAATGAGAATCCCAATGTGGGAGCTTTCCCTGTTTTGTTGCACCTAAACCTCACTGCATCCCTAAGAGGAAGGTGCTGTTGTTAAACTGAGCCACAGGCGTGTAAGTGACTTGCCCAAGGTCACACAGCTAATAAATGGTAGAGTCAAAATTCAAAGCCAGGGCTGGGTGTGGTGGCTCACACCTGTAATCCCAGCACTTTGGGAGGCCAAGGCGGGTGGATCACCTGAGGTCAGGAGTTCCAGACCAGTCTGGCCAACGTAGTGAAACCCCTTCTCTACTAAAAATCCAAAAATTAGGTGGGCATGGTGGTGCACACCCGTAATCCCAGCTACGCGGGAAGCTGAGGCAGGGGGAATTGCTTGAATCCAGGAGATGGAGGTTGCAGTGAGCCAAGATCATGCCACTGCACTTGAGCCTGGGTGACAGAGTGAGACTACATCTAAAAAAAAAAAAAAAAAAAAAAAAAAAAAAGAATTCAAACCCAGGCAGTCTGGCATGGCATGCAGGTAGGCAAAACATCTCATCTTCCTGTTTACCTGCATTATGAGTTGGACAAATAAATTGTAGCTCCTCTCCGTCTTGCCATGTTTCCTGTTTAGAACTTTCAGGCATCCCGTGGCATTTACAGAAGGCTCTGGGTTCACACAGGCGAAATTCCCTCACAATGGATCTTTACTCTGGAATTTTCCCGTCCCAAGGCCTGCCACTCCTGCAGCCTTAGAAGGCACTTCCTCCCTGGTCCCATGCTCCCTGCGAAGTTCTCTACTTTCCAGGAGCGTGGCTTACAGCTTCCTCCTTTGGGCACCCAGTTCCTAATGAAACTGAACCTTTCAGTCCTGCCTGCCTGGGCACCCTCCTCTCTTCATCTTACTGCAGGACAAGTGTGTCCATGAGGCCGAGTTAATAGCGTCCATGAAGTGAAATGAAATCGTTACTTCAAGCCTCAAGCCTCACCAGGGAGTTTCTTAGACTTTTCAATCTGGCAGGTTGGCATAACCCTGTGTAAGAGGATTCTTCACCTAGTACAGTAAGTTCTGGGCAGCGCATTGTTCCAAAGATTAGAATTCTGATCTCAGGGGTGACCTCTCTTGGCTTTATTACAGAAAAATCACACTTCAACATCTCAGGTGGTAGCACTGCTGTGTTGACATTCACATTCTTTCATGTTAAAAAAAGTCCCCAGATTTTCATTCTTAATTGTCCAGTGTGTTATTATAAGAAAAGTTGCTTAGAATTTCCTCTATTATTTGGCACCTGAGTCATTTTCAAGTTTCACTTTTTTACACAGTATGAAACAGATTGATTTTTTTTTGTTTGCTTAATTTTTGGTTTATTTACTTCCTTGTAGATAAGCTTCCAAAAACAGAATAAATACTCCAAAAGATATGAGCATTTTTACTGCCTTTGATGCATATCCTTTTATTGTTTAAGAGATTGCACAAGTTCACATTATCACCAGCAACATATAAGTACCTGTTTCCCCACAGTTCTGTTAACATGGGATTTATTACTTTTACTAGCTTTTTGCTAGTCTAATAGTTCTAGAATGATATGTTAAAGTTGTTTAAATGGGCTTCTCTTTATTACTTTCAAGGCTGTATTTTTTTATGTGATAATTGTTCTTCCTTTTTGGGGGGAATAAACTGTTCCTCTCCTTTGACAATTTACAGAGTAGAATCCAGACACAAGCCAGTATTTTCTCCATCTATTGTTTTCTACTTGGGGATAAGCTTTTAATATTTGTCACATCTTTTATTTCTATAGCATAGTCTTGTATGTAGCTGCTGTAAAGTTCAGAGTAATCTTTATATATTTGGCCAGGTGTGGTGGCTCACGCCTGTAATCCCAGCAGTTTGGGAGGGTGAGGCGGGCAGATCATTTGAGGTCAGTAGTTCGAGACCAGGCTGGCCAACATGGTGAAACCCCATCTCTTCAAAAAAATATGAAAGTTAGCTGGGCGTGGTGGTATGTACCTTTAGTCCCAGCTACTTCTGGGGCTGAGGCAGGAGGATCGCTTGAACCCAGGAGGTCAAGCCTGCAGTGAACGAAGATTGTGCCACTACACTCCAGCCTGAGGGACAAAGTGAGACCCTGTCTAAATAACAATAATAATAATAATAATATATGTTTATATTTCTCTACCTTGTCCTTAATAAATTTTTTTCATTTCTTCAATAGTCAGACATTTACGACCCCTTCAAACATGAGATAACCATGTTATTTTTCCCATTTAAAAAAATACTAAGCTGGGTGCGTTGGCTCACGCCTGTAACCCCAGCACTTTGGGAGGCCGAGGCTGGCAGATCGCTTGAGGTAGGGAGTTCAACACCAGCCTGGCCAACATGGTGAAACCCCCTCTCTACTAAAAATACAAAAATTAGCAGGGTGTGGTGGTACATGTCTGTAATCCCAGCTACTTGGGAGGCTGAGGCAGGAGAATCACTTGAACCCAGGAGTGAGAGGTTGCAGTGAGCCGAGATCACGCCACTGCACTCCAGCCTGGGTGACAGAGTGAGACTCCGTCTTAAACAAACAAACAAACAAACAAACAAAAACTGGTGTAGGTTTTACTCTAATCATCTGAAATTTATATTATTATTATTATTTTTTTTTTTGAGACAGGGTCTCACTCTGTTGCCCAGGCTCAAGCGAAGTGGCATGGTCTTGGCCTCACTGCAGCCTCGACCTCCTGGGCTCAAGTGATCCTTCCACCTCAGTCTCCTGAGTAGCTGTGGTTACAGATATGTGCCACCATGCCTGGCTAATTCTTGTATTTTTTTTTTGTAGAGATGGGGTTTTACTATGTTGCCCAGGCTGGTCTTGAACTCCTGAACTCAAGCAATCTGCCTGCCTAGGCCTCCAAAATTGCTGGGATTACAGGCCTGAGCCACGATGCCTGGCTGTATTATTATACATAATGCCATGTATTACTCTAAGATATTAAATTCCCTTTTTATTGTTTCATTGCTCAAACAATTAGCAAGCAATGAACTCTTTCTGCCTTGTGTTACTTCTGCTTTGTCATAAATTAAGTTTATAAAATAGAATAGCAGTGCCACAGGAATTTCTGTTCTATCTCATTCATTCATTCATTCATTCAACAAATATGTGTTAAGCACCTACTATGTGCCAGGTACCATTCTGGGTGCGAAGGATACAGCTGTTAACAAAACAAACATCCCTGCCCTCATGGAGCTATATCATTCTGGTGGTGGTGGAGACAATTTAAAAATAGATAACAGATGGATAAATAAATAATAAATAAGACAGGAAAAAGTGATAGGGAGCCTGGCATGGGAATGAAAAGTTGAACTTTTCTCTGGGAATCTTAAGGAGGACCTCATTGAGAAGATGCTGTTTTAGCAAAGCCCAAAGGAGGGGAGGGAACAAGTATGCAAATATGTGGGAGAAAAAAGGGTTCCAGACAGAAGCGCAAGTATAAAGGAACATCAAATTTTGTGACCTGGAAAGTGCCTAATGCATTCAGGCCTAGTGAGAGGCCAAGGTGACTGCAGTGGAATAAGTGACAGACAGAACAGGAGAGGTGACCAGACATGGAAGGGCGAGAGCAGATCTTGCAGGGCCAGGTCATGCATTGTAAGGACTGTGGTGTTTACTCAGAGGCAGATGAGAAGTCTAGGATGGTTTTGCACAAAGGAAAGGCAGGATCTGACTTAGCTTATCAGTGCCACCCTGGCTGTGGTGCTAAGAAAGTTTTGATCAATGTACTTTTTGTAATACATTTTAAATCCTGTGAAAGCCCTACTTTTTTTGTATCTTTTCTTATTTTCTAAGATTGTTATCTATTATTCTGCTTCTGTAATTATTTTGTAAGGCCTTAAACTGGTACTACATGAAATCTATTAACTTTGAAACACTGTCACATTTATTATATATGTATTTTTCCAATAATAATCTGGTGTATCTCTCCACTTATTCATATCCTCCTTTACTTTTACTGCTATAGTTTAGTAACTTTCTTGGAATAAATCTTGTGGCTTAAAGAAAATCCTCAAGCAAATTTATTTTTGGTTCGTGGTTATGAATGGAATCTTTCTCTCTTTTATTTTATGTTTTTATTAATATGCAGCTATATTTCACTGACAGAAACGCAATTGTTCTATGTGGGTTTCTTTTGGCTCACATCTTTGCTAAATTCATGTATTATTTATAGTAATTTAGGGGATACTATTCTTGGAACATTCAGATAAATAATCACGTCAACTGGAGTAGTATTTTTTACCCTAATTGTTTTTTTCGGTTTTTTTTTTTTTTTTTTTAAGATGGAGTCTCGCTCTGTTGCCCAGGCTGGAGTGCAGTGGCATGATCTTGGCTCACTGTAACCTTCGCCTCCCAGGTTCAAGCAATTCTTTGCCTCAGCCTCCGGAGTAGCTGGGATTACAGGCGCCCACCACCATGCCTGGCTAATTTTTTGTATTTTTAGTAGAGATGGGGTTTCACCATCTTGTCCAGGTTGGTCTTGAACTCCTGACCTCGTGATACACTCACCTCGGCCTCCCAAAGTGCTGGGATTACAGGCGTAAGCCACTGCACCTGGCCTACCCTAATTATTTATGCCTTTCCCAAACAGCTATTGTCAGCATTTCTAGTACCACATTGAGAAAAACAGACATGGGTGAACCTTCTGTTCTGTTTTCCAGAGAAGCAAGTCTCGTGCATCTCCAATAAGTATGACATTGGTTCTTCAGATTAAGTACATTTTGTTCTTCTTATTTGAGAATAAAAATATCTGCATCTAATTGCAAAGATTTAATAAGGAATACATATTAAACTTTACTGACTGTCTTTTGAACAAGTATTAAAAATATAATTTGCTTAAAAATTGCTTTTCTTTTTCATTTACCATTTAATTTTCCCTATTTTCTCTCTTTTGAAAATTAGCTAGTTAATAAAGTGCCAAGGAATCCAAATGCAATTATATTTTCATTTTTCTCTTTTTGCATGTCTTTGTTATTGCATTATTTAGAACCTAAAACTTGAGGATTATTAAACATTCATTGCTCAACATATGTTATCATTCTTCATATTCGTTATCATAAAATCTCCTTTGCTACTATATACTCAGGCGAGAAGTTAGGATACTCCCATCATCTTAGTCTTTTTTTAAAAAAAGTATTGTGGTTTTAGGCCAGGCGCGGTGGCTCACACCTGTAATCCCAGCACTTTGGGAGGACGAGGTGGGCGGATCACCTGAAGTCAGGAGTTCAAGACCAGCCTGGCCAACGGGGTGGAACCCCGTCTCTACTAAAAATACAAAAATTAGCCAGGTGTGGTGGCAGGCACCTGTAATCCCAGCTACTTGATAGGCTGTGGCAAGAGAATCGCTTGAACCTGGGAGGCAGAGGTTGCAGTGAGCTAAGATCATGCCATTGTATTCCAGCCTGGGCAACAGAGCAAGACTCATCTCAAAAAAAAAAAAAAAAAAAAAGAAGTCTTGTGATTTGTGATTTTTATTCTTTTTCTTTTTCTTTTTCTTTTTTTTTTTTTTTGAGAAGGAGTCTTGCTCTGTCTCCCAGGCTGGAGTGCAGGGGCATGATCTTGGCTCACTGCAACCTCCTCCACCTCCCGGCTTCAAGCAATTCTCCTGCTCCTGCCTCAGCCTCCTGAGTACTTGGGACTACAGGCCCGCACCACCATGCCCAGCTAATTTTTTTTTGTATTTTTAGTAGAGACAGGGTTTCACTATGTTGGCCAGGCTGGTCTCGAACTCCTGACCTTGTGATCTGCCAGCCTCAGCCTCCCAAAGTGCTGGGATTACAGGCGTGAGCCACCACGCCTGGCCTAATTATTTTTCTTATAGATAATTAATAGTTACATTTCTTTTTTAACTCAGTCTTTAAACTTATTTTCTTCTTATAGAGAGTTGTCTTCTGGATGTATAATATAAGTGATATAATTGTAAAATCTTTCATTGGTCCTGGTATTTATCTTTATTTCATCATTCTTGACTTTCTTGTTTTCTTCAACTGGTCTTGGAGAGGAACAGAAGTACCAATACCAATCTTTGTGGTTATATTTTGACAGTCTGGAATCCTTTTTGAGGTTCAAGTTTTTTAGATGGGATTTGACAGATATTTGAATGCCAGGCACATTTTTTGCCTACATTGTCCCATTTATATGGGGTAACAAATGTGGGAAGGAGCTATTATCTTCATTTTGCAGACTTTGAGGCTCAGGGATGTTGGTTACTTGTCCGTGTTTTATATCTAGTAAGTGGTAGAACCATAATTTAAACTTTATTAAATATCATATTACCAGTTGTTTTTACTTTGATTCATTAACCTTGCCTTTTGATAATGTCCTAGAGGATTATTTTTACCTAAAGTTTTTTTAGGTGACTTCTTTGTACCTGGCTGTGACCTTTGCCTCTCTCTATAGGAATCTGCTGATAAAGAGAACCCAGTCCTCCACTTTGGTCTTCAAGAAAAAAGATGGAATCAGTCAATCTCATTAGATTACTGGAAAAGGAGAGGTTCAGATCCAAGTGTGCCCCTCTCGGAATTCCCGAAGTAGCTTCCTTGGCAGTGTTGTGTAGCTGTGGCCTGGGGACCGCCTGCCTCAGATGCATCTGAGAAGTTAACTGCTGTCTAACTAAACAGATCTCTGTCTCCACCTCAGACTTACTGAGTCAGAAGTTCTGGAGATAGGTCCCAGGAATCTATCTACTAACAGGCCCCCAGGTGATTCTTAGGTATACACAAAACTGAGAACCACCACCCAAGTTTGACACGGTATGCCGCCTATGTAGGACACACTCTAGGATGACCCCCCAGTGAGTCATTGGGTGGAAACTGTGACCCCCGTCTGAGCAATAGAAAAATGGCAGACAGTGAGATGGACTCTCATGTTACATTATAGAAGAAAAATGGCATTATAGAAGAAAAATGGCATTATGCAAGAAAAATGTATACATTATACAAGAATGTATATAAGAATGTAAAAAATGTATACATTATACAAGAAAAATGGCAAAGACAGTGGGATAGACTCTCATGTTACATTATACATTATACTTTACATTATGCAAGACTTACATTACATTATGTTGCTACATTATATGAAATTCTGTCCTAGAGGACTAGAGAGAGGTTCTTGTGCTGGCCTTGAAGAAGTAAGAGGCCATGTAGTGACAGCCTGTGAAAAAGTCACATGCCAGGAAGTGTGGATGACCTCTAGAAGCTGAGAGCAGGCCCCAGATGACAGTCACAAGAAAACAGGGGCCCAGTCCTACAACCACAGGCCATGTGAGCTGGAAGAGGACCCGAGCTCCATAAAAGAATGCAGCCTGGCAGAAATCTTGATTGTTACCTTGTGAGACACTGAACAGAACACCCAGCAAAGCCATGCCTGGACTCCTGACCCACAGAGACTGTGAGATAATAAATGCATGCTGTGTTAAGCTACTAACTTTGGGGTCATTTGCTACATAGCAATAGAAAAAACTTAGACATCTTCCTTCTCAAAATTTCAACATTCAGCTTTTTCATAGCATTATTTACAGACTTGGGGGGAGAGGCTGCAAGTAATAACCTATTTATTTATGTTTTATTTTAAATATTTCTTTTAAAATAGTGAATATACCACTACACACTCAATATAAAATTAAAAAGACCAACAACACCAAGTACTGGCAAGGATGAGTACAACTTGAATTCTTATGGTAAAAACGGAAAATGATAAAATCACTTTGAAAAACTGTCATTTCTTTAACAGTTAACAAATATCTACCATAGTATCTAGCCGTTCCACTCAGTATTCACCCAAAATAAATAAAAGCATATTTCTACTCAAATGGAACATTATACACAAATGTTCATAACAATGGCTGTGCAGGGTGTGGTGGCTCATACCTGTAATCCCAGCACTTTGGGAGGCCGAGGCAGGAGGATCACTTGAGGTCAGGAGTTTGAGACCAGCCTGACCAACATGGTGAAACCCCATCTCTACTAAAAATACAAAAATTAGCCAGGCGCCTGTAATCCTAGCTACTCGGGAGGCTGAGGCAGGAGAATTGCTTGAACCCGGGAGGTGGAGGTTGCAGTGAGCTGAGATTGCGCCACTGCACTCCAGCCTGGGTGACAAAGCGAGACTGTCTCTCAAGAACAAGCAAACAAAAATGATCGTAACAGCTTTATTCATGTAGTCCAAATCTGTAAACAATCCAAACGTTCATCAACAGTTGACTGGATAAACAAAATGTGGTATATCCATTCAACAGAATGCTATTCAGGAATGAACTACTGATACACATAACGACACTAATGAATCTCGAAATCATTATGCAGAGTGCAGAAGTCAGATACAAAAGAGTATATGCTGTGTGATTCCATTGATGTAAAATGCAAACTAATCTCTAATGACAGAAAGCAGATCAGTGGTTACCTGGGGCCAGGGAAGAGAGACAGCTGGATGGCAAAGGGCATGAGGCATCTTTTGGTGAAATGTTCATGTTCTGTGTCTTGATTGTGGAGCTGGTTTTACAAGTGTATAATTTTCTTTCTTTCTTTCTTTCTTTCTTTCTTTTTTTTGAGACAGAGTCTCACTCTGTCGCCAGGTTGGACTGCTGTGGTGCGATCTCGGCTCACTGCAACCTCCAGCTCCCTGGTTCAAGTGATTCTCCTGCCTCAGCCTCCTGAGTAGCTGGGATTACAGGCACACGCCACCGTGCCTGGCTAATTTTTGTATTTTTAGTAGAGTCGGAGTTTCACCATGTTGGCCAGGGTGGTCTCAATCTCCTGACCTCGAGATCCGCCCACCTCAGCCTCCTAAAGTGCTGGGATTATAGGCGTGAGCCACTGCGCCCGGCCTCACAAGTATATAATTTTCAAAAGTCATTGCATTGTAAATTTTAAATGGATGTGGTTTAACTATACATAAATTATTCCTCTATAAAGTTGATTAGGAAAAAATAGATAATACACATGGTACAAAATTCCAAAGGTACAAAAGATTTTAAGTAAGTGCCCAACCTTAGAAGCAACCACTGTTACCAGTTTACTATGTATATTTCTAGACATATTTTTACTTAATATAAATTGCAGGTCTTTACAAATCAGTCCATTTTAAAAAACCCTCTTTCTTTTTAAAAAGTGTCCATTTATGGCTGTACCATAATTTGCAGACCCAGTCTCTAGTCAATGGTCACTAGATTATCTCCAATCTTTTTACAAACAAAAATGAGCATAAAATTGCTGGACTAAAAAGTATGTGTATTTTTTTTTCTATTTTTAAAGATATTGTTAAATTATCCTCCGTAGAAGTTATAGCAATGTATATTTCCACCAGCAATGAGAGTGTCTATTTTTCCATCCCTTGCTGACACAGCATGTTACAAAATATTCAATTTGATAGGTAAAAAAGTAAATATCACTATAATTTTATTTTGTGTTTCACGTTGTGAGCGAGATTGAACATCTCTTCACGTTTTTTAAGAGTCATTTACATTATTATTTGCTTTTATAGTTGCTTTTTTGTAAACTATTTAGATCTGCCTGCTTTTCTATTGGGTTGTTGGTCTTTTTCACATTGTTTTATAATAGTTCTTTATATATGGTCTTGGCTCAGATTCCCTATGAAACAGAACCTGAAGCAAAGCTCACATGGTAATGTTTTACTGAGGGAGTGCAAGCCCAGACCAGCATGCACGAAGGTAAAAATGGAAGGGAGGACAAAAAGGAGAGAAAGCAAATACAACATGGTGCATTATCAGGCTGACCATAGCTTCAGGAGGATACAGACAGTTGCTCAGTTAAGTTGCCCAGTTGTCAGAAGTGAAGGATGGTGGGAATGGGAACAAGAGGATTTTATCTGTCCTCCTATCTGCAGCCTCTCATAGATCCTTTTTTGCCACAGGGCATTAACTATCCTGCACTTCTGGGTTGCCTCACCTGCACAGATGGTGGGAAAGCCAGGTCCTATGTCCTACCTGAGACCAAAGGAGGAGAGCATCATATCTTCCAGATTTGGGTATCTGTGCAACTGTGGCCCTTGCCCAGCCTTCATCCTGGGGGGAGATGAGACAGGCAGTGTTGCTGGGAAGAAGGCAGAGAGGGCAGTGTTTAGGGCACCCTATGGAGCAAGCCACTGAGGCCCTGGAGAGGCAGGTAGATGTGAGCAATTCTGGAGAGAATAATAGTTATAGATATAGATACAAATATAATAATATATACTTATAATAATATGTATAATTATTGTTTTGCTGTATTATAATTTTTAGATATCCTCACTCACCCCCCCAAGTTTGTTATTTGACTTTAATCATTTATGTGATTCTTTTTGACCATGCAGAAATATTTGATTTTTATCTGACTGAATTTATCAATTCTTTATGTTATGGCTTCAGCCTTTTCTGCCCCTGAGATTATGAAAAAACAAACAAGCAAACAAAACCAAAAAAACTTTTATATTTTCTTCTTGTGCTTCTGGAATTTCATTTGTCAAAATTTAAATATGTCTGATCCATCTGGACTTTATTTTGCTATAAAAGCATATATTATAGATATAATTTTATTTTTTCCAAGAGGCTACACATTGTCCCTGATGTAAAAGGCCACCTTTATCACATATTAAATATACTTATTTTTGAAGAGTTCTTATTGAACATGCTTTCACCTAATGGGTCTGAAGTTTACTAGGTCTCAGAAATGATTTATGGGAGGAAAGTCACAAAATTGTAGAGCTGGACTCTGTCCTGCACTATTATCCACTCTATAGAAGACAATAGTGGTCAAATAACAGAGTTAAAACATAATTAATATTTCATTTTGTAATACTATGGCCAAAGTTTCATCTCCTTCATTTCACCAAGATGTTGCTAGTTGTGGAGACATCGCCCAGTCCCGATGTATTGTTGTTTGAATTAAAGCTTCTTTCCCTGGAGAATGTTGTAAAATATAAATGTAGTTTTAGATGTGCTATTTTTACTTGGCATGGTCTGTGGGATAGCCTCAAAGGTATTTAAAATGCAAAAAAACAAAAACAAAAACAAAAACAAACAGTAAGACAGGAATGAATAGGAAAAAGAAAAAACATGTTTGAAAGAAATTGGACCTTCGAAACAACACTTGCCCTAGAGAATTAACCATTTATTTGTGCACCCAACCCCCTCCCCCCCCCATTGATTTAACTTGTACATCCTTCTGGCATAACCCCAAGACAATTTTAATGTCATTTAATTATTTATAGTCCATCCCTCCTGGCCAGACGGAAGCAAGCCATGCCTACATTTAATTCCAGGGCTTAGCCTAGAGCCTGAAACAGAATAGTTGCTTAAAACACATTTCTGAAATGAATGAAATAAAGAGTAGGTCAATGAATTAACCCAAGTCCTTTGAAAGCTTCTTCTGATGTCATCATTTCTTCCTCCAACCCCACCTGGACTCTGGGGTCCCACTGTGCCCTTTTACCTAATCACTGACTTCCTCACTTGCCCATTTATGTGTCTGTCTTCCCCATCAAAGTGTGAACTCTGAAGATGACTGCCTTAATCATTTTTATACCCCTAGCACCTGATATACACTATAAACATTTGTGGGGTGAATAAATGAATGAATTACAGTTACAGAGGCAAGCAATTAGAAAAGCTCTGAAAGTTGTTAAGGGGAAGCTAGAGTATCTGGTCTTTGCATCCAGAAAAACAGACTTCTCTTTCCAAAGGAGAAAATGTGGTTAAGTAGAAAGCCCATATGCTTTGGAGAGAGAAGGCCTGAGTTCTAATTCCAGCTCTTCCACTTACTTTGGGCAAGTCACTTATCTTATCTGAGCTTCAGTTTCCTGCACTGTAAACTGGGAATAGGATTGGAGATAATGTTTGGAGGTGTCCACCACAGGCATGGGCATGTAGTAGGCTATAGCTGTGCTTGGCTATTATTACTATTTACACTTATCGTTATTAAGAGGTGTAGGAGGAATACAGAGCAAAGAGAGCCGTTAAATTTAGAATTTAGGGTTGTGTGCGGTGGCTCATGCCTGTAATCCCAGCACTTTGGGAGACTGAGGCAGGTGGATCACTTGAGGTCAGGAGTTGGAGACCACCCTAGCCAACATGGTGAGACTCCGTCTCTACTAAAAATACAAAAAAAATTAGCAGGGCGTGGTGGTAGTCCCAGCTACTCGGGAGGCTAAGGCAGGAGAATCGCTTGTACCTGGGAGGCAAAGGTTGCAGTGAGCCGAGATGGTGCCACTGCACACCAGCCTAGGCAACAGGAGACTCTGTCAAAAAAAAAAAAAAAAATTAGAATTTGGGTAGCTTTGGAGGAGATAGTTTGGGTGTGGAACGGAGTGAGGGGGACCTCTAGTCATTGTCATGGTGATACTAACCATCAAATACTGAGCCTACACTCCAAACACATCATTTCATTAATCCTCACAATAAATCCTAACGTCAGTGGTATCACCCCAATTGTCAAAAGGAGGAAACCAAACCTCAGAAAACATTTTTGAGTTTCAAGGTCACAGAGCTAGTAAGTGGTTGAGCTGGGTTCAAACCCAAACTCATTTGATTTCAAAGCATGTGCTCCAATTTTAACTTTTATTATCTTATTCTGAATAATCTGGGAGCTGAGAATATTCTGGAAATAAAATCCAGGTTAGAGACCTGCCAAGAGCCTAGACAGTGAGTTAAGCTGGGCTAAGGCACTGAGTAAACTCAGAAATGTCTGTTTGTCATCTCCCTGTGCTTACTGCTCCTGTTGTTAAAGATGTCTTAGCATCTTAAACAACTGAGCTTGTGCTGAACCAGTGAACTACATTGGGTGTGGGAGCTGGTCCTTGGGGGAAAAAAATCTCTCCCTGCACCCATATGTTTAGAAGCAGAAAGTTACCCGTGATTTTAAGAAAGCTGCCTTTTAGGAGACTGCCCTGGGCCTGGCTTATCACATGAATACAGAATACTGGTTTGCATTTCACCAGCCTACATCAGATGTTTGTTTTAGCATACCATACATTCTTAAAGCATGCGGGACAAGGAGATGCACTCCAGGAAGGGCCCTTTCAAAGTTTCGACTGGCTGTAACCTCTTTTGACCTTTGCTCTAGTGCACAGGCTCATCCTAGTCAAAGACTTGTCTTCAGCATTACAAAATTTAGAAACCAACTCTGAATTCACATGCATTGTTTGCCAATGTTTTTCAAGTCTTCTCACTTCCAGCTGGATGGTCTTAAATGTACTCTGACCCACACAGTTTCAGGCAAGTTGCAGAGCGCTTTGTAGGTATCCGATAAGTATGCCCTGAATTGAGAGGCTAATTAAACAAGAGGAATTTAGCAATATCACCTCTTGGCGTGAGTATTATGTAGCATCTGTAGTCGGGAGGGGTGGAGGGGTTGTAGAGCAGGGGTGACTTCTTTAAAACCTCTCAGTTTGCATATATGCCTCCCCTACGAAAAGTCCTGCTGGTAATAAACATAATCTGCCCTGTGTGTTCCCACCACAGGGGGGACATATAGCATGAATAAGAACTGGCTTCCCTTAGAGAGCTTTTCCAAAGGACACCATCTATTTACTCAGCAAATATTTACTGAGCAAAATGGGAGGAGAAGGGCATTCTGGGGAGAGAGAAGAGTTTGAACAAAGCTAAAAAGGAGGGAAAACCAGGAGTATGTATGGGATACACTGAATAGTCAAATTCAGGTGATAAAATCTGAAAGGTAGGAGGGAACTGATAAGTAGAGCTTTGAATGCGTGGCAAGGAGTTTGGACTTACTGAAACAGGCAAAAGGGAGCCAAAGAAGATTTTGAGCAAGTGATAAACATAATAAAAAATGCTTATTAGGCAAGTTAATATGCCAGCAGTTCCTAAATTGGACTGGGTTGAAGAATAACAATATAAAGCAGCCAGCAATGATTGAGTAGTTACTATGTACCCAGCACCATGCCAAACTCTTTGCATACATTTTCTCATTTAATGAAAGTAATAATTAATGCATTTAAGACTCAGTGTCTGGCCCATAATGTATTCCAACCCTCACAATCATCCTGTAAATTGAGTATTATTACCTCAGTTTTATAGGTGATGTCTATATTGGTCTGTTTGCTATTGCTTATAACAGAATACCTGAAACTGACTAACTTCTAAAGAAGTTTATTTCTTACAGTGATGGAGGCTAAGAAGTCCCAGGCTGAGGGGCTGCATCTGGCGAGTCTTCTTGCTGGTAGGGAGTCCCCAGGTAGTTCGGGGCACCCCATGGTGAGAGGCTGAGCAAGCTAATTAACTAATTAATTAACCATTTAATCCATTAATCCATGAATGAATTAATACACAAATGAGGGCACTGTTCACATCAAATGTTTGAGAGTTTTTTTTGTTTTTTTTTTTTCTTTTTTCTGTGTCTAAAGGGTTTTTATTTAAGAGCCTGTAGTGCTGAGTTCCACCAAGGATTTGGAAGGTCACTCTCAGCAGCAGCCACTTCTGCCAGGACCAGTGGTGAGCACCTGGCAGGGCCTTGCTGTTTCCACATAAGGCAAAGGAATCCAGCTTTTCTGTAGGATTTTTGCTGCAGCTGTTCAAAACCTTGTGTGAGCCAGCAGTTCCAGTTCAAAGGTTAAGAGGGCGCATAGCACCTAGGTGGCCAGGTTCCTGTAAGTCACCACTCAGGCCATAAGTCACCACGGAGGGGAGAGACAAAGCAGCCACAGCTGTTCTGTTTCCAGTCCCACCCCTCTGGCAAACAGATGGGGGGAAATGGAGAAGAAAAGTTCACAAAGTCGGTGAAATGGCCAGGCACGGTGGCTCACACCTGTAATCCCAGCACTTTGGGAGGCCAAGGCAGGTGGATCACCGGAGGTCAGGAGTTTGAGACCAGCCTGGCCAACATGATGAAACCCCATCTCTACTAAAAATACAAAAATCAGCTAGGCATAGTGGCAGCCTCCTGTAATCCCAGCCACTCGGGAGGCTGAGACAGGAGAATCGCTTGAACCCAGAGGTGGAGGTTGCAGTGAGCCAAGATCACGCCACTGCACTCCAGCCTGGGCGACAGAGTAAGACCCCACCGAAAAAAAAAAAAAGTAGGTGAAATGAAGAGGGCAGAGGAGCTGCAGGCAACTACTTGCAGGCCCCACCACACACCTGACAGTTCTGCCTTCAAGATCCAATCACCTCTTAAAGGCCCTACCTCTCAATACTGCCACAGTGGGGGTTAAATTTCAACACGAGTTTTGGAGGGGACCAATACTGAAACTATAGCACTGCCCAAGGTTCAAAGAGGTTAAGTATTTTATACCAAAGATCAAAGAGCTATACGTGGCAGAGCTAGGATTTAATCTCAGGTTGATCTGCCACCAAAGTTGACTCTTAAGACAGGGAAGTATTAGGAAGCAATTTCAAAAGTCCTGACAAGTGGTGATGGACTAGGGGAGGGCAGGGGGAAAAAGACAGGAAAACGGATGTACAACTAAGTTACAATTGCATAGCACACATGACATGGTAATTGAGAAATCTTTAGATAGAGAGAATGGTCAAAGATGACCCAAAGTTTCAAACATGAATGACCAACAGAAAGGTGGCACCAGACTGAAAATCCAGAACCTAAGAGGCAAAGTCAATTAAAGGGATTCTGAATATATTGAATTTGATGCGTTGATGATAACCATGTGGAGATAACTTGCTAACATTTGGAAAAATTTTATTATTCCTTATACTCTGTTCCTCATTTATAACTCCTCATTCTTTTATTTAAAAAATTTTAAGAACAACTGAAAAATCAACAGCTCTTCTTAGATCCTTCAGAGAAGTGAGGTCACGGGACAAATCACTGCCTCTAAAATTAGAGAGACAGATACAGAGAATTACAACTTAACCAAGGCAGAAACCCATGAGCAGAAACTTCTGTGGGAACCAGTATTAGGGTAGAACAACTTAAACTGTAATTGATAAATTGCTAGAGGCTCCATTGTGGACAAGTCTGAGAAATAAAAACTCCAGGGGGTCCCAGTCAGAGGGAGGCCTCACAAGTTTTTTGTGAGGTTTAGCTCCATGAGCTCTACCAGGTTCTCACAGAGAGTACTAGAGAAAAATCCCTTTATACTTCTAGGGAAAAGTAACCATTTTGAAATATGCCAGAGCATTCTGTTCTTCTGGACAAGGTCTGCCTTCAAGGGAAACGATTTTACCAGAGCCTAACCTAATGGGGTTTTATCAGCGCCTAAAACCAACTGGGGGGAAGAGAAATACCCAACTCCAGCCCACTGCAGCCATCGTGTCCCACATTGCAAGTTGAGGTGGATATTGAGAAGCACTGTGAAGTTTACAGCCCAGGGGCACAGGCTTACTAAAAAACTGAGACCTCATTATATAGAATGCTTATCCTCTCCCTACGTCTTAACTCCACACCACTAAGGACTGTTTGCCAGAGTTCCTTTTACCCAGTACATTGTATCTGGTGTGCAACAAAAAAAAGTGTAAGACATACTGAAAGTCAAAAAACATAGTTTAAAAAGACAGAGCAAGCATTATAACCAAGCTCAGGTATAGCAGGGATGTTGGAATTATCAGACCAGGATTTTAAAACAACTATGATTAATATATTAAGGCCTGTAATGGAAATAGTAGACGACATACAAGAACAAATGGGTAAGCAGAGGGATGGAGATTCTAAGAAAGAATTTTAATAATGCTAAAGATAAAAAAACACTGCAACAAAAAGGAAGAATGCCTTTGATGGGCTCATTAGCACACTAGACGTGGCTGAGGAATCTCTCAGATTGAGGATATGGCAATAGAAACTTCCAAAGAGAAAAGAGACTGAAAAAAAAAAAGGAAGAGAATTTCAAGAACTGTGGGACAACTACAAAAGGTGGAAAATAGGCATAATGGAAATATCAAAAGGAGGAGAAAAAGAGAAAGGAACAGAAGAAATACTTGAAGCAATAATGACTGAGAATTTCTCCAAATTAATGGCAGTTAACCAAACCTCAGATCCAGGAAGCTCAGAGAACGCAAAGCAGAATAAATGCCAAAAACAACAACAAAGCCCTACACCTAGTCATATTATATTCAAACCACAGAAAATCAAAGATGGAGAAGTCAGGAAGTGGGAAAAATCCCATTACCTATAGAGGAGGAAAGGATAAAACTACATTAGACTTCTCAGAAACCATGCAAGCAAGAGAGAGGAGAGTGAAATAAAGTGTTAAGACAGAAAAAAAAAGCACCAACCTAAAATTCTGTGAAATTGTCCTTCAAAAGTGGAAGAGAAATAATTACTCAGACAAACAAAAACTGAGAGAATTTGTTGCCTGCCTTGAAAGAAATGCTAAGACAGTTTTTTCAGAGACAAGGAAAATGATATAGGTCAGAAACTCTGTTCTATATAAAGAAGAGCATCAGAGAAGAAATAAGTGAAGGTAAAATAGAACTTATTTTTCTTATACTTAATTGATCTAACATAATAGTTTGCTCAAAATAATTATAGCAACAAAGTATTATATTATGGATACTTTGTGTGTCTATACATGCTTATATATGTTTATGTATTAAGTAAAATGAATGAGTGATTAAAAGGATGAGAGGGAGGAATTAGGAATATTTTGTTATTATAAGGTACTTTCACCATCCCTGAAGTGTTATAGTGTTATTTGAAAGTAGACTTGGATTAATTGTAAACATATATTGCAAATTCTAGGGCAACCTCTAAAAAACATTTTTTAAAAAGTATATATTAATTAATATGCTAAGAAAGGAGAGAAAATGGAATAATACAAAATGCTAAATTAAAGCCACAAAAGGCAGAAAAAGAATAGAAGACAAAAATAGGAACAAAGAATAATGAATAGAAAATAGTAATAACTATGGTAGATATTAATCCAAATGTATCAATAATAATTTTAAACATCAGTTGTCTAATATACCAATGAAAAGACAGATTGTCAGAGTAGATTAAAAAAAATCCAACTATATGTTGTATACAAGAAACCCACTTTTAATATAAACACACAGATTAAAAGTAAATTAATGGAGAAAGCCATACTATGCTAGTTCTAATCAAAAGAGAGTGTGAGAAACTATATTAATTTTAGGCAGCAGACTTCCGAGCAAGGAAAGTTATCAAAGGTAAAGAGAGGCATTAGACAATGATAAAAGGGTTAATTCTCTAAGAAGACAGGACAATTCTTAATGTGTGTGCACCTAAAAACAGAGCATCAAAATATGTGAGGCAAAAATGGATAGAATCGCAAGGATAAATAGAAGAAACCACTATTATAGTTGGAGACTTCAACACTCCTCCATCAGAAATGGACAAATCCAGCAGGCAGAAAATCAGTAAGGACATAATTGAACTCAATAGCACCATTAATCAGGTGGATATAATTAACATCTATAGATGACTTCATCCAACAACAGCAGAAAACACATTCTTCTGAAGCTCACACAGAACATCTACCAAGATGATCACATTCTGGGCCATAAAACACACCTTAACAAATTTAAATGAATAGAAATCACGCCATGTCTGCCCTCAGATGTCAATGGAACTAAACTAGAAATGTATCACAGAAAGATAGCTGAAAAACCCTAAAATACTTGGGACATAAAACACTTCTACACAACACATGATGGAAAAAAGAAATCTCAAGAGACATTTAAAAATATTTTGAAGTAAATGAAAATGAAAATACAACTTATCAAAATTTGTGGGATGCAGTGAAAGCAGCACTTAGAGGGAAAGTTATAGCATTGAATGCATGCATTAGAAAAGAACAAAGATTTAAAATTAATAATTGTTATGTACTGAATGTTTGTGTCCCCCTGAAATTCATATGTTAAAGCTCTAACCTTGAATGTGATGGTGTTAGGAGGTGGGACCTTTGGAAAATAATTAGATTTAGATGAAGTCATGAAGGTGGAGCCCCCATGATGAGCTCAGTGCCCTTATAAGAAGAGGAAGAAGCACCAGAGCTTCCTTTCTCCACCATGTGAAGACACAGCAAGAAGGCAGCCCTCTGCAAGACACGAAAGGGACGCTCACCAGAACCCAATTATCAGGGTGATCTCAAACTTCCCAGCCTCCAGAACTGTGAGAAATAAATGTCTGTTGTTCAAGCCACAGTCCCTGGTATTTTGTTATAGCATCCCAAGTGGACGAAAACAATAAATAATCTAAGCTTCTACCTAGGGAAACCAGAAAAAGAAGACCAAATTATAGACAAAGTAAGCAAAAGAAAAGAAATAATAAAAATTAGAGGCCGGGAGCAGTGGCTCACGCCTGTAATCCCAGCACTTTGGGAGGCCGAGGAGATTGAGACCATCCTGGCTAACACGGTGAAACCCCATCTCTACTAAAAATACAAAAAATTAGCCGGGCGTGGTGACGGGCGCCTGTAGTCCCAGCTACTCGAGAGGCTGAGGCAGGAGAATGGCGTGAACCCGGGAGGCGGAGCTTGCAGTGAGCAGAGATGGCGCCACTGCACTCCAGCCTGGGGGACAGAGCGAGACTCCGTCTCAAAAGATAAAAATTAAAATTAAAAAATTAGAGACAAAATCAACAAAATTCAAAACAGGAAATCAATAGATAAACTCAATGAAACAAAAAAACTGGTTGAAAAGACCTATAAAATTGCTGAGCCTCTAGCCAGGCTAATTTAGAAAAAAAGAGAGAAGACACAAATTACTAATATTAGAAATGAAAGAGGGGGCATCACTACAAATCTCATGGACATTACAAGGATAATAAATAGATATATGAGTGACTGTATGCCCACAAATTTGATAACCTCCTATATGAAATGAACCAATTACTTGAAAGACACAATCTGCCAAAACTCTCACTCACACACACAATCTAAATAGGCCTATATCTATGAAAAAAATTGAATCAATAATTAATAACCTTCCAAAGCAAAAAGTACCACACTCAGATGGATTCACTGGTGAATTCTACCAAACATTTAAGGAAGAAATTATGCCATTTCTTTATAATCTCTCCCAAAAGATAGAAGCAGAGAGAATATTTTCTAACTCATTCTATGAAGCCAGAATTACTCTAATACCAAAATCAGACAAAAACATTATAGAAAAGAAAACTACAGACAAATATCTCTCATGAACATAGATGCAAAAATCCTCAACAGAATACTAGCAAATGAAATCCAATAATGTACAAAAAGAATTATACAGGCCAGGCATGGTAGCTCATGGGATTACATGGTAGTGTAATCCCAGTGCTTTGGGAGGCCAGTAGGAGGACTGCATGAGCCCAGGAGTTTGAGACCAGCCTGGGCAACATAGTGAGACACTGTCTCTACAAAAAATAAAAAATTAGCTGAGTGTGGTGTCACATGCCTGTAGTCCCAGCTACTTGGGAGGCTGAGGCAGAAGGATTGCTTGAGCCCAGGAGTTCAAGGGTGTAGTGAGCTATGATCAAGCCACTACACTTCAGCCTGGGTGACAGAGCAAGATCATGTCTCTTAAAAAAAAAAAAAAGTATACACCATGACTGAATAGGTCATATCCCAGGTATGCAAGGCTGATTCAACATTAAAAAATCAATTAATGCGATGCGTCTCATCAACAGGCTAAAGAAAAAATCATACAATCATATCAATAGATACAGAAAAAGCATTTGACAAAATCCAATACCTATTCACAATGAAAACTGTCAGTAAACTAGCAATAGAGGGGAAATCCTCAACTTGATAAAGAACATTTGCAAAAACCCTGCAGCTAACATCATACTTAAGGGTAAAAAACTGAAAGTCTTCCTATAAGATCAGAATAAGGCAAGAATGTCCCCGCTAACCATTCCTTTTCAAGATTGTACTGGAAGTCCTAGCAAATGAAATAAGACCAGAAAAGGAAAGAAAAGATATTCGGATTGCAAAGGAAGAAATAAAACTGCCTTTGTTTTCAGATGACATAATTGTCTATGTAGAAAATCTGAAAGAATCAACAAAAATCTCCTGGAACAATAAGTAATTATAGCAAGGTTGCAGAATACAATGTTAATATATAAAAGTCAATCACTTTCCTATATACCAGCAATGAACAAACAGAATTTGAAATTAAAAACACAATACTATTTACATTTGCATCTCTAAAAATGAAATACTTAGATATAAATCTAACAAAATATGTACAGGATAAATATGAGGAAAACTACCAAACTCCAATGAAAGAAATCAAAGAACTAAATACGTGGAGAGATATTCCAAGTTCATAGATAGAAAGAGACAATATTGTCAAGTTATGTTATTCCCAACTCAATCTGTAGATTCAACACAATCCCAATCAAAATTCCAACGAATTATTTTGTGAATATTGATAAACGGATTCTAAAGTTGATATAGAAAGGCAAAAGACCCAGCATAGCCAATCCAATGTTGAAGGAGAAAAACAAAGTTGGAGGACCAACATTACCTGATATCAAGATTTACTATAAAGCTACAGTAGTCAAGACAATGTGCTACTGGTGAAGGAATAAACAAATCAATTAATGGAACAGAATAGTGTCCAGAAATAGGCTGCCACAAATATAGTCAACTGATTTTTGACAAAGGAGCAAAGGCAATTCAATAAAGACAGTCTTTTCAACAAATAGTTCTAGAACAACCGGATTTCCACACGTGAACGTATGAATCTAGACACAGACTTTATACCTCTTATGAAAATTAACTCAAAATGATGGCCGGGCACGGTGGCTCACACTTGTAATCACAGCACTTTGGGAGACTGAGGTGGGCAGATCATGAGGTCAGGAGTTCAAGACCAGCCTGGCCAACATGGTGAAACCCTGTCTCTACTAAAAATACAAAACTTAGCTGGGCATGGTGCGCACGCCTGTAGCCCCAGCTACTTGGGAGGCAGAGGCAGGAAAATCTCTGGAACCTGGAAGGTGGAGGTTGTGGTGAGCCGAGATTGGACCACTGCACTCCAGCCTGGTGACAGAGCAAGACTCCGTCTCAGAAAAAAAAAAAAAAACAAAAAAACAAAACAAAAAAAAAAACTTGAAATGGATTACAGCCTTAAATGATGTAAAACTACACTAAACTATATAAACACAAAACTATAAAACTCCTAGATGATAGCATAGGAGAAAATACAGATAACTTTGGGAATGGCAATGACTTTATAGATACAACATTGAAAGCAAGAAATATTAATAAGCTACACTTCATTAAAATTGAAAACTTCTGCTCTGTGAAAGAAACTCAAGAAAATGAGAAGACAGGAATGTAAAATGATACAGTCACTGTAGAAAACAGTATGGGAGTTCCTCAAAAAAATTGAAAATAGAATTACCATCTGATCCAGCAATTACACTTGTGGATATATTCCCAAAAGAATTAAAAGTAGGGTCTTGAAGAGATATTTGTACACCCATGTTCATAGCAGCATTAGTCACAATATCTAAAACATGGAAGCAATTATTGCTTTTGCTTATGCTATTGCTTGCATATTTGGCCCTCCAAACCTCAGGCTGAAATTTAATCTCATGTTGGAGGTGGGGCCTAATGAGAAGTGTTTGAGTCATGGCAGTAGATCTCTCATGAATGGCTTTGCTCTACTAGAGCAAAGATTGTTAAAAAGTCTGGCACCTTCACCCACACCCATGCTGCTGTTCTCTCATCATGTGATCTCTGCACACGCAAGTTCCACTTCCCCTTCTACCATGAATGGAAGCAGCTTGCGGCCCACACCATATGCAGATGCCAATGGCATACTTCTTGCGCAGCTTGCAGAACCATGAGCCAAATGAACTGCTTTTCTTTATAAATTACCTAGCTCAGGTAGTCCTTTATAGTAGCACTAAATGGGCTAAAACAACTCAAGTGTCCATCAACAGACGAATGGATAAGTAACGTGTAGAATGGAATATTATTCAGTTTTTAAAAGGAGGGAAATTCTGACATATGCTACAACATAAATGAACCTTGAAGACATTATGCTAAGTGAAATAAGCCAGTCTTAAAGTGATAAATACTGTGTGATTACACTTATATGAGATACTTAGAGTGGTCGAACTCACAGAGACAGAAAGTAGATTAGTGGTTGCAAAGGGCTGGGGAAAGGGGAAATAGGAGTTATTGTTTAATGGGCATAGAGTTTCAGTTTTCACAAGAAGAAAAGAGTTATGGAGATGGATGGTGGTGATGGTAGCACAACATTATGAATGCATTTAATACAACTGAGCTGTGTACTTAAAATGAGTAAGATGATAAATTTTATGTTATATATATTTTACTACAATAAAATTTTTTAAAAGAATGGGAAGATAAGCCACATACTGGGGAAAATATTTGCAAAAGACATATTCAAAATAAACAAAGAACTCTTAAAACTGAACAATAAGAAAACAAACAACCCGATTAAAAAATAGGCAAAAGACCTGTACAGTCACTTTACCAAAGAAGGTATACAGATGGCAAGTAAGCATGTACAAAGATGCTCAACATTACATGTAACGAGGGAAATTCGAACCAAGACAACAGTGAGATACCACTATACATCTATTAGAATGGCCAAAATCCAGAAAATAGACAATACCAGGTGTGGCTGAGGATGTAGAGCAAGAGGAATGCTCATTCATTGCTGATAGGAATGTACATTTGTACAGACACTTTGGAAGACAGATTGGTGGTTGTTAAAAAGAACCTGGCACCTTTCCCAATACCCTTGCTCTGTTCTCTCATCATGTGATCTCTGCACATGCCAGCTCCCCTTCCCCTCTTGCCATGAATGGAAGTAGCTTGAGGCTCCTACCAGAAGCAGATGCAAAGGTAAACATACTCTTACTATATAATTCTGCATTCTGGCTCCTTGATATTTACCCAAAGGAGTTGAAAAGTTACTTCCACACAAAAGCCTGCACATGGATGTTTATAGCACCTTTATTCACAGTTGCCAAAACGTGGATGCCAAGATGTCCTTCAGTAGGCGAATGGATAAATTGTGGTACATTCAGAAAATGGAATATGATTCAGTACTAAAAAGAAATGAGATATCAAGCCATGAAAAGATATGAAGGAAACTTATATACATATTACTAAATAAAAGAAGCCAATCTGAAAAAGTCACCTACTATCTGATTCCAACTATATAATATACTGGAAAAGGCAAAACTATGGAGACAGTAAAAAGATCAGTGGTTGTCAGGAGTCAAGGGGCTGGGAATAATGGACTGGCAAAGCACAGATTTTAAGGGCAGTGAAAATATGCTGTACAATACTGTCATGGTGGATCTGTGTCATTATACATTTGTGAAAACCTGTAGAATGTTCACACCAAGAGTGAACCCTGATGCAAACTATGGGCTTTGGGTGATAATGATGTGCTAATGTAGGTTCGTTGATTGGAACAAATATACCACCTCGGTGAGGGATGTTCATGGTGGGGGAGGCTGTGCACGTGTGAGAGCAGTGGATATATGAAAAATCCCCATACCTCCTGTTCAATTCTGTTATGAACCTAAAACTGCTCTAAAAAGTCATCTAATTTTTAAAATTTTAACATAAAATTAAATTGGCATGGATGTGTGTGGACTTGAAAATTTTAACATATTTATAGGTTTGTGTAACTACCACCATAATCAAGACACAGAACAGTTCCATCACCCCCAAAACTTCCTCATTCTGTCTTTTTGTAATTACACTTTTTCCCTGTGTCTAACCACTGCCAACCACTGATCTGTTCTCCATTACTGAAGAATGCCATATAAATGGAACCATGCAGTATGTAACCCTTTAAAGACTGGTCTCTTTCACTCAGCATGCCTTAGATTCATCAAACTTGTTTCATGTATCAACAGTTTACTCGTTTTTAATCTATTGTGTGGATGAACTGCAGTTTGTTTATCCATTTACTTGTTTAAAAATACTTGGATTATCCATTTTGGGCAATCATGTATAGAGCTGCTATAAATATTCTTGTACAGGTTTTTGTGTGGACACAAATTTTTATTTTTCTAAGGCAACTAGATAGTTGCCCTATATAGTACAATTGCTGGGTCACATGGTAATTTATGTTTCCTTTTATAAAAAAAAATTGTCAAGCTTTTCCAGAGTGGCTGTACCATTTTGCATTTCCACCAGCAGTGTATGAGAGTTCCAATGTAGGAGAGCCTTCTCATCAGCACTGTGTATTGTCAATATTCTTATTGTCACCATTCTAATGTGTGTCATGCATCTTATTAAGGGTTTAATTTGCATATTCCTGATAGCTAAGGATGTTGAACATCCTTATTTGCTTTATATATCATCTTTGGTAAAGCGTCTTTTACTCATTTTTTTATTGGGTTGTTTGATTTCTTGTGCGAAGTTTTGAGAATTCTTTATATATTCTGTATTCAAGTCCTTTTAAAAATCTGTTTTGCAAATATTTTCTCATAGTCTGTAGCTTGTTTTTCATCCCCCTTTATTATGTATTTTACAGCAGTTTTTTTTTAACTTTGATGAAGTCCAATATACCCATATTTTTATTTTATGGATCATGCTTTTTTGTCATGTCTTAGGTCTTTATGCCTAATTCCTGGTCATTAACATTTTCTCCTGAAAGTTTTATAGTTTTATGTTTTAAATCTGTGATCCATTCTGAATTGATTTTTGTATAGTGTGAGGTTTAGGTTGAGGTTTTTCTGCATACAGATATCCATCTGTTCCAACACAATTTGTTGTAAAGATTATCCTTTCTCCGGTGAATTGCCTTTGCACCTTTGTAAAACATCAATTGGCAACATTTGTTTGTGTCTATTTCTAGATTTTTTTTTTTTTTTTGAGACGGAGTCTTGCTCTGTCGCCCAGGCTGGAGTGCAGTGGCGCAATCTCGGCTCACTGCAAGCTCCGACTCCCAGGTTCACGCCATTCTCCTGCCTCAGCCTCCCAAGTAGCTGGGACTGCAGGCACCCGCCACCATGCCCAGCTAATTTTTTGTATTTTTACTAGAGACGGGGTTTCACCATGTTAGCCACGATGGTCTCGATCTCCTGACCTTGTGATCCACCCGCCTCGGCTTCCCAAAATGCTGGAATTACAGGCGTGAGCCACCGCGCCCGGCCTATTTCTAGATTCTTTATTCTGTTTCATTAATCTTTGTATCTCTTCTGTTTCCAATACCACAATGTTTCAATTACTGTAGCTTTGTGGTAAGTCTTAAAATCAGGTAGTGTGATTCATCCACTTTTATTATTCTTTTTCAAAATTTTTCTAGCTATTCTAGCTCCTTTTTGTTTCTGTATAAACTTTGGAATCAGCTTGTCTATGCCTACCAAAAATCTGCCAGGGTTTTGATTAGAATTGAGTTAAATTTATTTATCAATTTGCAGAGAATTGAATGTATACTCGATTGAGCTTTCCAATCCCTGAACATGGTTTATCTCTCCACTTATTTAGATCTCCTTTGATTTCTTTCATCAATGTTTTCTAGTTTTCAGCATGTAAGTCCTGGACATGTTTTAGGATATTTACATCTAAATATTTCATTTTTTAATTATTGGAAATGGCATTGGTTTTTTTGAATTTGGTTTTCAATTTTTGTTTTTAGTATATAGAAATATGATTGATTTTTATATGTTGACCTTACATCCTGCAACCTTGTCAAATTCACTTATTAGTTATACAGTGTGTGTGTGTGTGTGTGTGTGTGTGTGTGTGTGTGAATTCTTCAGGCTTTTCTACATACACAATCATGTCATATGTGAATAGAGATGGTTTTATTTCTTCTTGTCCAAACTGTATGCCTCTTATTTATTTTTATCATAAATAGATGTCATTTTGTCAAATGCTTTTTATGCATCAATTGCAATGGCTTTTTTCTTTAAATGGCAAATATGGGGATTACATTGATTGCTTTTTTTTTTCATTTTCAGATATGGAACAAGGCTTGCATTCCCTAGCTAAACCCCATGAGCATGGTGTAGAAATCCTTTTGTGTCTATGTTCATGAGAGATATTGATCTGTAGTTTTCTGATTTTTTCTGGTCTTGGTACAATGATATCCTGTTCATGTACCAATGCTTTATTTTTAAAGGATGGAACTTAAGAAATGACAAGGATTCTGCAAACATCCCATAAAAGACACTTCCTGGCAGCATTTGTTGGTCTGTGAATTGAATATGACTATGTTTTGCTCCTGAATTTCAAATACAGATGATAGTCATGTTATTCTCGGTGATAACTGACTTTTATAATCTCGCTGTCATATCATAATTGTTAAAATGGGTTTTTCCTGCTGACACATTTTCAGTGACTGAGGCAACAAATGTTTACAGTTTCCTATAGCTGCACGGCCAACTTGATGTCTTTTTCTTCTTCTATTTCATAGCCACAGCCAAAGTGGAACAAAATCTACCAACTTGGTCAACTAAGACAAGACCTCTGTGCATTTCACAACTATGTAGATTCCAGGGAGCTGAGGGTATTTCTGTTTCCTTTTCTTCCAGAAAAGTACATATAGGTCAGGTAACCCAGGCCTCTAGCAAAGCATGGCATTTGGCTGAGGAGACTGCCCACCTGAGGCCCATGGTTGTTCAGATAAAGGCCATCCCGGCTCATCGGCTAGGACATGGGAAAGCAGACAAAGGGCGAAATTTCCACCAGGCAGCCCCTCTCAAAGTGGTGGGAAGAATAGACAAGAAGTTAGTTATTCATTTCTCTTGTTCCACTTTTTTAAAAAAACTATTTTTAAGTTTTTCCTAAGTATTAAATGTATGTAGTCCTAATGTGGAGGGATGTTTATGAAGTAGAGTGGGAAATAAATGATTAATAAGTATATTAAAATAGTTAAAACTCATGTGGTGCTTTTTATATGCCAGATACTGCTCTAAGAGCTTTACATGTATTAACTAATTTAATCCTGATAAATATCCTAATAAGGTGGGTATCATTGTTATCTTGATTTTATTAGGAAACTATCACAGGAGGGCTTGCCAAATAATATGGATAGTACCATATGTACAATTTTAAAATCCACATATGAAAATATGATGTGGAGGTGAGGTTCCCCCTCTCTACACCTGGAGTGTGGGAGTCAGTAGAGGGATAGAAAATTTTCCACTTTTGTTGCATGTACATCTGTTTGTTTAGATTTTTTTTACAATGAGTATGTTTTACTTTTGTAGGTTAAAAGATTATTTTAGGCCGGGCATGGTGCTGATGCCTGTAATCCCAACAGTTTGGGAGGCTGAGGCAGGAGGATTGCTTGAACCCAGGAGTTCAAGACCAGCCTGGGCAACATAGTGAGACCATATCTCTACTAAAAATAAAAAATTAGCTGGATGTGGTGGCACACACCTGTAGTCCCAGCTCCGCAGGAGGCTGAGGTGGGAGGATCAATTGAGCCTGGGAGCTTGAGGCTGCAGTGAGCTATGACTGTGCCTCTGCACTCCAGCCTGGGTGACAGAGCAAAACTGTCTCAGGAAAAAAAAAAATTAAATTAAAATTTAATTTGAATTATTCAGCAACATAAGGTAATACACACTCATTGCAGAATTTTTGAAAAAGGAAGCAAGCAAAAATGAGAAAATAAAAATGATCTGTAATCTCACCACATAGAGGAAATATGCATTTTGGTGTTTACCTTTCAGTTATTTTTTCTTTATATAAATATATAATTTCATGTTTACCAAAAAATTGGGTCACACCGTGATGCTGTTTTCAAAACTGCTTTCTTTCAGCTACCAATATTATCATGAACAACTTTCCATGTCATTAAATATCCTTCTGCCAGGCTACACAGTATGGCCTTCTATGACTGTACGGTATTTTTAGTCACTTACTGCTGAACTTTTCTTTTGCTGTTGTAAGTGTAACATAGCGATTAATTGAACATTTAGTGTGGCATAATAACATGATTGAGAAATCAGCCATATCTGGTTTTCTTGGCTGTGGACTCTTCAGAAAAGAATGTGAAGCATTTTCTCCACATCCTGCCAAGGGGGCAGCCAGGGCTTCAAGTCCAGGATGTCAAAGAGGTTGGAAGGTGGTTTTTCCATTGAAAAGCAGAGTAGCCTTACCTGTGGGCAGTGACTTCCAGCACCAGGAAAGAGGGTGGGAGATCACGAGTGTCCACAAGTGGCAGCAGTTGAGATCCAACTGGAACTCTTCCCTCCACCCTGGGGATGGCACAACCTGAGGTAGAGCTGGGGGTGAGGGGGCTTGAAGAAAGCCCACTAAGTAGCTTGCTGCTGGGAGAGACCACTGTGAGTGGGCAGCTCCCCAGCCTGCCTGGAGAAGCAGTACCCACAGACAGGGAGGACCTGCCTACAGTCTGAGGGGCAGCCATTAGCAGTGGCGAGCTCCACTGAATCCCAACCAGCTGCTCCAGTCCTGCAAGAACGAACTCTTTGTTTATTTGGGGGTTTTTGTTTTGTTTTATTTTTTGTAAAATCCAATGAGCCAAGAGAGGAAGCCCTAAAAATGATATTAGACTTTTCACCCACTGTGGATGGGATTTGGGACCAGATTTAAATAAATGTGGGAAAATAAAAAATACTGGCATGTCTTTCCCATCAAGTGTCGTGAAGCTATTCCTTCCTCATTAATACGCAAATATGCAACACCATGAGGAGCATTCATGTGTTCATCCATGATCACTGGTTGTTCATTTCATACTTCTCCTTGGACCCCTAAGGGATGGCAGAGTCTGTTGAGTCAGCCAACTCCACGGACGAAGCCTCCTGGATTAAGGGACCTGAACTGAGCCAAAACAGATAAGGGTGGGAGAACCTGGGTCCAGTCCTCGCTGTGTCACGAATGTGCTTTAGAGTCTGAGCAAGTTTCTCACCTTTCTGTTCCTAAATAGAGGATTAACAAATAGGCTGCTCTGTAAAGCTCTGGGAATCTGTGGGTCATTGGCACTTGGGAGCCCTCAGCCTGTAGGGAATCTAGACAGACTCACACATCCACAGAAACCGCAAGCAGCTCCACATTCTCCCATGTGCTCCAGTCAAACCAGATTGCTGGCCATGTTCCAGAGCATACCCTACATTTCACACCTCCATATTCTTGCTCTTGCTGTTCCCTCCATCTAAAGTCAGTGTTCCTCATGTCCGCCTCTTGAAATCCTAGTCATCCTTTAAGATTCAACAAAACCAACTCTCCTTCACAAGCCTGCCCCATTCCCTCTACGGGGAGCGTCTTTCTTTCTTCTTCCACGGGCATCTTCCGCCTCTGACTGCAGTCATCTGGACACATTTTGCAAGCTCCCTGAAGGCAAGGGCTGGGCCTCATTCATCTCTGCATCCGCCACGGGACCCAGCTCAGGATCCTGCAAGCTATGGAGCAGCCAAATGTTTGTGGAACTAAAATTGGGACCTGGGCCTAGGCTTGGATGAAGTTTCGGGCTATTTCAGGCCCTGGAATGGGTGGGGCGATGAAGGGAATGTTGGGGTTGGGAGATAAAAGACCCGAGCGGGAATGAGGCTTGGGCTTCACTGACTGGAACAGCCTCTCCATCCCCACCCCTTGATGTCTCCTCATCTAGCCCGAACAGAAACAGGGAAACACTGTGTACTTGCGACTCTCTTCCATCAGTCTCTTGAGCCCTTCCAGGCCCTCACATCACCCACTCCTTCCCTGAACCCCTATAAAGAGGTCAAAGGGCCAAGCGGGTCTGCAGGAAATGGCTGAAGGGCCTTTGTGGAGAGGCCAAGGTCCAAGCTCCTGGTTCTGGCATGAGATCCATCGTTGCCGTTGGTCTAAAATATTGTGTTGACCCTCCGTCAGGACTCTGTGGAAGTGTGGAAGTGGCATGAGCTCATGTTGGAGGCTGAAGAGCTCTGTCCTCACTGCTGCAGAATGGGACAAATGCTGAGGGTGTGGAGGACAAGGCTTAACTCTTTCCCCGGGGAAGAGGCCAGGCTTGCGTTGTGCATGTGGAGCCTTCAACCCTTAAAAGGCTGTCCAGGCAGAGCTCCTGGAATCGTGGAGGAGAAGGGAGGTTTTCAAGACCAGGGTTGAGAGGCATGAGGAGCAGCCTTGGGAATCCAGGTTGGTTGCAGGGAGGGCTTGAGAGGGTGAAATGGTTAATGGTTTGTTGAAAAACAGGGAGAGTCCCTCCTCCAGGGGCCCAGCTGGCTGCAAAGCCAGGAGCAGAGACTCCAAGGGTGATGCAATGGGGCCCGCCCTGCACACCAGAGAGGGTGAGGAAGGCAGGCTCCCACCCCGCAGCAGCCTCCGCACCACCAGCAGCCGACCACTCTCCTCTGGCTCCAGCAAACCAGCCACAGGCCGGGCCCTTCAGGGCAAAGGGGCAAGACCCTGAGCACCTGAGCTTTGGGAGATGGCAGCTTCTGTCTGTTCCACTCCATCAGCCCCAGAGCCTTTCCAGTCAAGACAAATCCTCTACTAGCCCCCAGCAGGCATCCTGAAGGAGTACCCACCAGGATATCAAACCATCCTGGCCACCTGTGTCTCTGCGATTCCAGGACTATTTCCAGTCCTAGAGGCAGGTTGCAGGTTATGGGTAGAGAGGCAGGCCTGGGAGAGGCAAAGACAGGCAGTGTCCTCCCTTATCCCAGAAGCTGACACTTACATCTCACCAGCCCACTCACCATTGCCCTGGGGGAGCACATCTGCCAGGGAAGCAGTATCCCAGAAGCTTCTAAAAGACTTGGGGCTACTTCAAGGGTGGGTCAGCATCTCTGAACTCGGGAGAGAGACTGCTCTTCCTTCCCTAGCATGGGGCTAGACACAGCCTCAGAAGCAGGGAGAGGAAGCATGCCACACACTCTGGAAGACCGCTCAGGGTGGGGCACATGGAGACAGCAAGGAGAGGGTGTGCCCTCTCAGACAGTACTGGGAACCTTGATTTTCTGACAAAGCTCTGCTATGGACTCTAAGCCCCATGAGGACAGGAACTGTGTCTGTCTTGTTTACTGTGGGATCCCTGGCGCTCAGCACAGCTCCCGAGACAAAGCTGATGCTCAGTAAATAACTGACTGGGCAGAGGCCAAAGTCCAAGGCCAGTTTCACAATTTCTACTTTTTTGGTAAACTCTTCACCATCCCCACCTCCATCCTCCCCGCTCCCATATACACACTTAAGAGCAGGAAAAAACATACAAAGTAGCACAAACAGTCATCAGAACAGATTTCTTGAACATTGTTTACAATTGGTGGATGCCTTCTCAGTATGAACTTTAATGTGTGGCAGCTTTGGGAACTGAAGTAAGATACATCAGGATCTCTGGTCCAACCTAGAAAAAAAGCATGTGAGGAAGTTCCAAGGGGCTGCTGGTCACACAGCCAGACCCCGGGGCCAGGTTGGGCCAGGAAAGCAGCAATTTCTCATGGCTGGGGCAGTGTCAGCCCTCCCTTTTGAGGAAACACATCCACATGTCAACAAGTACTCAAAACCAGCAATGACAATCCTTTCCTGCAGCAGACGGGTTTCTGCTTATTCCTGTCATTCCGGGAAGCGGAGCGAAGAGAGAATTCCAAATTCTCAACAATAGCTCCTTTGCCCTCCATGGTTAGCCTGGACCCACATCTTAGTACCTTACATTTGCACAATATTTGCAACTTGTTCAAAGCTTTTGCATATTTATGATCTTACTGGATTAGGTCATTACAAGCCCCAGATGGAGAGCTATCAACCTGTCTTGCATGAGGAAGAGGAGGTCAAAAAAGGTCCAGGATGCCAGTGGCCAAGTTAGTAGCAGAGTGAAGATTTGAGCCCACATCTCTGCCCAGTTTTCCTGCTTCCTCACACCATGCAGCCTCGCCATGAGTCAGCTATCACGAGTTCCAGACACAGGACCTCAGATCCTCTAGGGCCAAAAGGTGCCTCCTTATCCTGGTCCTTGTTTACAGTCATTATAACTGCCCCCACTACTTACATTTTTGCTCCCTTTCTCTGGCAGGAGCTGGTGCTGTGACCCATCTTCGCCTGTTTTGCTTGAAAGCCATCCCCACACCCACTCCGAAACCACCTCCCTCCATTCCATTATATTGCACTAGTTGGAAACAATTCAAATACCGAACAATAGGAAAACAGTTAAGCAAACTCATAAAGCAATATGACAGAAAGCTTGGAAAACATGGACAATAATAACAAGTATGTCAATGCTCTCCGTTCGGGTCATGTGTTTTTGAAATATTGTAATTTGATCAAAGCAGAATACAAAAGGACATGAACCTACCAATCACAGGTATGTAAAAATGAGTTTCTGCAAATTGCTAAGAACTAGGAGTGAACTTAACAAGATGAAAAGAAATTTTTAAAAAATCTTCATGGATTTTTCTTTCCTATAATGTTCAAAATGATAATAAAGAGTAAGTGATCCTAATAAATATGACAATAATAAGCAGAGGGGGAGACAGAGAAGGAGGAATGTTTTCCCACTGGAACTGGAGAAGGGGAAGGAGAAAAGGCTGAGGGTAGGGAGGGAGGGAGCTCGGTGGGAAGTAGGAGCCAGGAAGCCTGAGGACCAGCACCCACAGCCACAGAGGTGCAACCGGGAGCCCACCCTCTGGGGGTCCCTAAGGGCCAGCGAGGTAGGTGACCAATCTGAAGTGGTGCTCCAGGGCACCTTTCACAATAATTACAATGTCAGTGGTGCCTCCTAGAGCTGTGCAAGGTAGCAGTTCTGGGACAGAAAGAAGCCTGGAGCTGGAGGGTTTGCCCATGCTGGAGAGCTAGAGACAGAGCCACTGCCCTCTTCACCTTCTTCCGAACTTCCATTGTCACCCAAGATCTCTGCAGTTTTTCTGCACTTTCATTCCAGAGGGCTAACATAACACCTGGCCGACAGGAGGTGAAAGGCCTTCAGGAGGAGCACAGCCTCCCCCTGGTGGGGAGCCTGACTGGCAGGGAGCGGGCAGTTCCAAAAGGTGCCAACCTGGGCTCCCCTGAGACTCAGGGACAGTGCCCTCCACAGACATATCAAACTCAACATGTCCCAAGCTGACTCCTCTCAGCAGCCCCCCTCCACCCCTCTAGCCACACTTGCTTCTCCTCCTGTGCTCCCCAGCATGGCAGACATCACCACCACCCACCCAGGGCTTAACACGCCCTGCAGGATCTGGCCCTGGCTTCAGCGCTCACTTCACCCTGCTTTGCACCCTGTGCCCCACCCACATGGGGATATTTACAGTTCCCGTAATATGCCAAGCTGTTTCCATCACCATGCCTATTCTCAGGCTGTTTCTTCAGCCTGGAGAATCTTCCCTCCCTTGCCCAGCTGCTTATCTGTCAAGACTCAGCTCTGGCAGCATCTCCCTCTGTGTCATCCCTTTGCCCTCCACTGCACCCCACCCCCATCACCTGTCCCCACGTAGAGATCAGCACCTCAGCTTATTTATCTCTGTAGTCCCGACTGACATCTAGCCCTGCTGCTGGCACTTCTTCGGCACTCAATATATATTTTATAAATAAAAGAACAAATGACTGAATGTAGAACATCAATTTGGGGGTGGACAAACAGTGAATCTGATTAACAAGACCAAGCCCACGTGTGGTAGCCCAATGCCACTACATTTCTGGTGACAGCATCTCCCAATTCACCACTGCCCTTAGGCCACTCCTTTCTAGCAAGGGTCTTCGCTCCAGGCCCTTGGAGACTTCCCACCACCACACACAGCAGGTGCATCTGTCTTTGGGTCCCTGTTCTTCTCCAATTGCCCCGTGGGGGGTCTCTCACCTGTGTGTGGATGCGCTGTTCAGGGCAGTGAGCTTGCCAGTAGAGGTGCTGAGTCAGGTGGGTGGGTAGGCTGAAGACAAGTCATCTCTTGGCATTCATGAGAAGCAATCGCCTTAGCTGTGCCATGTGAGGCTATCTTAGGATGGGTTTTGGGGGTGGGAGACAGGATGCAATGATTCTCACGGATGTTATGTTGTCACACTCCCTGGCTGGGTGAGCTCTTTGCTCTCCAGCACACACGTGATGGAAGGGATGGCAGCCACCCATGCCCCCTGCAGTGGCTGGTTTCCAAGAATGTCCCGGGCCCCTGGCCTCACTTGAACCACATAGGCCTAATGCTTTCCACCAGGGTAGGGGGTGCTGCCCTTCCCCTTTCCAGTCTGAGTCCCCGAACTCTCCTACATCAGCTCATCAACCTCCCCTCAGGCCAGCCACTCAGGTGAGTGGAGTCTGACCTGCTGATCTCCTTCTTAGCCCAGACTGCTAAGGTACTGCATGCTCTAGGCCTGGCCCTGTCTGTCATCCTCTGTAGCAGCAGCAATAGCAGACAACACTGTGAGCCTGGTGCTAGGGCAGACCTGGTCCAGGAGGAGTAAAGACTGAACTTCAATCTCCAGGAAGCTCACAGTCTGGATGCTTAAATGCACAGCAGAACTGGGGGACTGAGAGACAACATGTTTAGACAAAGTGAGTTCTAAAAATCAAATCCAAAAGACAGATACACTGATGCTTCTCTTTAAAAAAAAAAAAAAAAAAAAAAAAAAGATCTTCTTAAGTCACACATTTTTCTACTATAGGGACTTGAGATTTCATCCCTGGTTCCAATGGGTTCTGCCTCGAGTCTTTGGGCAGGCATCTCTGATCCCTGGGCTCTGCCAACAGTTTGGGCAAACCCACAAGGATGAAAGCCACTGTGAGCCTTATGTTCAGAGAGTCCTTAGTGCACCAGGTGTGGTTCCTGACCCCTAGCTGAAAGATGTCAGTCTGGCACCCTCATGGATGAACCTGGTATTCTGGTCTCCATCTCTGTTCCCGTTCTGCTACAGTGATGCCCCTGACAGGGAAGTGTGAGTGCTCAAAAAAGTGAGCAGATGAAAGAATACAAACAGTTCAAGACCAAGGTCTGCAGATGTGCAAAGGGTGCATTCTTCCAGGCACTTCTACAGCCCTTTTCAAACAGACAGTCTCATGAGGCTAGGTGGCTGGAACACAGGATTCCCTGACTAAGACTTTTAGGGCCCTAGAGGTGAATATTTCACACTCTCCCCAGCCCTGAACACAAATCAGTGGGGAAAATGCCATTTCAAACCAAAACTTCCTTCTTGAAAGGGTATGCCCTGTTAAAAACCTGGGAGGTTTCTGGATGTTAAAAGGTGGTCCTGGCCAGGCGCGGTGGCTCACGCCTGTAATCCCAGCACTTTGGGAGGCCGAGGCAGGTGGATCACGAGGTCAGGATCCGAGACCAGCCTGGCCAAGATGGTGAAACCCCGTCTCTACTAAAAATACAAAAATTAGCCGGGCACGGTGGCGCACGCCTATAGTCCCAGCTACTCACTCAGGAGGCTGAGGCAGGAGAATCACTTGAACCCGGCAGGCGGAGGTTGCAGTGAGCTGAGAGCACTCCAGCTTGGGCAACAGAGCGAGACGTCATCTCAAAAAAAAAAAAAAGGTGGTCCTGGGGAGGAATTTAGGGAAAGGGCACTGGGAAGACTGGAATTGCTCAGCACAGCAGAGGAGAATCTGGCTTCCCAGAGTCTATCAAGGAAGGAAGGATGAGGTGCAGAGATGGGAAGGGAGGAACAGGAGGAAGCTAGATTAGATGGCAATGGGCTAGGGAGCGTGGTGGGATCTTGTGGCCATTGAGAAATCCCCGGGTGGTAAGACAGCCAAAATAACTTTTCAGAACATTTCAGAAATGTGTTCTTAAATTGTTTGCTGTGTGATGTAATCTCTCCCCTGTGACCCACAAACCTTTATTAAAAGTTTTACTACATGTTACAGCCTTATTTTGTAGTTGTTTAGCATGGGGTGGGGGTTGAAAGGAGAAGCGGCTGAATTGACCCCAGGAGCTACAGAAACAGTCACAAGACCAGAATAGTGAATAAAATGCCAGACAAGGCAAAAAAACTAGAGCCAGAGGTGACCATGAAAATCCAAGTCCTCCCAGTAATGGACTTTCCACAGGACATGGTAATTGGAGCCAATGTCATTTGAATCTCAAAGGACAAGCTACCTCAGCTGACATTAGGATACAAGCAGGTTTTGCCTCTCCAGCTGAACTAAGCCTTGCAAAACATAAAATGCGTCACATGTCCTTTTGCCAGCAGGGCCTCAGCACAGGCACTGCACATAGTAGGCCCAGTAAAAGGGTGTGAGCAGTCCATGAATGTCCTGGATGCCCACTGAGAGCTGGAAGGGTCTAATGCTTTGGTGGAGCAAGGACCGGAAGGCCATTCTGGCTGGGGACTTCTCCATCAGCTCTCCTGGTCTCCACCCTCATACCCATCAGCCCTATCCCAATGAGGGTTTTGTAAACAGGCAAGGCCCAGTCGGAGATGGTGGTGGAGGAAGTCACAAAGCGTTGTGCAGAAACCAGACTACTCTGAGTCAGTTCTGCCCCCTATGAAGTCAAAAAGACAGGCACGGCCCCTTGGGAAGGAGCTTTAATCCAAAGGGCCTGGGGCTGGGCCAGTGAGTGAGTGGGCTGTCTCGAGCCCCGGACATTTCCTAGGAATCGCTGTAGGATGTGTCGTGTGGGGCTCTGGTCTTTGCTCCCAAACACCCCTTTCATGCGCCTCTGAGGCCTTGCCAGGAACCCCGCAGCCCAAAGACCCTCCGTTCCGCAGCATCGTTGCATGAACCTCGCGCTGCTCCCAGGGCTGATGGTGCCACCTGGTGGCACAAAGGGTCCTGCTCACCCTGGGAACTTCGCTCTCGAGCGGGAGAGGAACGGCTTCTGTGGCCCAGCCCAGCGTGGTGACGTCACGACAGAGTGCCCTTTCTCCCCGCCTCTTCCCCCTCCCGGGAGCTGCCAGTACTTGACGTGGCGTCACCGCCCTCTACCCTCGCTTTGCGTGCGTGTTTGCGTACAGCGGAGGTGGCGGCGCGGGCAGGTCGGAGCTCGGAGCTGCTGTTCTGGTTCTCTTGTGGCCGCCGTCGCTGTCCGGCTGCCTTGGGCTGCCGAACAGACAAGGCGTGGGCCACAGCACCTCAGAAGCCGACGCAGCTCGACGCAGGGGCCGGCAGGAGGGTGGGCGATCGCGTGTCGGAGGGCGCCGCGCGGGCAGGCGGGCGGGCGCCAGAGGGGGAAAGAGGCGGGGGCGGCGGGTCAGCCGCTGGCCGGGCCGGCCGGGGAATGTCGATGCCTGACGCGATGCCGCTGCCCGGGGTCGGGGAGGAGCTGAAGCAGGCCAAGGAGATCGAGGACGCCGAGAAGTACTCCTTCATGGCCACCGTCACCAAGGCGCCCAAGAAGGTGCGGGGGCTCTGGGTGGCGGCGGGGGCTCGGGCTCCGGCCTCGCGGAAGGGACGCGAGCAAGCCCGGGCTCTGGCTAGTTTGGGACTTCTGGGGGTGACTGGGGACGGCGGAGGTGATGTAGGGGGTGGCGGCTGTGCGGCCCCAGGCCTCTCCCGGGCTGAAAGGCCGCCTCTGACCTCGCTTTCCTTTGTCCCTCGGCCCAAGTCCTCCGGGATCGTTTTGAAACCCGACAGGGCCAGGCCTTAAATTTGCGACTGACTTTTCCTGGATGAAGGGCCTCGAAGACGAGAGTGGGAGGGGGTGAACCAACTCAGCTGACCCTTGTGACCAGTCCGGGGGCATGGGGTGTACAGAAAATCTCCCTTCAGGTGAGTGGGTAAATCTGGCAGAACTTCCATCAAATCTTTGGGAGCAGTGGCCGCTTTATCCAACAACTGCGTGATAGCTGGGAGGCAAGAGAAAAGAATGCGTGAAGCTAGCTCTGATATACAGGTGAAAGCGATGAGGGTAACATGAAACTGAAAATCTATGATTTTCACTTTCTACAGCATTCCAATTACTTCGAAATATGTAAGAAATTGACATTTGGAGGTTGGTGACAGCAGACACTGTCATGGATACAGGTGGATCCTAGAGTCATGTGAATAGATCACTTAGGCATCCCTGGAGAAAGGAGCTTGGGTGGGTTGGAGTAGTGGGTGGTAAGGGAAGATTGCTCACTCTTGACTGTACTTTTGAGGCAGAACAAGTTTGATCTATTGTGCTGTAGGTTGACTCAAAGGACACCCTTCGAATTCTCTCATAAATGGCAACCTTTGGAGATTTTAGTCTGACTAGCTCTCCGAGTGGTGGAATTGGGATCCTTATTGCTTTCTCATCATTTACTGCCAACCACATCTTGATTTTCCATACACCTGGCACCCAGTTAGCAGTAGACCAGAGAACCTTTACAAAGAGGTGACCTTCCTGAAGCCAGTGAGAACCCAGATAAATGTCTCCCTTCTTTATAAAGACAGAGTCTTACAAAGCTGTCTCTGCCTGCATCCAGTGTTTAATGGGATGCAGGGCTGAACAAAGCAAGGGCTGCAGGAATAGTTAAGTCCTTGAGGCTTCAACTAGTTAAGCTGTCTTAAGTGGGAGAGATGGCTCTTTTTTTTTTTTTTAAGTGAATTAACCTGCCACTCCAGAAATCAAATGCAAGATCAAAAAAGACGAGTCGCCATTGTGTGCTTTCGCTGTTTTCTCACAAAATTAAGAATTTAATTCCTTTAAAAGATTGTGGAAGATTCCTTGACTCTGAGGCATCTGATTAACTTTAGTGCTGAGAGTTCAGTTGACTGCTTTGTTGGGACAATGACCCTTTGCAATCTGCACTATTCTTTGGAGAAACAGTCACAGTCCTTATAAGCAGAATGATTGAGGGTGGGACCTTAGATGAGTTAGAGGAAAGAATGGGAAAGCCCTAATACCTGAATTTCCCAGACTCTGTCTTCTTTGCTGTTACTTGCCTTTATGTTAGTAAATCTGTATTCTTGAAAGTACCACTGTTGATAAGACAAAGTCTATATCGTAGATTGTAAAAACTCATTAAGGCAGGGATTCTTGTTCACCTTTGTATCCAGTGTGCCTAGCTTTGTACCCAGCATACAGTAGGTACTCAAATATTAATTGCTCACCTGGCTAACTAGTAACTGAGATGTCCATGTGGCCACCTACCATGAATAACTATCCCTTTTCCTCTCTTCTTCCCAGGAGGAATATTACTAATGTGTATTATTGTCAGGCCAAGTGCTGATGATTTTAGACTTATATTGCATTAGCTAAAAGAAGCAGGCTCTGCCAGGAATGTGGGAAGACCCTGTTTTAAGTTTCCATTTACCAGTAAATGTGCCCCACCGTGTTTCTTATTAATCTTTCTCTTCTAAGTTTTATTCTTTAGCATTTACGTAGTACTTTGTAATAAAGTGTTTCATGATGACTAATTACCCTTTCCCTAGTGATGATAAAAGACATTTATTAAGTTAATGGATCAGTTGAGGACTAGTCAAGGTCACATAGCAAGTCCTAGGCAATCTGTTTTTCAGAACTGCTGAATTGAACATTAAGACTTAAGTCACTTTTGTACCTCTGCCATGTGTTGATAACGTGAAAGCATGGGAAAAGTAAGAGGGAAAAAAGTAACTTGGCATGGTACTTAATGGTGTGAGAAAAAGACCTCTTCAAATGGTGCAGTCCTTCACCTATGAGAATTCTACCCTGGCTCTAGACCAGTAATCCTTGGATTATTCTGAAGCCCTGAGGCCCCTCAGGAATTGAGGATGTTCTTGATGCCAGAGGATATAGGTTACTTCAGGGTGACCTTGATGGTCCTCAGTTAGATCAGATCCCAGTGTCACTTTCTGGTCAGCTTTTATTCATTTTGTTTGCTTTGTTTGAGACAGAGTCAGCTTTTATTCATTTTGTTTGCTTTGTTTGAGATAGAGTGGATGTCCATCAATTAAAAGCATAAATATCTAGATTCTTCAGCTATAATCATGACTTACTCAGTTTTGTATGCCAAGGTCTATCACACTGCTATGAACAAAATAGGACTTGTTGGTTTGATTGAAGATTTGAGATGTCTGGGTGTCGAGAAGTCAACTAAAGGGATATGACCTTGAGCAAATTAATTAGCTTTTGTACCTGCATCTCCTCATCTGCCAAATAAGTGCCTATTTTTTTTGGAACAGGTGGAGATAGGGGCATGTTGGGGAGTTAAGATAGCAGTGTAATTTTTTAAAAGTCTATTCGTATATTTATATTCTTTCTTCAATGGGCATTTGAAGTGGCTTATAACACAGAACATATATGTGATATAAAAGGAAGTAAAAACTATAGAAAGAATGAAAAAAATATTGTTAACCTCGAGGGCTAAGATAGTTGATGAGGTTGATCACATGCAACTTGAAACTTTTAGCAGCCAGAGGATGAAAAGAATCATAGTTACAGTCTCCTTAGCAGGCATGGGAAATAATACATGTCAATTCCTCAAGGGGACGACTTTTCCTGACACAGAGTTCTAAAATAATTTTTCACGGGAATGTCTTAATAGCTGTAGTGTAATTCACATTGTAAGGCTTGTTCACGACTGTCACTGGTGATTTCAGATGGTATGGCTAGGAAAATTTGAGGTAAGAAAAGGAATCCTTGAGTTTTAAGAGTTAAGTGTACCACAACTGAAGAAGATCCTTGTTTAATGTTGGCAGTTATCGGTCAAACCAAGTAAGTAATCTAGTTCCCCATAACCACTGGTTATTTATCCCTCTTTTGCTGCTACTTTGTGTAACAGGAGTGGTAACTGTCCTTGGACCTTTGGAAATTGACACTGTGTCAAGTTGATTCTTTTTTCATAGTGTAAACCCAAATCTCCAACTTGTTGGAGAGCTCTTACAATAAGCATGTTTCTCCGGAAGGCCTTTCAGAACATTTGCTGTTCTCTGAACTTCTGAACATTAAAGGCACTCTCCAGAGTGATCCATTAAACATTTTGACCTAGGATCTGTGGAGTCAGACCCATCAGCAAAATGTGGGGAAGGAGAAGAGCACAGAAGAAACTACTTTTGTTTATAGGATATTCTTTATTTGAATGAAGCTATGTGCCACTAATTCATCAAAAGGGTCAGCTGAGACTTAGGAAGCACACCAAGTAGAGCCCCAATGGGTACAGCTTGGGTGTTAACCCGATAGGTAAAATCCAGGTTTCTCCTTTTGTCATCAGAGTTATCTTACGGTTAATTTTTGGTGCAGTTGTATAGAATTTACGCCAGGACTTGTCAGAATCACTGAAAGGAGATTTCATAGGTTGGCATTTCCTATCTTCACATCATTAGTATCTCTTGATTCTCCTTAGAGTGGCTGCTGTTGTAGTAGCAGTCTTTAAAACAGGAGTTGGGGTGTAAGAAGATCCTCTTTTTAAGATTTCTCCGCAGGTATTGATTACATCTCTTTTTCTTGTTTGGTTTAGTTAGTTACACTCTAGTTTCCAAATTACTTTGTTCCAAGTTTCTTTAGACATTTAGCTTGTAACAGAAATCTGTTAGAAGATTTCTAGATCAGTAGTTGTCTAGATCTTTTGCTGCCAAGGTTACAAATGTATACCTTTTCTTTTATCAGGAGTGTGTCATTTGGATCCAGAGTGTTTTACCCAATATAATATTCTTTTTTAAAATTTATTTTTATTTTTTATAGAGATGGGGAAATCCCTGTGTTGCCCAGGCTTGTCTTGAACTCCTGGGCTCAAGCGATCTTCCCACCTCAGCCTCCCGAAGTGCTGGGATTACAGGCAAGAGCCACCACGCCCACCCCAATATAGTATTCTTGGAAAGTTGTCTATAAAGGATATTTTGATACATGGAATCATGCAGGTCTTTAGTTGCCTGTGACTCCTAGCAAGTGTACTCTGCCACTCCGAGTAGTTAATGATCTGTAAATAAGCACTTTAATGCCCTCTTGGGGTTGTTTTAAAGGAACTGGCGAATAAAGGAGAATCATTTATACGTACCTGTTTCTCAAGTTTGGGAATGTGAGTATTGCATTTTTATAAAGAATGTCAACCCTGATTATACTGGATACATTTTATTATAATTTAGAACTGAATAGTAATTCAGAACACATGCTAATGAGGTGCGTCAGAAGCATTCCTGTCATGTGAAGGGCAACCTACGTGCATAGACCAGAATTTTTTCTAGCCTGAAATCTGAGAATCCCCAGTTGAAGACAAATTCTTACCACAAATTTTCCTTTTGATTATTGTCAATACTATCAGTGCCTATTGTGTAGTAAGCAGTTAATAAAAATTCACACAGAATTGCAGTTGCCTTTCCTTTTCTGATTCCATATTTTCCTTTGACTCACTCAAGTAGTTCTTTTGTCCCACTGTTGCTTGGCTGTTACATAAGACGCCTTTAACTTCCCGTTTCTGTTCCTAAAACTGTGAGTAGTAGTACAACATAAGGTAAGCACTGATTTTTGGAGTCAGTTTTACCTTTAGTCTCTACCATCTAATAGTTGTGGGACATTCAACAAGTGACGTCCTTTTCTCATCTGTAAAATGGGGAACAATGATAGTGCTATCTATATACATGGTTGAGAGGGTTAGCATTTAGTAAATAGTAATTAGTGGGGTTTTTTTGTACCTAGAGTGACCATATATCCTGGTTTGCCTGGCGCAATTCTGGTTTATACCTGTTATCCTAGCATGCAGTCCAAGGAGTGCCTCCGTAGCTCTGAAAGTTACCCTGGTTTATGTGGCCACCCTATTTATAACTCTCTGGATGATGCAACATGATAGTGCAAATGAGAGCCTAATTTTGAAATGTTAAAGAGCCAAAACAAAGAAGTTTCTATTGGAATGTCTTTTCAATAAGAAAATTTTTTTCTGACAAAAATGTTATTTTATATAGAGCTTACAGCTACTGAACCCCAAAACATTTTGTTAACTACAGGGGTGGGGTGTGTAGACAGAGATCTTAGAGCTTTTGATGGAGTTGAGATGTCCTCTACCTTACCATTCCCCATTCATCCCCCGTAATACATAATGCACTCATAGAATGTGGGTATTTGTCAGACACTGGGCCAGTCTCAGTCCAGGAGTTTATTTCCTTAAACTTCAGGTGTTTGGGGTTTTCCCAAACTAGAATCCTTGAATTACATGAAATAATTGCAAAGACTTCTGAACTGTGACTTTATCATTTTAGGTATGTACTCCAGCACCCCCGCCCCCATCCCTGCAGGTACTGTTTTCTCATTGCTCTTAACAGCCTGCTTCTAATTATGTATAACTGATTTTCTCCTGTAGAAATGTGTGGCCTTTGCTGCATGCCACTCATAGAACTAGAGTGGAGCATCCATGCCTTTGTTGAGAGACTCAGACTGCTTTCATTTTTGTTTCTATCTCTGTTTAATTTTTCTAAAGGATTTAGCCTGGTGCCTTAATCTCAGAATGTAGATAATGATGGATACTGCTTATCAGTATACATTGGGGGGCTTAATCATTCACTACCCAAATGGAACACAAAGTAAAAAGTTTAATGAACTATTGGTAAAAGGTAGTATTTGGAAATCTGGGGTAGAGATTGGAAAAGTACTTTTGAGAACCACAGGTACAAGACTCTCCAAGCATGCTCCTGCTTCTTACCATAAAAGCCCCAACGCCTCCGCTGATGTGCCTGTGTACTTAACCTGTGGGGCTTAATGGGCTTAACATGTTCTTCTCTACCAGCCCAAGCCAGTTCACTTGTTTTAAAGTGGACAGCCTGTACTCAGTTGTGTGATGGAAATGGGGCATATTAAACAGGAGGGGTCTGGGACTGCTCTCTGTTCCATGCTGTTCATCTTGGACCTGCCTCAGGCTTACTTCTTCACAATTTGAGGAACTGCTCAGCAAGAGCACACCCTATTGTTGACATGTTTTTCTTTTCTCTCCGGAACCTGCGAGTGTACGATGGCATTAGTGGAATCCCTCTGAGCCTGTGTGCCAAGGAAAATGCTAATGTGCTGATCCACAATGATGTGTGGCTCAGTGTGAACTACGTAGTAAATTTGTGAGTGACAGAGTAAAGGGGCAAGAGGCTGGAGGAGATGAGTATAACCATCTTTCATTCACTTAGACTTCCTGAATGAAGCCGTTCATACTGAGTTTTGAGCAATGAGAGGATTTTGGAAGTTCTGTTTTTAATAAATGGCTCCAACTCTTCTAGTACTTACTAATTGTATTAAGGTGAACCTTTGGGACATAGGTTTCCATATGCTTAATGGGAAATACTTTGTCCCTTTTCCCCCAAGACTGGCTTGACCTCACGTCAAGACCTCACGTCAAAGCTTTTGGGCCATGACCTGTTTCCTTTGTGGTTCCAGAAATCTGGGGGCGGGGGGAAGAAAAGAGAGAGACCTACCATAAAAGTTAATAGGACAGGCTGGGCCCAGTGGCTCACGCCTGTAATCCCAGCACTTTGGGAGGCCGAGGCAGGAGGATCACAAGGTCAGGAGATCGAGACCATCATGGCCAACATGGTGAAACCCCATCTCTACTAAAAACACAAAAAAAATTAGCTGGGTGTGGCAGCACACACCTGTAGTCCCAGCTACCCGGGAGGCTGAGGCAGGAGAATCGCTTGAACCCAGGAGGTGGAGGTTGCAGTGAGCCAAGATCGCACCACTGTACTCCAGCCTGGCAACAGAGCAAGACTCCGTCTCAAAAAAAAAAAAAAAAAAAAAAGTTAAAGGACAGAGATTCTGATCTGCCCTCTTTGACCAGACCCACCCCTTCTCCTTTCTCAAAGACTTTAAGGAGAAGACTTCAGGTTCTCATGACTGTTAGCTTTATTTTGGGGATGTAGAAAATAGAGATTCACTTTGAATTTTCAAAATGCACATCCCCATCTTTGTTTCTAATTTTAGAAGAGAGGTCAGTAAGTAGACAGATTTGTGTAGAAGATAGAGAATTGGAATATGCTTCTCTTTTGCCTATTTGAGGGAATGCTCTTGAGAATCACTGGATTAGAGACTGTAGAACAATGGTTCTTACTCTTTGAGTCAGAGGTCCTTTTAAGAGTTTAATGAAAATCCTGGTTCTTTCCTCAGGAAAATTCAGGAGCACAAAAATATGCGTATTCTGTTAGAGGATTTATGGGACTTCTGAAACTCATGGATCCTGGGTTTTAAAGTCCTGATGTGGAAGGCCAGGCCTCCAAGCCACAGCATCTCTTTTCATTACAAGTCCACAAACTGCTAAGAGATTTAAGTTTCCAGCCTGCAGTTTGTCCTTATGGCTTGGAACAAAGCTGAGGTTGTTGGCATTGTCAGCTCCCTCTTTGGGATGCTCCTCAGCTTCCCAAAAGACTCATTATAAGTGCCTTGAGAGTTCAGCTCAGGAACTTAACACACATTCGAACCGGCATTTCGGCCACTTTGGGGGAATTTTTGGTATTATCTCAACTCTACTGCTCTTCATATGAAATGCAGATGCCCCTGAAGCTCCAGAGCTGATTCCGTAGGAGTGTTTGAAATAGTAGCTCACATAGTAGATTATCAAAACTAAACAAAATAATTTGCTTCTGTATGTCTCTCAAAAATAGGTTGGATTTCAATGTAGTACTTCTCAAACTATTATATTTTAAGGACTGACCTGATATTTGAATTTTACTCATCATTTGACTTTTCTAGATGGAATATGTTGAGGGCAAAGACCGTATCTCACACATATTTATATAGTACCTGGCACATAATACTGTCAATAAATGCTTATTGAATAAAATAATGTGAGATAATCATTCCTTGGAGAAAGTAAGTTGGACTTATGTGGTGGCTTTGACTCACTTTCCCTTTCAGTTGGCTGGGGTGATTTTTCTAACTTAGAGCCCTCTCACATAGGTATAAGGAAGTACCAAGAACTGCAGGTGAGAAATTGATGAGAATTTCCAACTTAATAGATCCCTTTATAAAGCCAGAAATAGGAGGTCAGGGAGAAGACATCTGAATATATGCCTCCAGCTTCTTAGCCCAGTGGCAGTGGGCATAGGGATATCCTTAGACAATAATGGGGAAGGTAACTTGAATTTCTCACCATTGAAACAACTTTTAAACCCTTAGCATTAGGGAGACTCTGTCCAAAGTTGAAACTGGTATCCTGGTTTATACATGCTCTTGATTTAAAGAACAGGGAGGCTTTCACATAGGGTATTTGAGGTTTGGGGATTAGCGATGAGTTGAATAGTTTGATTTTGGAAAGTACATTGGAACTCTGAAAGTAATAAACAACAGCTCCGTCCGGCAGTGATGAGCAAACTTCTGGTTCTTACTCTGCAACCCTGGCTGCCCCTTCTGAGTCAAAGGCTGAGTTTGATGCTCAAAAGCTATACATGCCCTTCTCTCTTTGAAACACACCTTCTTTAGAATTACAGTCTTCTGGGAACTGGGCCAATGCTTATCCTAGCCAGAAGCTCAGGCTCTAGTTGGCACTACATTTTGTGTGTTCTGTTTCACTTCAAGTGTATAACTTAGGCAAGATTCAGGGGAAAAGGAGACCTTCAGAATTTTGCTATTTTGTGTTGTTTGTTTGTTTGTTTGAGATGGATTTTTGCTCTTGTCGCCCAGGCTGGAGTGTGATGGCACGATCTCGGCTCACTGCAATCTCCACCTCCCGGGTTCAAACAGTTCTCCTGCCTCAGCCTCCCAAGTAGCTGGGATTACAGGCATGTGCCACCACACCTGGCTAAATTTTTTTTGGTGTTTTTTTTGTTTTTGTTTTTGTTTTTAGTAGAGATGGGATTTCATCATGTTGGTTAGGGTGGTCTCGAACTCCTGACCTCAGGTGATCCACCCGCCATGGCCTCCCAAAGTGTTGGGATTACAGGCATGAGCCACTGCACCCGGCAAATTTTGCTATTTTGGAAGTTGAAATAGGTGCTTCCTAGAGATAGCAGATGTATCCAGTTGCTTTGGTAACTAATTCAGTTTCTTATGGGTGGCCAGGTGGTATCCCACTTATTATTCAATACTTGAGGGTTCAGTGCCCAGCTTCTGAGCACCAGCTTTCTTAGCAAGCAAGACATGAAGATTCCCAGTGTTCATTTATGAGAAGTAGCCCAGCTGGCTTGTCATGCTGGACTAGATGAATTGTGAATGTTAATTATATTGATAATACAGTGGCCTTGGTAACAGACTTGTAGCTGCTGTAGAATCTGTTTACTTCAGGTTTGTAACAGAAAAGAGACCAAGCTGGTTGGGAACATGGTGTTCTCAGTGTAATAAGATGTATTGTAAGTCCAAGGAAAATGCATCTTGGTGGGGCTGACCTTATTGCACCCCTTCCCCAAGATTTCCCGGAGAGAAACATTATTCTGGGGATAGTTTCTGTTCTTGTTTGCCAATCAATAATGAATTGAGGTTGGCAAAGGCTGGGTTTTTAGTGGAAGTGGGGTAAAGCATGTTTACAAATCATAAAGTTTAGAAGGAGAACACCTGTGTTAAGCACCTTATTTCTCTACCTAGTTTATAATTAGGAGGGGATGGTTGATGAGATTAGTTTCGGCCCTTGCATTCAGGAGGTGGAGCCCCTCCTATTTGGGGAGCAGGGGGTTCATAATTCTGTACATTCTTTTCTTACTCCGCAGCGAGGGGATTAGCTGAGCACTGGGCATGTCTGGAATGAGAGCACTTTGCCAATTTTTACTGAATTTGGACCAAACTAATAAAAATACAATCTCGGTCTTCCTCAGACAGTCTCTTTGTCATGTTCTCCTAACCCCTAGGATCCATCTGATGGATTGTCTGTTCCTAACAGATGGAGTTGGCATTAAAGGTAGATTCTCTACTTCCTTTGCCTTATTGTTTTATTTCTGAACAAGGCATATCTAATGCATTTGTTCCCTGTATTGGAAGTTGCTTTATCAAGAGCCTAGTAAACTCAGTGTACTTGTGTTTCCTTTTCAGATCCTGCTTAGATTATTTCTTAGATCAGCACTTCTCATTCTGTGGAAGGAGAAGAAGGTATCAGTCACATAGAGGGTTTTTTCGCAATAACTCATTACCTGGCTCTAAACTAGAGCTGTGTAATCAGAATGGGGGAGGAGCTGAGAGTAAGAGAACAGATGGAGAATGGGTTGGCATTTTGAAACAGCTTCACCAGATAAACTTGAAATCTCCCAGATTTAGAACCATTCTTTTAGATTATCTAGCAAGACTGGCCAACATTGTTCGGAAATCTAACATTGAGATGGTAATGGCCCAGGCACGGTGGCTCACGCCTGTAATCCCAACACTTTGGGAGGCCAAGGCAGGCAGATCACCTCAGGTCAGGAGTTCGAGACCAGCCTGGCCAACATCTCTACTAAAAATACAAAAATTAGCCGGGTGTGGTAGCAGGTGCCTGTAGTCCCAGCTACACAGAAGGCTGAGGCAGGAAAATCGCTTGAACCCATGGGGCGGAGCAGGTTGCAGTGAGCCGAGATGGCATGACTACACTCCAGCCTGGGCAACAGAGCAAGACTATGTCTCAAAAAAGAAAAAAAGATGGTAATGCAGCTACCAACTCTCCTGGATGATTTTGATCACGAGGAGAAATCTTGGTCCTCCCTCATGTGAAAGGTCCTGAAAATAGTCTACCGTTGCTCTTTTTCTCAATGTATTCAGAGTAAACCATGACCAGGAATCATGTAGCCCCATCTGCTCAGGGTGCAGCGTCCCAGGGCCTGTGCTAGGCACTTAGGGTGCATCAGTGAACAAAACAAAGATTCATACTCTGTAGAGCTGACATTCTTGTGAGGTTATTATTTGGATCATTTAAGTCCAGTGAAGTGGTTCTTAACCATTGGGGGTTTGGAACCCTCTGAGAGATGTGTACGTATTCCAGCAAAATGCACACAGTCATGTGTCACTTAACAAGGGGGATACATTCTGTAAACTGTGCCCTTAGGCAATTTTGTTGTTGTGCAAACGTCAGAGAGACTTTAAATGACTGGCAACGCAGTAGGTTTGTTACACCAGCATCACCACAAACATGTGAGTAATGCACTGCACTACGATGTCACCAGGCGATAGGAATTTTTCAGCTCTATCATATTCTTATGGAACCACCACTGTATATGTGGTCCATCATTGACCAACCTTCATTACACAGCACAGGACCTTGTAAGGGGGAATTGGCAGCCTGCAACCCATCCATGGACCCAGGGCTAAGAACCTAGAAGACTTGTCTAGATTTGAGGATGTGGTGATTGGGATAAAGCCAGGCCCTGAATTGGGTGTTTGGAACCATTATCTCCTCGCCAGACTGGGTTGTAGTTTCTTGATCTGTACAGCCAAAGCAGTATGTAAACAACTCAAGGATATCACTAGAAAAAGAGGGAATGGCTAAGCCTTCTCTAAGCTAAAGAGTCTATGTTTTATGTGAAATGCTAAGAATGATTCTGACTCTGTTCTCCCTCTTACCCTAGTTTCTAGTTGGCTGGGCTTCTGGTGCTCAATAGATTAAAAGTCAAGTCAGAATAAGAATTTCCCTAATGTGCTAATTTATGTTATGAATTCCTAGACTGAGAGTGATAGTAAAGTTATAAAGATCATGAGGACATTTTAGTGAAATTCTGGCTTCAAAAACACAGAAAGTGACAGGAGTTGAAGGGCTGTTGAAATAGCCAGAGTAGAGATTAGAGAAAGATGACAGGAAGAAAAGGAGGGCAGAACTCAGACAGTCAACTAAGCTGGTGAGCCAGTAGCCAGGAGAGCAGCTTTCTCCTTAAGCCAAAGTGAGCAGATCTGAGACTCATGCAGAAAAATACTCCTTTTTGGTCTTGAAGGGGTCTGTCACTGTTGCTTTGTTACCAAATAGTACCCGGGATAAAAAGCGGGACGGCAGATAAGGGTTTGCCTTAACATTTATACCAACGTTAATATATCTCTGTTGCTGGAAAAGTTGGTGTTAAACTTGAAAGAATGGCCAAACCCTGCCTGAGGGTTAGTGCAGTGTGTAACGCGTACTGCAGAAACATGAATGAAATGGGACACTGGGAGAGAGAATTATGTAGAAAGACACAGCCGGATTTAGAGGTTGGAGCACATAGAGTCCTGTGCTAGTTCCACCTTTACCTCCCTGAAATCTGATCTTTAGTATAACCACAGGTCAAGACCTCTTTACTTTAGGTTGATCTTTACAGGGATATCTAAGGGAAACTTTCCATATGCACACTGGAAGATAGCTGAATAAGGGCTGTGTTCAGGCTAAACTTGTATAAACTCATCTCATTAGAGAACAGAGCCCACAGTCCTCCCCAGAGGAGTGAGGAGGCTCTAGATGGTTCCAGTTATAACTGCTCTCCAGCATATGGAAAAACTGTTCTGCTATGAAACCTTCCAACCAGCTACTCACATAAAGACATTTCATTGTTTGCTCAGTGATGCATTAAAGCTGAGGCTGCCTAAGCTAGAGAATATAATCACATACCAATTATCTTTATTTTTTATTTTTAAAGAAGCCCTTTAAAATAACCAAAAGAATTTCACACCTCACTTCCTGGGACTGGGACTGTTTTGCAGTTGTATTCAGCTTATGAAGTTATATAGTTAAAAATTGCTACTAAGTTTTCGGAAAAATTATTCTTAAAAATTATAATTAAAAATTCTTATTCTTGGGCCAGGTGTGGTGGCTCTTGCCTGTAATGCTAGCACTTTGGGAGGCCAAAGCAGGAGGATCCCCTGAGCCCAGGAGTTTGAGGTCAGCCTGGGCAACACAAGGAGACCCTGTCTCTAAAAAATAAAAATAAAATAAATAAAAATTATTATTTTTTTGAGACGGAGTTTCACTCATTCGCCCAGGCTGGAGTGCAGTGGTGTGATCTCACCTCACTGCAACCTCCGTCCCCTGGGTTCAAGCAATCCTCTTGCCTCAGCCTCCTGAGTAGCTGGGATTATAGGTGCCTACCACCACACCTGGCTAATTTTTGTATTTTTAGTACAGATGAGGTTTCGCCATGTTGGCCAGGCTGGTCTCGAACTTCTGACCTCAGGTGATCCACCCACCTTGGCCTCCCAAAGTGCTAGGACTACAGGTGTGGGCCACCGAGCCTGGCCATAAAAATTCTTAAGTGGAAAATTTTCTCCGTTCATTAATTGAGTATTTGATATTTTTTTCAGCTTTATTAAGGTATAATTGACAAGTGAAAACTGTATGTATTTGGACCAGGAGTGATGGCTCATGCCTTTGGGAGGCTGAGGTGGGAAGATTGCTCAAGGCGAAGAGTTCAAGACTAGCTAGGGCAACATAGTGAAGTCCCCATCTTTTACAAAAAAGAAAAAAAAGATTAGCTGGGCACGGTGGCACATGACTGTTATCCTAGCCACTCAGGAGGCTGAGGCTGGATGATTGCTTGAGCCCAGAATTTGGGGTTGCAGTGAGCTATGATCCTGCCACTTTACTTTAGTCTTGGTGACAGTGAGACTCTGTCTCTTTAAAAAAAAAAAAAGTATTCAAGGTGTACAGTGTGATATTTTTATGTATACATTGTGAAATTATTACCACAGTCAAGCTAGTTAATATATCCATCACCTCATAGTTACTTTGTGTATATGTGTGTGTATTGTATGTGATGAGAATACTTAGGATCTACTCTTAGCAGATTTCTAGTATACAATGTTATTGTTAACTGTAGTTACTGTGCTATTCACTAACTCTCCAGAACTTATTTATCTTATAACTCCAAACTGTACCCTTTAACCAACATTTCCTCATTTCTTCCACCTTCCTGACGCCTGGTAAGAACCTTCTGCTTTTTGCTTCCATGAGTTTGGCTTTTTTAGATTGCACATAAAAGTGAGATTATTTAATTGATTACTTTAAATAAATATCTACCATAACTATGAAACCAAGATTCAGTAATCAGATATCATGTTACTTAAATCCAGAATACTTCAATAAAAATAATAGCCTTACAAGAACTTTTGTTAGTTGTAGTAGTCAGAAAGGTGGTACCAGAAAGTAGAAATACATCAATGGTAAAATTTTTTTTTTTTTTAACCTGAGGTCTTCAAATTTAATACAACATTTATTTTATTTTTATTTTTATTTTTTGGAGACAGGGTCTTGCTCTGTTGCCCTGGAGTACACTGGCACAGTCACAGCTCACTGCAGCCTCGACCTCCCAGGCTTGGTTTATAAATGTGAGCCACTGCACCTGGCCAAATATAACTCTTTTTCTGTTGGTGGAATTCAGCTGTGCTAGATCTTTTAGACATAAGACTTGGAAAGGGTGCTTTTTGAGTGGCACACCACAGATGAGAAAGGAACCTAATGGAATGTTTTTAGTTTAAAAGAAATTATCTGATTGTGCTAAGTGTTCATGTGTGAAAGAAATATTCCTCCAGCACCATTCAGCACAGGATAAACCTCTTCAAAAAGCACATTTAAAGTATATTCTCTGTTGCATGTTTTAGAATATGGTAACTTCTCATGAAATAACCAGCGAATTTCCCCAGTGACCAAAAGAGGAAAAAGAAAAAATCAGTGGCCAATTTGACCATACTAAACTAAAAATTTTGCTTAAACGCAGGTGGAAATCATACAAATAGGGAATTCTGAATTAATTTCTTTTGTCCTAGTAAAGTAGTCTAGATTAGATTGCCCATACATTCTCCTCCTTACTCCATCCCCAGAAGACAATGGAAGTGTATTCTAGAATGGAACATTTTGTTACCACAGTGTTTGGGCTCTGCTATTACTGGGCTCTCCTCACCCTTTCCAGATCTATGGAGCAGTACTTTTCAATGGCAATTTGTTGGCAACGTAAAAACATTACATTTCTTTGCATCATTTTACTTTTCTGAAAATTAATAAAGGTTTTTGGAACTTAAAGAATTATTTTCCTTTACCAGTGCTTACAAATCTTTATCTGGTGTTATAAGCTCAGAAAGCTTATAGTGCAACAGTAGACCACTCCAAGGTAAACTGACCCCTTGGAAATAAAGGGGAAAGCTGCTGTTTCCCCAGCCTATTCCAAAAGAAGGAAAATAGAACTGGGCTTATGGGTGTTTTTTGTTTTTGTTCTTTTTTTTTTTTGCTTTTTGCTTTTTAAACCTCAGTGTTGGTAGCAAATTGCCTTAAGCAAGTCACTTAGCCCCAACCCCTGTTCTGTTTTCTCATTTGTGAAGCATAGATGCAACATTGAAAGGATTCTAGAATGTTTTGAAAATACAAACCCTCTGTAAACTGTAAGCCACAGGTGTTGAGGCAAAGCACTTAAAGTCATATAAATCTAGGCATTCAGGATCTTGGTGTCCACCCTACTAGTAAGTGGGATTTCAAACTTCCTGTACAATCAACTTTAAGTAAAAATCTTCATGTAGTGCTATCAGGTGGTGTTACCAGTGATGCTTGTTCTTTGTATGCCAAGAGTTCAACAAAAATGGTTTGTAAAATATTTAGATCAGTGATATTCTAGCAGTGATATATATTGACAAAATTTGCCAATATTTTGCTATACAAAATTAATTTTTTTTTTTTTTGAGACGGAGTCTCGCTCTGTTGCCCAGGCGGGAGTGCAGTGGCATGATCTCAGCTCACTGCAACCTCTGCCTCCCAGGTTCAAGCGATTCTCCTGCCTCAGCCTCCTGAGTAGCTGGGACTACAGGCACACGCCACCATGCCCGGCTAATTTTTGTAATTTTAGTAGAGATGGGTTTCACCATATTGGTCAGGCTGGTCTCAAACTCCTGACCTTAGGTGATCCACCCTGCTCGACCTCCCAAAGTGCTGGGATTACAGGCGTGAGCCACCACACCCGGCCTTGACAGCTTTTTATTTCCCTGAGCCTATACTAGTTGGTTCTTATACCCTATGAACCAATACAAAATGATTCCCAAGTGAAAAAAACAAGGTGCAGACTATATTATCATGCTACCTTTTGAGTAAGGGAGGGAAAATAATATGTATTCGCTTCCCACACTCCTAAAAAGAAACATAAAAAGGATAAACCAGAAACCAGTGAAAATGGGGAGGGACACGTAGAGTATCAGGGCTAGGAATAGCAGTGAAACTTCTCTGAGTGTACCTTTTAAAGTTTTGAGACATGTAAATGTTTTATATGTCAAAATCAAAGAGAAAAAAGGAAAGCTTTAAGTTCTTACAAACACAAAGGAATGAACCCAACTAAAATATAAAATCTTAACCTAATATATCAAATTGATTACTCAGTCACACAGAAAATAGTACTTTGATTATATATCTTTATGAAATATATTCTGAGGACGAGAAGAACTTCAATGAAACCTTGACACGTCACTCAGTAAATTTTGGTGCGTAATAACATTAGTCTTGTCATTTTGAAACTTTTGTATGCATTATAGAATAAACAAACATTAGAGACAAGACATACAATAGGAAAATTAAACTTTTTTTAAAAAAGGTAATACTAAATCTGAAGTAGAAATATCAATATGAACTCATAAGTAAAAGGATTGATTTCTCTCTCTACCAAAAGAACCTAGGAGTAGTGCATCTCTAATAGCAATTATCACACCTCTTACTCCAGGTATTAGCTTCTAAATACTACTCCCTTCTAAAAGAAAGGCTCCTGAGAGAAATGGTTGATTCCAGGTTTGGAGAAGAGGAAGAACAAGGTGAGCCTGGTATATCTTCTTTTGTCAAAAAGAGTGGAAGGACTGTAATGGAATCATGTCAAAGGACAGAAGAGCCAGCTTGAAGGAGGCTCCCACTGGCCCAATTTGAGACAATATGAGTATTCAGTGCAATTAATGTATAATTAAGTGTAATCTGTTAAATACATAAAAATCTGAATGACAAAGGGAGAAGATTTTTCTTTACAAAAGAATGCCAGCTAATGTGGAAGCATTGATAGAAAAATAGAAGTTGCGATTCTATAACCTTCCCAATATAATTGGTTCAGGCAAGGATTATTAACAGATGGTGAAGTCATTAGGGAATAGGATATTAACATGATGAAAAAAGTATTGCCCTACAAATTAACTTTTACTTGCAAAAGAGAAAATGTACCTTTCAAAGAAGAGATCTGATGTTCTCACTTTAACCAGGACTCAATCTTAGCATTGCTAATAGTGGAACAACCCGACATGTGCCTCCTGATAATGATGCAAGGTGAAATATACTACATAATGCAGGAAATATTCTTGCCAGAATTTTAACCTTTTTCAAATAAAACCTCAGAACTGAACTTCCAGTTTATAGGAAGGAAACCCTCTGAAAAATTCAAAACATGAGTGATTTTATAAGACAATTAGTCTGGATTCCTCAAAGAAAAGTCAGTATCACAAGGGGGTGGGAGACATTGGAGAGACTGTTCTAGATTAGCAGAGGCTAAAGGAACCTAACAACCAACTGCATTTAATGAACCTTGAATCCATGCTGGGTTGGCAGGGTTGAGGAGACTGTTGGGATATAAATAAATATTCTTGAGAAAATTGGGGAAATTTGAATATAATCTGGACAGTCTGGATATATGAATATATAGAATAATTGTTAATATTAAGTGTGATATGTCATCATGGTTCTGTAGGAGAATATTCTTATTCTTAGAAGATACATTCTGAACAATTTATTGGTAATGTTCATGTTTGCAACCTTTATTTTTACAGGACCATGTGAAAGTATGCATGTGTATGTGTATATATATAGAGAGAGAAAAAACCTATTATGGAAAACGGAAAGATTTATTCTAGGTGGAGAGTACAGGTGTTTATTATACTATGCTTTTGAATTTTTTTATGTGCTGAAAATGATTATAATAAAGTTGGAAAAGTAAAGTACAACAATGGTGCTAGCGAGTGGGGATGGAGGGTAGGGGGTGGGAGAGGAGACTTTAATGTTGTCACTAAAGTAGTGGGTATGTTCCAGGAACCAGGATTTCTTCAGTCACCTGTACTGATTTTTTTTTTTAAACCTAGAATTGATGATAAATCAATATCGGGAGAAACAGAGATGACTGGCATGTGTTTATATAATATTGGTGGTGGGACTGAGAAAAGAAGTATGGACAGGTCAGGCAACTAGGTAGGTAGTAGATAGCTAAATAGGCATTGAAACAGTCTGGGTGTGTGTTACATTCTGTTGCAAATTGTGGTGTTCAAAAGATTGGGAAGCCCTTTTCTGTCCTACTTACTGCCTTTTTTCTAACTTCTTATGTTTACTTCTAGTTGGCAGTTGCAGGCCTCGATTACTCATTGACTGGAGCACTTTAGGAGATAATAGTGAAGTGAAGTCAGTGAAGTGTTTAGTCTTACAGGAAGAGAGGGGAGTAGCTCACAAGGGTCAAACTACTCTTTGGCAGAGTTTTTCAAGCTGTGTGTTCCTTACCTTTTAAGTGACTCAGCAGTTTGGGGCCTGGTATTGCCTCACCTCTTCTCGCCGCGAGCATTGACAGAAGATCTAGTTGAGTCCTACTTTGAAAGGAGTATTGCTTCTGACTGTGGAATTGGATTCTAGCTGTGTGTGTGTTATATCCTGTTACTGTTGAGACACAGAGGCGGGAGTCGGCGGGGGAAGATATGTGCTGAGATTAGTCAGCCTGCCCTCCCTCTCCCCCAAGAAACTCAGGCCCCATCTGGGGAGAGTGAGAACTTAAGAAACTTGAGACAGGGAAGGAGAGCCGGGAGCAGCCAAAACCTGCTAAGTCTCAGAAGACTGGTTTCTGCACAAGGGAATGGAAGAAGTGACTGGAGGTGGCTGTGGATTCAACTCTGGCCTGAGATTGATTCCCTTGAGATAAGTTGTTTTCTGGTGGGTGTGTCTGGGAGCATTGTGTTGGGAAGGGAATTCCTTTCTTTGGGAAACACTTTTTTTTTTACTTGAAGTGAAAGGTATTCAGACTTGTGTATTTCTTGTACCAAGGAGTGGGTGTTTATTGATAACTGTTTCTTTGGGTTCATCTGAAGTGGGAATCAGACTGGTAAATATCAAGAAAAACTGGGCATGGTGGTGTGGGCCTATAGTCCTAGCTACTCAGGAGGTGGGAAGATTGTTTGAGCCCAGCAGTTTGCAGCCAGCCTGGCAAACATAGTGAGACCCTGTCTCTTTAAAAAGAGAGAGAACGTAAGGAAGTAAAGGTGTTACACCTGTTTTGGCTGTCTGCCATATTCTCTTCCTTTCCTCTGAAAAAGGAGTGGGTGAGGGTAGAATCTGTAGAAGAAAAAATAAATTAACCAGAAAATATGTGTGAAAAAGGGATTAGAAAAGATGTAGGAATCTTGAAAAGTGTTCTGACACACTATGCTTAGTAATGATGATCTTGTTAAAATATCTAGTTTTTTATTGTTACTTTTTTTTTGCTCAGTTGCTAAGAAATATGCTGACCATAATTTCTAAACAGAAAAATCTCTGCACACAATATGCTAGGACAGACAATGGGACAGAATATATAAATTTAGGAATGTCCCAGAGAATCAGTAGTGTACCAAAAGAGGGATCCTAGCCCTTCAAATAATTCTCTGCAGTAAGAAAGACTGCTCTGCTCACTTCTACATTACACTTTCTTAATGATTTGTTTTCCTAGTAATTGTTGTTTATCTTTGAATCTAGTTCTTGACACTTAGGAAGAAACCTTTTTGAGGAAATTAAAAGCTGTTAGATTGGTATTTGAAATAACGAATTTGACAAGATGTCTAAGTTAAACCTAAGTTAAACAATATCCAGATAAGGCTGTGAAGACTATAATATCTGGCATGTTCCTCATGGAGCAGTGAAATTCCATGCCAAAGCCACTTACATTACTATACTGTGGGTCAAAACATGTCTACAGATTTTAAGGGACCGTGTTTCCTTGCATAGAACTTTCCTGGAGTAGCACTGGATACTTAGTTGGTGCCTAGCAAATGTGATGACTAAAGAATATAATGCATCACAGATATTATCCTGATCACCATTTCTTGGCTAAAATGTTGTAGTGGAATTCTGGTGGCTGTTAATTCTTTCTCATTCAGGAGATAGCAGGCAAAATTGGGTGGGCCCTGGGAAGGAGTGTAGCTGGGCTATTTAACATCTGAGAATATAGGATGTGTGTTTATGAAAGTAAACTCAGCTTCTAATGGTAAAAAAAAAAAAAATCAATTAGGATCAACTAAAGGAATAGCATACAATTTTTCTTCTCTTGAGGTATGTAACTTTTTTGGATTGTCTCTGATCCCCTTCTCTTGGTAAGGTCTGCACAATTCTTTCAGCTCACTTTGTCAGCAGACTTCCCACTAGGTAGTGCATATACCCCAAATTATTCGTTTGGTAGAGCTTTTCTTTACCATTCTCAGTATCACATGGAAGAAAGTCAACCATTGTACCTGCTAAGCTATTTGAAGAGGTGCTTTAAATAGCATGTTAAACTGGCCTGATATTTAATTGGGTTTTTAAGACACAGCAAGTAGACTTCTGTATTTGGGTGTGCTATTTGAAGAATGGGTCAATCTGACCTTCTAGCCTTTCATAAATATGCTCTTAGTGTAAGAATGGAACACTGGTATGCTTGTTCAGTTGTGGGTAAGGCTGTTTATGGGGTGGTGAGTTACTCAAGCATAACATCATTCTTTAACATAAGACTTTTTACTTAAAGATACTTTCTGCATTTCAGCCACTTTATTTCCTTTCCATTCCTTCTCTTCCCAATCCTACTTTTTACTTAGGTGTAGTATTCCTTGTAGATGTAGATTTGAAGAAAGGTGAAAGCACAGTAATTAAGACTTAATGTTTGGAAGAAATTATGATGATAGGAATTAATAGAAACAGAACAACTTTGTAGTCTTCCTTTTCGTCTTACCCAGATTATCATATTTGCCTTAAATGAGTGAGTCCAACCCAATCAGAAGGCTGTTGTTGAGATCTGGAGAGAAAACTTGTGATATCCAAAAGTTGCTTTTGGCAGCAGTGTTTATATTTTCAACGTGAGGGTGAACAATGCTCCAGGAGATACTTCACCAAGAGAAAACAGAGCTACTAGCTGTGAAGATAATCAGTGGAGCTAGCAGGTCTGGAGGAAACTGGCAGAGCAGATGTATTCCACAGCATCAGTTGTAACACACATTCTCTTCAGGCTGTAATTTGGGGTGGAAGAAAAGACCAGGTTTTCATGCATCTTTGTATTGCTGGGACACCTTATAAGTGGTGAGAATGTCAAACAGCTGCAAGAATACACAGTCCATTCATCCTTGCCATGGCTTGGGTTAACTACATTCTACCCACTTCAAATATGGACCATATTCATTATTTGAGAGATGGGGAGGTAGGGGCACTGCACTGGTTAGTAAGCTGCTAAGCTGCTTGCAACACAGTCCAGTATTTTTAGATGGGAAAGATTTTGCTTAGGTTTAGGCTACTGATGAGCTTTATTAATATAAGGGGAAATTATGACTATTCGGTTTTTAAGTTGCTGAAGAAACACATTTCTCTCTTGCCACAGCCACCTTTCTATATGAAAAACTGCAAGTGTTATTGCAGTTCCCTCCCCCACCCTCACCCTCCATGTACCTGGTATCTGGGAACATGCCCAGAACCCTTTGAAAAAAGGCGAACAGGGGAAGGAATCATAGCAGAGGGGAGAGTAGCTTCCAAATAGAATAGGCTGCATATGCCAGCAGCAGGGAGGCTGGTGGAGGAAGGGCTGCCTCTGGAGAGTGTTAAGAGGGGTTGATGGTCTCTTGACTGTGTATTTTTTTCCATCATCAAAATAACAGCATATTGAGTTGGAAGTCATTACCTTGGTCCTGGATTAATTTCTTCAGCAAAACTAGCTTTACTGACTGTAGAAATCAGTTTCCAATTTGTTTATATTAGCTGCTTGTGCCTAGGCTGCCCGCTTAAACCTGATTGCTGCACTGCAATCTGGTGCTCCCCTAGCTGAAGGGTACATGTGAAAGAGGAGGAGAAGCTTTTGCAGCTGTAACTAATGGGTAGTTTACTGTTCCTGGCTTTAAAGTGGCTGTAACCATGTTGCCAGTATTATACAGAGAAGATTTTAATCTGTAGTCATTTACATTTCCAGAGTATTTGCTAAAGACTTAGCTTAATGGATTCTCCAAGGGAACCTTTTCAGATTTAGTCAGATCGTGAACAGAATCTCAGTTCACATACTCAAACCATCCTGCTTATTTCAGGGGTGAAGTTTATTTTATTTTGAAGAAAGGGTTTATCAGAGTTTAAACAGGAGTTCGGGAGGAAGGTTTAAACCATGTAATAAAAGTGTTACACACTTTATAAATCTATAAATAATATCAATTGCAAGCTATTTGCTATTGATTAGAGCCAGTTTTATTCTTCAAAGAATTATCTAGTTCTGGCTTATTTCATTTAAGGAAGTTTTTTTTTTGGGTTTTTTTTTTTTTTTTTTGAGACAGAGTCTCACTCTGTCACCCAGGCTGGAGTGCAGTGGCACGATCTCGGCTCACTGCAACCACCACCTCCCGGGTTCAAGCAATTCCCTGCCTCAGGCTCCCAAGTAGCTGGGACTACAGGCACCCGCCACCAAGCCCAGCTAATTTTTGTATTTTTAGTAGAGACGGGGCTTCACCGTCTTGGCCAGGCTGGTCTCCATCTCCTGACCTCGTGATCTACCCAAAGTGTTGGGATTACAGGCGTGAGCCACTGTACCTGGCCCATTTAAGGAAGTTTTTAATACAAAGTTTACCAAGTCATTATTTTCTCCTTCCTTCAGATTAGTCCTAATGAGTTAGAATTTACTATAGTGTATGTGGGTTTTTAATTTTCTTTTTATCATTATATTCTGGTATTTTAAATTTTTAATAGGATAGGAGGTTCTAGAGATATTACATTGGCTTTGTGAAGTATAGACATATGGTTGGGCTCTGAGTATTGGCACCCTAATGCCCATCACCATTTCTAGGCATCTCTTCATAATTCTTTCAGAAAGCAAGACCATTTGCCAACTTTAGGAATGTGCTACAAGGGAATATTCTGAAACAAAAACCAAAAAACCCCAGTAGCACTATGAGATTCTGTTTTCTGAAAGATTTGGGAAGAAGGGTAAAGAGTTTAATCTGTCAGGGTTATAAGAGGGGAAAAAAACTTGATGGAATGTGAGAAAGATTTATAAAATTGAACATATACTAAACGAAATTGGTTCTTAACCTTAGCCCCTCCTCCCAAATCCTGCAGAAACAATTGGGAAGAGACAGTGATTGACGTGTTGGGAGAAGTCAGAGAGTAGCCTCGGCCTTCCCCCATTTCTGGTGGGAAAGTTGCTGGCTTAGTAGGAACCATGTGATTACATGGCTTTTAGGGAAAGACAATGTATCCTTAAAAAAAAAAACATTTCATGGATTTTCCTTATAAGTTTTCAACTTTTTGTCTTCCTTTTGTATAGCAAATCCAGTTTGCTGATGACATGCAGGAGTTCACCAAATTCCCCACCAAAACTGGCCGAAGATCTTTGTCTCGCTCGATCTCACAGTCCTCCACTGACAGCTACAGTTCAGGTAGGTGTGAATGAACTCCATGTCCTCTCTAATCTCTCTTCCCTGTTTGCTACCAGTGCTCTTCACTTAGCAATCTGAAAATACCTCATGTTATGACTGCCCACCTTTGTGCTGAAAACTGTTAGTGGCTGGGCAGTGGGAATGTTCTGCAGCCAAGCTAGTAGCTGGGGAAGCTTTTGTCGACTCGAGACTTTCTTCCCCCTGGCTGTCTGTGTGTGTGGTCTGTGGCCAGTGCCCAGTTGGTAGGACTGGGCTAGTTCCCATTCCCACATTGATCCGCCCATTTCAAAAGGAAGAAATCAATGCTATTTTGGCTGACAGAATTGGACTTAAAAAAGAAGTGCATTTTGAAGCACGATTTCTTTGTGTAAAATATACCCTGTCACCTATCTCTTTCTTTCTTGTCTCCAAGACTGCTTAGATTGTAACAATAAAATTAGTATTTTGGCTTCTCTTATTTATTAGGTTATTCTTTCTGTTGGAATATCCTCCCCTGTTAGACTCTGGAGCAGGAAAGATTCAGACTACTGTAATGTAACTCCAGCTCTGTTTCTTTTTAGTTCTCTCCTCCTGTCTTAACTCTCTGTAAATAAAGTCTTTTTCTGTTTTGTATTGTGTCTTTCCCAACTATAGAGCATGTATTAGAAAATTAGCATGGAAAAGAATATAGAATCTTGGCAGATGAATACAGGAGAAAACATTAGGGACATCTAATGGGGCATCCAATACAACCTTGTCATTGTTTAACTGAAGACTCATTGTTAAAAGATTAAGAGGTTACAGATTGCTATTAATGTCAGCAGAGATATTTGTACCAAAAGCCATTCATTGTCCTTTGCCAGAATACCTTTTGCATTGTATTATCAACATTAAGGATTAACATAAATGAAAAGCTGTTATATATGATCCTGGAGTGACAGATAAAAAGTGGTGTGTGACAAGCAGGCTAACTGTAGCCAAGAAAGAAGAAAAATTAATTGTGAAAAATTGAGTTATGAGAGGAAGAACGATAAAACGACTGAAGAAGGCTTTTAAAAAGTCTTCAAAGATCTTGACGGCCATGTTACAGAAATGTATTAGAGCCTTTTAAAAAGCTTAGTGATATGGTTAAAATGTCATAGTGGGGAAGATAATCTTTAGTAGTATTTGTGTTAGCTGGACAGGAGGAGGACCTGTACATAGAAGTCAGTCAGTGAGAGAGTCCAGGTATACTAGCAGAAACCGTGATGAGGAAAGTACTCAATTCAGAGAGGAAAGAAGTGATTTGAGAGGTAAGGAATGATTGTTGTATATCCTCTTGCATATCTGTCAGATAAGTGGTATTTTTAGCTTTTATGTGAAACCACTTTTTAAAGTTGATCATTTTGACAGACTTTCCCAGGGCTATCAGTAGAACCAGAGCTGTTTGCCTTTTGTGCCATTTCTTTCTTTCTCTATTCCTTGAGCACAACTTAGTGTAAAATCCCTTGTAAGACTATCTTATCACTTTTGTCTATATCCATGGTTCTCAAAGTGTGATCCTCTGACTAGCAGCATCAGCAACACCTGGTAACTTGTTGGAACTACTAATGCTTAGGTGCCACTCCATACCTGCCAGATGGGAAACTGGCCACAGGGTCTAGCAATATATGTTTTAACAAACCTTCCATGTGATCCTGATAGATGCTTGAATTTGAGAACCAGTGATCTATAGAAATAGCATTCCTTATCTGCCCTAAATTATTCTTCTGTTTTTGCCAGGTCTGGTTCCAATCCAGATGGGACCAAGTACCTCTATTATCTGGGATTACTATAGCTGCAGGTTTATAATCAGTGGTCCCTTGTCATAGGCACTAATAGCACAGTATTGTTAGGGTGGGTGAAAGAGCTGCAACATGGAAGTACCCACAACAGTTTCATTCATACCACCTATTAGAACCTAGAGGAGCAGAACTGAGAGCGTTGTAAAAGGTAGCTCCAATTAAGGGTGTTCCCTTAACTTAAATGAAAGTCCCTTGGGGACTGCACTCTGTAGAGTTGGGGACCACTGAGGTTTTTCTATCCTTGTTTTTTTCTTTCCTGGCTCTAGCTGCATCCTACACAGATAGCTCTGATGATGAGGTTTCTCCCCGAGAGAAGCAGCAAACCAACTCCAAGGGCAGCAGCAATTTCTGTGTGAAGAACATCAAGCAGGCAGAATTTGGACGCCGGGAGATTGAGATTGCAGAGCAAGGTAAAGAAAGGGAGTGGGTTAGGGGACCAGAAACAACCCTCTTGTTGGCCATCAGAATCCACAAACAACTTAAGACTTGAAAGCTGACTTGAAAGTGTACTGGGAAGAAAGACAGTATTATGGACTTTCGGATAAACACTTCTCTCTCTATGGAACTTAAGTCTTGGGATTTTGTTCTCTCTTCCTTCTGTTCTCAGCATGTGGTGATTACACACAGAGTAGTTTCTGTTTTCCTCCTTGCCCCACCCCACCACTGTATTCAAAGATCTACATGGCAGAATTGACAAGTCCTAGATCACTACGTGGTAGTTGGTTATATGGGATCTTACTATAGCTGCCAATGGCAGAGACCCAGATTGCCCAGAAGCAGCTGATGAGGAAGGGTTTTAAGGTAAGGATGTGGTGACCTAGAGTCTTGTTTGGTCCTGAGCACCCTCTGCTGGAGCAGAGTAAAAGTGACTGACAGTTAAATCTTGGTTTCTCTACCCCAGCCACTCCCAGTAAGGTCCTCTTTACTCTTGTGTTGTTTACACATTGAAGGCATGTTCTATACTGAGAGAGAATAGAGAAACCAAACAGACTGACAGGACATGGTAAGACAGCATAGAAAAACAGAAGTTAGTGGTTTCGGCTGAGGGTACAGTCTTTCTGGTCTGATGATTATATATAGGAATCTATTAGCCAATGCCTTAACTATTTTCCTCTCTTCCCAAATGAATGATGAGACTCACCCTTCATTTTGATCAGTTTTAAGGATTTACTTCATTCTCTGTTCAGTCCTCTGTGTATAAAGCTGAAGCAGTAGAGGAAGAGAGAAACTCCAAGTGGTTGCATGACTGCTCTCCACTATTACTGTGCCGTTGAAGCTGCCAGTCGTCATGGAAATAGGCTTAAAGTTTTTCTGCCTCATCTCACCATATCTCAACAGATCCAGACCAGCCCTGGGGCAGGAACTGATGATACTGCTAGTGCAGACCTAGCTCAAATCCTCTGTTCTTTCACAGACATGTCTGCTCTGATTTCACTCAGGAAACGTGCTCAGGGGGAGAAGCCCTTGGCTGGTGCTAAAATAGTGGGCTGTACACACATCACAGCCCAGACAGCGGTGAGTTTGTTGGAAGAAAAGAGGGACTTCTGATAAGGGGAAGAAAGAAATCAATTTTTTTTTTTTCACTTTTCCTTTCCTAACTCGCCAACCTCCAAATGCTAACTATTAATAGGATCTCCCTGTTACACAATAATGGGGTTTTCTGGGTTTTTTTTTAATATGTAAACCCACTTTCAGCAAACTTGACCTAGGAAAGTCTAGATTTGCAAACATATGATTGTTATAAAATGTTATAAAGACTTTTAGAAACCTATGTTTTATGCAAAGTTAAATACCAGTGCACCACCTCGCTGGAGTACACCCTTTTGTAACTTTCCAGTGTAGCACCTGTTGGTGCAGAGTTGATAGGTATTGCTATCTTGATGAGGCTTGCTCTCCATTCCTGGGTGGCCCTTCTCTTCCTCACCCTGTCTTCCTACACTTCTACACAGGTGTTGATTGAGACACTCTGTGCCCTGGGGGCTCAGTGCCGCTGGTCTGCTTGTAACATCTACTCAACTCAGAATGAAGTAGCTGCAGCACTGGCTGAGGCTGGTAAGTTCGGTTTTTTCCCACCAACTTTGCCCCAAAATAGTTATCCAAACATATAACTTTTTTGTATCAAAATTGTCATTACAATATCATATATGTCTAGAGGCTATAAAATTGTGCATGATAAAAACCTCAACAGGAAGAAAGTGGATAATAAAATTAAGATGGATATCCATGGTGGAATATTATGTAGTCATTAAAAATGGCCTTTGAAAATAATCTAATGGCATGGGGTCATGCCCAGTTCTAGTGTTAGTTGAACGAGGAAGAATGTTAAACTATATAAGTGCCATCAATTTTGTGAGAGAGCACAAGTAAGAAGTACCTTTCATATTGATAGTGCATTAAATAATTTGGTATTCAGTATGGCATTGAAAATATATGAGCTATTTGTGAGTTTAATTAAACGTAAAATAATTTTTTATTATTCAGGCCAGGCCTGGTGGCCCACGCCTATAATCCCAGCACTTTGGGAGGCCGAGGCGGGCAGATCACTTGAGGCCAAGAGTTCAAGAACGGTCTGGCCAACATGGTGAAACCCCACCTCTACTAAAAATACAAAAGTTAGCCGGGAGTGGTGGTGTGCGCCTGTAATCTCAGCTACTCAGGAGGCTGAGGTAGGAGAACCACTTGAACCTGGGAGGCAGAGGCTGCAGTGAGCCGAGATCATGCCACTGCACTGCAGCCTGGGCGACAGAGTGAAACTCCATCTCAAAAATTAATAACAATAATAATAATTTTTATTATTCAAATATTCAGAAGAAAATCACCGTGAAGTTTCTTTGAGGACCTCTCATCTTTCTTTCTTTTTTTTTTTTTCTTAAGATGGAGTCTTACTCTGTTGCCCAGGCTGGAGTGCAATGGCGCAGTCTCGGCTCACTGCAACCCCTGCCTCCTGGGTTCAAGTGATTCTCATGCCTCAGCCTCCTGAGTAGCTGGGATTGCAGTGGCATGCCACCACACCCAGCTAATTTTTGTATTTTTAGTAGAGATGGGGTTTCACCATGTTGGCCAGGCTGGTCTCGAACTCCTGACCTCAAGTGATCTGCCTGCCTTGGCCTCCCAAAGTGCTGGGATTACAGGCGTGAGACACCACACCCAGCCGGACCTCTCATCTTTTTAAGATCCTCAGAAAGCAACTTTATAATACTTTTGGGTTTTTTTGTTTATTCTTTTCTGATAAGTGTTCACTGCAAAAAATTTAGGAAGTTCCCCAAAACCCTACAATCCCACTACATAGAGTATTTGATTAATGTTTTTCCTTTTCCTTTCTTCTACTTTACATAAATTCTAATATGTATACAGTTTTATAACCTAAATACAATATTTTCAGACGTAGTTTTCCATGTCACTGAAAACTTTGACAGCATCATTTGTAATAGTCATTCATATGGCTATGTGATTTCACCTCACTATTTTCCTAATGGAGAACATTTAGGTTGTTTCAAGATGTTTACTAATATCAATAATGCTCCAGTTAACAACTTTTATTAATTCCCACTTCATTTTATCTCCTTCTAAGTATAAAATTAGTCCAGAGAAAGGAACACTTTAAGGTTCCAAACTACTTTTAAAGCAAAAATTCCTTAATTTCTTAACCTAATTAATTTCTGAACCAAAAGTGATTCTTTGACTTTTGGCTCTGAATTTTTTCCCTTCTGAAATTGTTTCTTTTGCCTTTTTCTCTTCACATGGATCTCAGAAAGTGATTTGGTACAGGACACTCCTCAAAGGAGGAATCAGCTGATTCATTTCTGTCTCTACAGGAGTTGCAGTGTTCGCTTGGAAGGGCGAGTCAGAAGATGACTTCTGGTGGTGTATTGACCGCTGTGTGAACATGGATGGGTGGCAGGCCAACATGGTAATAATGCATATACATCCTACACTTTGACAATAGATTTATTTCCTTTTTTTCCCTCAAAGCATGGTTCCCTAAATATGTTTTGGATGTTTGGTCTTATGCACTGACTTTGTTGCTAAAGTGTTTAGCTTGATACCTATTCAGAATGGGTCTGAGTACTGAATGGAAAGGTGGGGGAAGGGTAAGACTAGCTGAACACATGGCTCAAACACACCAGAACAAAATAGTGGTGCTTCTTTGGAGTAGGATTCTGCTTTCTTTCCTTCCTGCCCCAGTTCTCCTTTTGCATTCAAAGGGGCTATATATTTCAAGACTCTAGACTAAAAATGAGTCTGTGATTAGCTTAATACTCATCACTGTAGCCTAAAGCAAACCTAGGAATCCTTTTAACCATTTTACACCAACAAATTTGACTGTATTTCCACTCTCTAAGCCTGCTCTAGGGAGCTCTGAGGAGTACTCTTCCAAAACATACAGGGCTCTCTTACTAGTACAGAAAGTGGGTTCAAAGTTCCCCCCAGCCCTAGCAGCCTGAATGCCCATAGAAGTCTTCTGGCTGTTCTATAGATCCTGGATGATGGGGGAGACTTAACCCACTGGGTTTATAAGAAGTATCCAAACGTGTTTAAGAAGATCCGAGGCATTGTGGAAGAGAGCGTGACTGGTGTTCACAGGTAACAGATTCTGGAGTAGCTGCCCCTTGTGTCCTTGCCTCAGCAAACTCTCCTGGTCTCTGTTAGGCTTTAGGACTGTGTTTCAGACTTATAACTAAATGGGAATATCTTCATTAGATAAAATTTTGAGTTTTTACTTTTGAAAAATCAAGTTGATCCTAGAAGGAAGTTATTTCAGGTTCTAGTTCATACATTTTTCTCTCCCATTTACTCCATTGAGTGATTCTCAACTAGTGTTGAGGGGCGGGTAGGGAATAAATGTATCTTGAAAAACTGTATTCAATATTGTATTATCATTTTATATTTGAAATATGAAAAACAATCCTATTGTAAAACTACATGTTATACACACTACAAAAAGTAAAACTGGGCAAAATATTCTTGGCTTGTTGGAATACTGAAAAGATATCTGAAAGAGTGTTTCTTGGGGGCACATTGCGCATGCTTACTCACACACACACGGAACCATATCAGAATCATTGATAGTCTTTGTTTATCAGAAGTAGGCATGGGTTTCTATTGAAAAATGCTGATCAAAGGAAATAACACTCCCTATAAAGGGAAGAGAAGTACATTTCTTCAATTGAAAGGCTTTTTTTTTTCTTCCAAAAAAGGGGTAAAGGGAGAAGAAAATGAAAAGAAGTGTGGAGGGATGACAAGGAAATAATCATGTTTTCTAATATCCTTGGGCAATAAATGAGACTGGGAAGGGCAGCATGGAACTTGAAGAGAATTAGGCAGATTTTGCCACAAATTATGTTGTGCCAGCTAACTTGGTTTTTGTTTGTTTTTGTGACCTCTTCTCTCTTTAGGCTGTATCAGCTCTCCAAAGCTGGGAAGCTCTGTGTTCCGGCCATGAACGTCAATGATTCTGTTACCAAACAGAAGTTTGATAACTTGTACTGCTGCCGAGAATCCATTTTGGATGGGTAGGTTGAATGTATATATATTCAAACTTCTAGGGGCTCTGGTCTTCCTTTGGCTTTAAAAGTTTATTAGAGGGACCATTTCATACTGAGCTCAACCAGCTTCCAATTGATATTCTCATGGGCATTGGCCCACACTTTTAACTTTGTGAAGAGGGACTGAGTTTGAGCTATTAACGTTTGAGTTGAGCCCTTGTCTGTTTCCACAGCCTGAAGAGGACCACAGATGTGATGTTTGGTGGGAAACAAGTGGTGGTGTGTGGCTATGGTGAGGTAAATAGCTGGGTCTCAGTGTCTCTTTCTTTTTGTGTACTTATTAGAAATATTGGGTAAAGGAGGCTTGTGCTGTCAATCTAGAGTCACTGATACAAGGTTTAAATTTTTTTAGATAATGTATCTCAAACAATAGCAAAAGCCTTTTATTCAGATTTATGAATAGAAACATACAAAATGAATTGAGTTTTCAGATTTTACCATTTTGCCTTGTGGAATAGATACTAGTATCATCTTCCCCAATTATAACAATAACCTTTAATGAGACTTAATTCAAGTGAATATATAGCATTTTAGCCCCACAAGTGACTTGCAGTAGAATTAAGGGTGGAATCTGAAATGGCATATAGTTGAATATCTCCAAACTGGAATAGGTCACATATTTTGTTGTCTTCAGCAATGACCCAAAGAAGTTCCTGAGCTACGAGGGTATCCTTGAGTAGATTCTTCTCAAGTAAGAGAATAGGAAATTAGAGGTTGCTTAGAGTAAGTTGCTTTTGCTTAGTCTTGTTTCCCTGATGAAAACTGCTATGCAAAGCCCCAGTCCTTCCTATGACATGTCTGCTAAATTACCTCTCTAACTGAGGTTCACAACGTAATCTGGGTCTGTTTCTGTTCTGCTTGGGATTGGAGCGTCTGTGCAGCTGCTCACCAGATGACAGGCTATTTCATGAAGGTTAATTCCTGTCTCACAAATAACCTACCTACCCTAAATATCCATGACTTAATGAACCTAACGACTTGACCTTTCTTTTGTTCTGCAGGTAGGCAAGGGCTGCTGTGCTGCTCTCAAAGCTCTTGGAGCAATTGTCTACATTACCGAAATCGACCCCATCTGTGCTCTGCAGGCCTGGTAAGAACAGAGTGATAATACTATTAGATTCACTCTAGGTGCTTTATGTTATTGAGAGTTCATAATTGAGTATATTAATCATTTTTGCAGAAATCACCTAGGGGAAGAGAAGGCTAGGACTGCTCTGTTCTTCTCACTCTAACCCTAGGGCTCTCTGAGAGCCTCTTGGCATTTTTCCTTCCTAGAGGGAGTCTTGGGGACTCTGAAGAGGCCAGTGTATATAGTTTAGCAGAGCTTATCACTCACCATTCCTGTGAGGTGGCACTGGATCCAACTAGAAGGGGATCTTGTCTCATTTCATGACCATCTTCCCTCCCACTGCCTTCTTGCTTTACTCATAGTGTTCCTTTCTTTTCTTCCAGCATGGATGGGTTCAGGGTGGTAAAGCTAAATGAAGTCATCCGGCAAGTCGATGTCGTAATAACTTGCACAGGTAAATAACTTGCATAGAGAAGTGTTTATTCAGAGGCTAAATCTTGAAAGTAGTCTGAGTGACTTTCATACAAAGGAGGTGAGACCTCTGTTCAGTATAAAGGTCTCAGAACTAGAATAAGCTATCAGAACCTTAACATGTTTTCCAGAGTAAAAAACTTTTTTCCCTGGTGACTTTTTATACTGCTTGATCTGAAGACCAGATAGCCTAAGGAGCGGTTATGCATGTCTTCTCTCAGAATGTCTACATGTTCTTTAATGCCAGCAAGCCTCTGGTCTCCTATGTTCTACCTGAAAGCCAGCCAGTACCTTTGTTGCCCGGCATCTCTTTCCTTAACCACCCATCTTTTCTTTTAGGAAATAAGAATGTAGTGACACGGGAGCACTTGGATCGCATGAAAAACAGTTGTATCGTATGCAATATGGGCCACTCCAACACAGAAATCGATGTGGTAAGGCTTCTCTCATTTGTTGCTAGGCATTTCTCTACTACCTTTCATTAATAACCATAGTCAACTGTGCTTTCTTCCTTTCAGACCAGCCTCCGCACTCCGGAGCTGACGTGGGAGCGAGTACGTTCTCAGGTGGACCATGTCATCTGGCCAGATGGCAAACGAGTTGTCCTCCTGGCAGAGGTACACACAGAGAAGGACCCTGGCAGAGCAGCACAAGCAGAGTAGTTAGATCTATGAGGGGGGAGGGGAGGGAAACAAATATTAGGCCTATGTTTCCCTGAATTTTATCTTTGGAGAGAGAGATATTTCACAAATTGGTCCCCAAAATAAAACCACTTTAAAAAAATCTACTTTTTACTAAGTAACACTATTTCCTAACCACAGCTGATTCTTTAACCTTTCAGACTCAGATGGATTTGCAGAAAATAGGAAAAAGCCTAGAGTCCTGATCTGGAACTGTAATTCTTCCTCTTCCAACTGAGTCTAGAGGGGTGTAAAGTCCTCTCCCGCTTTGGCTTGACTTGTATGCCATTGGAATCTGAGACAGAGCTCATCCCAGGGCTCTCTCTTACCTTTCCAGGGTCGTCTACTCAATTTGAGCTGCTCCACAGTTCCCACCTTTGTTCTGTCCATCACAGCCACAACACAGGTATGTGGCAAAATGCCTGCTTACACTGCACTGCAATTTGTGGAACTGGGCGTAGATCAGTTCCAGTGAGGGTGTACTGTACTATGTTCTCATCATCCTATTCTTTTTTGATGTAATAAATTGTGGAAACAGGTATTCTTAAGTATAGAAAAGAGTCACTAAGTCAGTATTCGTTGAATTGGCTGTTTTAGTTGAGAATATAATGTTCCAGCTTAGTTTTATTTGATTTGTTCTTTCGTTAGGAACTAAACAAAAACAACAAATCCTCTTAGGATGTGTGCTGCCCTTTAGTATAGGCAAAGTCCTAGGTACTGTGACTGTGGTAGATCACTGTAGTACTTACCCAAATGCTGTTTAACCTGGTTTTATTTTTATGTGCCTGTCTAAGAAATATTTTTGTGCTTTCTGGCCTTCTTTTCCCACCTTAGGCTTTGGCACTGATAGAACTCTATAATGCACCCGAGGGGCGATACAAGCAGGATGTGTACTTGCTTCCTAAGAAAATGGGTGAGTGAAAAACAGTGGAAATCTATGCAGACAGCTGCATAGTTTGGTAAAATGACTGCCATGAAAGGCATTGGATTTAGAGTCAGAGTTCCAATTCCTGTTCCTGTGCTTACTGGTTGTTTGACCTCAGGACAAGTTCTAATCTCTATGATCCTCAGTTTCTTGATTGGTAAAATGAAAATAATACTACATACATTGTAGAATTGTGTGAGAATCACAGCTAATGAGTAACAGTGCTTAACACAATGGTTTAGGGAGATGTTCTTACTCTAAGTAGCCTTATGAAGTTCAGTAAACTTCCCAGTGCAGCTGAGTACATACAGCCTTGGAACAAAATGAGAGAAACAAACACAGGTTTTATTGTCCATTTTCTGTGAGGATATGCAAACCATCCAATCTCTTGTAAGCAACCCATGCTGTGTTCATGTGACATAATACATCATCTCTAGTCCTTTGCCTTTCTGCACGGTGTACCCATCTCCCATATCTCCTTGGCTAGCCCAAATCCCTGACTTCTTAATGCTAAAATACTTCTTGCTCTCCTCTCCTCCAATAGCTTACTTCAGACTTTTTTTTCAGTGTATAATTATAAAAGGGAAGCTTATCTATGGAAAAGTAAAAATTCTGTGCCGACTACCTTAGAAATTCATGATCCTAAGATCCATGGATCTTATCCTAAATGAGTGTTATTGACACAGGGTCTTTCTAGCTTACTGGTGTCCACTTTGATTGCTAATTTGACTATAATCTAGTTAAGGAGGTTGCTGCAGGAAGGTAGGAGTAGCATGTGACATGTGGGCCACTGCAGGGAAGCCCCCTGCTTTGCCAGAGAAGGATAGAGAGGTAAAAGCCCACTCCCTTTTGTTACCCTGGTAAGTGGCTTTTCTGAACGCACTGTACATGTGCTGAGAGAAGCATCCTGCCCAGAAAGGCAGCTTTGAGGTTTTTTTTTTAATTAAGCAAATATTTCAAGTTGTGGATTCTTTCAGAGTTATTCCATCCCTTGTCTGCTTTCTTAAAAAAGCTTCAAATGAAAATGGGAAGTTATAACTTGAGAGACATTTTGAAAAGGAGTCTGCTCTCCTGCCACTTTGCTCTTCCTAGATGAATACGTTGCCAGCTTGCATCTGCCATCATTTGATGCCCACCTTACAGAGCTGACAGATGACCAAGCAAAATATCTGGGACTCAACAAAAATGGGCCATTCAAACCTAATTATTACAGGTAACCTGGGGAGAAGCAAGTGAAAAGCTCTTTTTCCCAGTATTAAACCAAGCAGGCTAGCCTGCTTCTGACATAAAGATCAAATGTTGTACCTGATTTTGAAGAATACAAGAAATCTGTTCCAGGCCAGGCACGGTGGCTCACGCCTGTAATCCCAGCACTTTGAGAGGCCTAGGCGGATGGATCACTTGAGGTCAGGAGTTCAAGACCAGCCTGGCCAACATGGCGAAACCCTATCTCTTAGCCGGGTGTGGTGGCGGGCACCTGTCATCCCAGTTACTCAGGTGGCTGAGGCACGAGAATCACTTGAACCTGGGAGGCGGAGGTTGCAGTGAGCTGGGATCATGCCACTGCACTCCAGCCTGGGTGATGGAGTGAGACTCTGTCTTAAAAACAAACAAACAAACAAAAAAACTGTTCCAGTTAACAAGGTAGATAGAGAAATTGTGGGAGATATCAGGGAGTTAGGGTTTTTTTGAAATTTTGGAGCCTGGGCCTCACCCTAAGAGATTCTGATATATTTGGTCTGCGATGGGACCAAATTTACAAAACATTATTTTGTAAAACCTCCCCAGATTATTGTAATGTTTAGTCAGGGTTGAAAAAACACTGACTCATTCCTGGGAACAGGCGGTAACACCAGAAATGGCATTGTCAGAGACCCTGTGGAAGAATAAGGGAGACTGGTGCCCTGGGGAATGACTGCAGGGATCCCACCCAGGCTGGGGAGGGGCCCTGGAGAAGGTGCTCTGTTTCCGATTGTTTTTTGGAATTCTCATATGGAAGACATAAGTGTTAACCAATCACTCTCTCTCTTTACAGATACTAATGGACCATACTACCAAGGACCAGTCCACCTGAACCACACACTCTAAAGAAATATTTTTTAAGATAACTTTTATTTTCTTCTTACTCCTTTCCTCTTGATTTTTTTCCTATAATTTCATTCTTGTTTTTTCATCTCATTATCCAAGTTCTGCAGACCACACAGGAACTTGCTTCATGGCTCTTTAGATGAAATAGAAGTTCAGGGTTCCTCACTCTAGTCACTAAAGAAGGATTTTACTCTCCCAGCCCAGAAAGGTGATTCTTTCTTTACCATTTCTGGGGACTTTAGTCTTAATTAGGTACCTTATTAACAGGAAATGCTAAGGTACCTTCTCTGTGGAACAATCTGCAATGTCTAAATCGCCTTAAAAGAGCCCATTTCTTAGCTGCTGAAATCAGTGCTCTTTCACTTCTTCAGAGAAGCAGGGATGGTACCTACCCGGCAGGTAGGTTAGATGTGGGTGGTGCATGTTAATTTCCCTTAGAAGTTCCAAGCCCTGTTTCCTGCGTAAAGGTGGTATGTCCAGTTCAGAGATGTGTATAATGAGCATGGCTTGTTAAGATCAGGAGGCCCACTTGGATTTATAGTATAGCCCTTCCTCCACTCCCACCAGACTTGCTCATTTTTCGAGTTTTTAACTAGACTACACTCTATTGAGTTTAATTTTGTCCTCTAGGATTTATTTCTGTTGTCCAAAAAAAAAAAAAAAGAAAAGAAAAATTAAGGAGAATTTTTGGTGTTAATGCTGAGGAATTGCTTGAGTGGTTAGTTGTTACCAATTTCTCTTTTGAACCTTTGGAGCTAAGGATGCTGAGTCTAGAGAAATGCTAGTCTCAAGCCCTGTTAAGTCCCTCTGTTTCTAGCCCGTAGTTCATAGCATCAGTGAACTGGAGCCACAACAGCAAATTCTATCAGCTGTGTACCATACAGCTTGTGCTGAAGGCGAATTTCTTGAGCCATTACTCAGTATAAAGCACTGAGTTCTATCTTTAGGATTTATCTTTAAGAGCAAATTTCTGGTCAGCTGTGCTTCTGCAACCTAAAATATTTAAAGGGAGGTAGGTGTGGGCAGGAGGAGGAATGATAAATTGGGCCAGGGCAAGAAAAATCTAGCTTCATATAATTTGTCTGGGACTATACACCCTATATAATGTTAGTTTTACAGAAGTAATATGACTTTTGATTGCTACATACCACAAAGAGTTTATGAACTGAGATCATAAAGGGCAACTGATGTGTGAAGAAAGTAGTCAGTACATCCTGGCTCATGCTCTGAAAGAATATCCAGAGAGGCTCTCTCAAAGATCAGGGAGATGTATTCCCATGCCATGCACCCTGCTTCCCAGCATTTCTGCATGGTCAAGTGAGCTTTATGCTCATGAGCTTTAAGTATATAATTATCCAGGATTTTAAATCCTCAACTTGTTCTAGCTTGTGATCCCTCAAAGTTGGGTCATACGTTAGTGCTAGATACTAGAAATTTTCACTTTTCCACTGATCAGAGAGACAGACATTAAAAACAAAAATAGAAGAAAGGAAAGCTTTCACCCTGCAGCTTCTTAGCAGGGAACAATTGTCTTGCCAAAACTTTTTTCCCTTTTCTCTCCCATTTTCTTTTACCCAATCCCTTCTTACTCCTTGCCAGTGTGACCATGCTTTCTTCTCTGTAGATGTTAACAGTTAAGGCCTATTTTCCTCGGGCACTTAACCAACCAATCAGAACACCACATCTGTTAGGGGAGGTAACCTGGCCAACAGTGTATCCATCACGTTAGCCCTGCTGGAGGGAAGGGACCCACATTCACCTGCCCTCTGACCTGCCCCTTGATCCCATATCTATTACCGTGTCCATAGGAATAATAGGTAAGGGCTCTGTCTCTGTCAAGCCATGTAACAAAGGACACTGTTAAAAAAAAAAAAAAGTCTGGCATCAGAGGGAGCATGTGGAGAGCAACTTGGGAAGAACAAGTTCATTTTGTATTGAATGATTTTTAATGAATGCAATATTAATCCTTGCAGATGAGCAATAATCATTAAAATCGATTAAAATGATAAGACCTTATTGGCAGTCCGTATGTGTCATTCTTTGTTAAACAGCAAAACTTCATTAGAACCTGTTTTCTAGGGTGTGACAAGTTATAGGTCAGTAGCATTTAATAGAGATTTGTTGAGGGCCTAATATATAGAGGCTGGATACAGGATTCTTCAAAGTAATACCTGAAGTTTTGTATGCCTGCTCTGTGCCAAGCACCGGGCCTGGGTACTTTCACTCCTAACTTCCTTCAGGAAGCAGACTTGCTGCTTAAGCCTCAGGGTTCCTCATTTGCATAGTCCTTCTAAGACCTAATTTCTGAAGAATGCCCCCAAAGTTATGTAAGCTTCAGCCTCCTCCCACACCTGTATCCATTTCTGAAGTGGTCTCAGTGTCTTTTTTTTTTTTTTTTCTCTTTATTTTTTTGAGACAAGGTCTCACTGTCACCCAGGTTGGAGTGCAGTGGCTTGATCTCAGCTCACTGCAACTTCTGCCTTCCGGGCTCAAGTGATCCTCCCACCTCAACCTCCCAAGTAGCTGGGACCACAGTGTCAGCTAATTGTTTGTATTTTTGGTAGAGATGGGGTTTCGCCATGAAATCTAGGCTGATCTCAAACTCCTGGGCTCAAGTGATCCTCCTGCCTCTGCCTCCCAAAGTGCTGGGATTACTGGCCAGTGTCTTCTGATGTAAGAAAGTATTTATCTTGGTCAGTTTCTGCTGCTCCAGCAAAATCCTGAGACTGAGTAATTTATAAAGAACAGAAATTGATATTCTCACAGTTGGAGGCTGGGAAGTCCAAGGTCAAGTCGTTGGCAGATTTGGTGTCTGAAGAGGGCTGCTGCCTGCTTCCAAGATGGTACCTCTTATGCATCCTCATATAGCAGAAGGTAGAAGGGCAAAAAGGACCTAACTATTACCTCATATATGCCAAAGTCTGTTTTAGATACTGGGGATACATCAGTTTAAATCAGATGATCTCTTCCTTTGTGGTGTTTACGTAAAATTCCAACAAGATCCAAATTCCTTCCCTTTTTCCTTTACCCACAATTTGGCCATTAGGTAAGACAGAGCAAGCTAGGGATTCATGTGGATTTGCAGCCTGTGAGTGTGGGTGGTATCCTTGTGGGAACTGGGGATGTAGCTTGGTACAAGGAGTCAGATCCCAAGTGGCGTGGGGAATGCATCTATGCAGGGGATGAATGGCAATGGCAGATTAGTTAGGGATAAGGGATTTGATCACTGTACGTGAAAATATTAAGGGTAGCGGAAGCCAGCTGTCTCATTTTGGAGGAAGGTGTTACACATTGGAAAGGGAAAACACTAGAATGAACTCTGCTGTTGGGTTTGAATAGGAGATGATAGTGTGAAGTCATAAATATCAACCTAGTTAAAGAAATACAGATGTCAATGTACGTGTGTGTGTGTGTACAAACACTCCCTAGCTCTCTCTACTAAGCAAGCCTTGGAGCAGCAGTTCCCCTCTTCCCCCAGTGCACATACCTGACCTCGAGGTCTAGGCACTACATTCTCCACCGAAAGAAGCCAGGACTCGTTGGAGAGATGACTGATTCCATGGCAGAGCAAAAAAAAGTACAAGATAAACCAGAAAGCAAGGAAGGCCTTAAAAAAGGATACATAAGCCAGCTGTAAGGGATTTACATGGGGTAAATCTGAGACAACCTGAGCATCAGCATAGTAATGATTTGTAATCCATTGAACAAAATAGAAAACTATGACTCTGCTAATAGAAATGAATGAGTAAGTAAACAGAAGTTTAATGAGGAATTGTATATGTATATACTTTTTTTCTAATTTATTTATTTATTTTTGAGATGGAGCTTCACTCTGTCGCCCAGGCTGGAATGCAATGGCATGATCTTGGCTCACTGCAAACTCTGCCTCCCGGGTTCAAGCGATTCCTGTGCCTCAGCCTCCCGAGTAGCTGGGATTACAGGTTTCCGCCACCACACCTGGCTAATTTTTGTATTTTTAGTAGAGATGGGCTTTCACCATGTTGGCCAGGCTGGTCTTGAGCTCCTGACCTCAGGTGATCCACCTGCCTCAGCCTCCCAAAGTGCTGGGATTACAGGCGTGAGCCACTGTGCCTGGCCTATGTATACTTTCAAAGTAGCCTTCCATAAAGTATTTCTTAAATAAAATAATGGGGAAAAGAGTAGCTTCACAGTAGTGAAGTCTGGCTGGCAGACCACCTTAATCAATGGAAAGAAACGAACTTCAGTAATGGGACAAATCTAGATCTTCACAAGATCTAGACAAATCTAGATAAGTTGCTTGAGAAGAACACAGCATCCCTTCTTTTTTTTTTTTTTTTTTTTTTTTTTTTTTGAGACGGAGTCTCGCTCTGTCGCCCAGGCTGGAGTGCAGTGGCGCGATCTCGGCTCACTGCAAGCTCCGCCTCCCGGGTTCACGCCATTCTCCTGCCTCAGCCTCCCGAGTAGCTGGGACTACAGGCGCCCGCTACCACGCCCGGCTAATTTTTTGTATTTTTAGTAGAGACGGGGTTTCACCGTGTTAGCCAGGATGGTCTCGATCTCCTGACCTCGTGATCCGCCCGCCTCGGCCTCCCAAAGTGCTGGGATTACAGGCGTGAGCCACCGCGCCCGGCCAGCATCCCTTCTATGACAAATCCACATTGAAGGACACTTTACAAAAGGACTGGCCTATAATATTCTAAAGTATCAAAGTCAAAGAATGACTGAAGAACTGCAGGAGACTAATACAACAACTAAATGCTATCCTGAACTTGTTCATTTTGCTATATAAAGATACAAAGGACCTTATTGGGACAGCTGGTAAAACTTGAAAGGGCTTGGAGGATGAGACGATAGTAATATCTGTTAATTTCCAAATGTTAATGGCTGAACTGTGGTTATAGAGAATGCTTGTTTGTAGGAAATCAACACTAAAGTATTAGAAGTGATGGGTTATCAAGTCAACAATTCACTTTCAGATGGGTCCGGAAAAAAATTATTTGTAATATACTTGCTACTTTTTTGTTAGTTTGATTATTTCAAAGTTAAAATTTTGTTCAATGAGAATTTGAAGATAAAAAAGTCAGACCAGCTTGATCAAGAAAATTTTAAAAATCAATTGTGCTCTATTTAGGGACATCTTAGACCAAAAATAAAGGTGAAGCCTTTTGGATTAGTAAAGGAGAATAAAAATCAACAGAAAAACAGTATTTCACATGTCTATACAAAAAAAGTATTTCATTGACAATACGTCACAACTAAAGTAATACACAGACCTGGGGGTTCGACAAGAAAGTGGAGGCCGGTACAGTGGCTTTCTCCTGTAATCCCAGCATGTTGTGAGGCCAGGGTGGGAGGGCTGGTTGAGCTCAGGAGTTTGAGACCAGCCTACACAACATTAGTGAGACTCATTTAAAAAATTAGCCGGGTGTGGTGCTGCACGCCTGTAGTCCCAGCTACTTTGAGGGCTCAGGTGGGAAGATTGCTTGAGCCCAGGAAGTCAAGGCTGCAGTGTAACCCTGATCACGCCACTGCATTCCAGCCTGGGTGGAAGAGTGAGACCCTGTCTCAAAAAAAAAAAAAAAAAAAAAAGTGACGAGTGGGGTTGCAAGAAACTACTCCAGAGTGTTCCTTGGTTATGGATACTGAACAAAGTCTTCCCCACCAAATAACTTCTGAATTCAGGACATTTCTAGAGAAATTTGTAAATTTTGAAAGAACGTAAAAGAAGAATTAACGTCGGTACTTCTCTGCTAACTGGGTATGAAACACTGGGTTAGAGCAATGGTTGGCAAAATTATAGCTCTCCCACCAGCCAAACCAGCCTACCGCTTGTGTTTGTGTAGTTCACAAGCTAAGAATGGTTTTTACATTTTTAAACAGTTGGAAAAAAAATCACCAATATTGTGTGACATGTGAAAATTATATAAAATTCAAATTTTAGTGTCCAAAAATGGAACTTTTATACACAGCCCCACTCATTGATTTATGAAATGTCTATGGCTACTTTCATGCCACAGTGGTAGAGTTGAATAGGTGCAAACAAATGGCCTACAAAACCCAAAATGCTTACTATCTGGCCTTTTACAGAAAGTTTGCTGATCCCAGGTATAAAGGTTGTGTCAAGTATGAAGGGAAAGATGTATCAGAATGTGTCTGATTTGCAGTCTGTTAGGTAAGAAGAGGGATCTCTGTGTGAGAGCAGAAACAGAGAATGAACATATTAGAAAGAAAAGGATATCAAAGAGTTTTCCAGTCTAGGTTGCAGATGCTAAATTCACCTGCATCCTGGCCAGGATTCACTTTAGGATTAGGAAATCTCAGCAAACTGATAAAGCAACTCAGATAGTGCTTGGGAAGGTAATTGTTATTGCAATTTAGAATATGTACTTGAGTAATCAATTTAAACTTGCAATTTTAAGTTGCAACCAATTTTACATACAGTATTGGAAATTTATATTATGTATTGGAAACATATAAGTACACAGTATCAGAACTTTTAAGAATAGTATTTTGGCCAGGCATGGTTGCTCATGCCTGCAACCCCAACAGTTTAGGAGACCGAGGCAGGCGGATCACCTGAGGTCAGGAGTTCGAGACCAGCCTGGCTAACATGGTGAAACCCCGATTCTACTAAAAATACAAAAAATTAGTCGAGTGTGGCGGCATGTGCCTGTAATCCCAGCTGCTTGGGAGGCTGAGTCAGGAAAATCGCTTGAACCCAGGAGGCGGAGGTTGCAGTGAGCTGAGATTGCACCATTGCACTCCAGCTTGGGCAACAAGAGCAAAACTCTGTCTCAAATTAAAAAAAAAAAAAAGAAAAAGAAAAAGAAAGAAAAAAGAATAGTATTTTGTTTGCTTTTATTTTGTTTGTATTTTGTGCCAGACAATTGAAGTAATCCCAAAAGGTAACTTAATATATTAAATGTATAAACATATTTGAAAGGGTTTAAAGGAGTTTAAGTTTTTAAGTGGGGTATTCAAAACCCCTTAGAAGTCATTAATATTTGCTGGGTTTTTACAATAAGATTTATAAGCTGAACTTTTTTTTTTTTCTATTGAGACGGAGTCTCTCTCTGTCATCCAGGCTGGAGTGCAGTGGCGTGATCTTGGCTCACTGCAACCTCTGCCTCCCGGGTTCAAGCGATGCTCCCATCTCAGCCTCCTGAGTAGTTGGAACTACAGGCATGCACCACCACTCCTAGCTAAGATTTTGTATTTTTAGTAGAGATGGGGTTTCAACATCTTGGCCAGGCTGGTCTTGAACTCCTGACCTCAAGTGATCTACCCGCCTTGGCTTCCCAAAGTGCTGGGATTACAGGTGCAAGCCACCGCGCCTGGCCTATAAGCTGAACTTTGAAAAGCTTAAGTAATGTTTTTGTTACTTTAATATATTGAATATTAATTTATTAAGCTGAAATAGCATCTCATCTGTCCACACAGGCAGCCCTTGAAGACATTTTATTTTATGATTATTATTTTTTTGAGAAGTCTCACTCTGTTGCCCAAGCTGGAGTGCAGTGGTGCAATCTCAGCTCACTGCAACCTCCACCTCCCAGGTTCAAGCGATTCTCCTGCCTCAGCCTCCCGAGTAGCTGGGACCACAGGCGCATGCCACCACGCCTGGCTAATTTTTTTTTTTTTTTTTTTTTTGGTATTTTTAGTAGAGACGGGGTTTCACTGCATTAGCCAGGATGGTCTCGATCTCCTGACCTGGTGATCGGCCCGCCTCAGCCTTCCAAAGTGCTGGGATTACAGGCGTTAGCCACCCCGCCCGACCTTTGAAGACATTTTAAAATGTCCTTAGTAGAGACGGGGTTTCACTGCATTAGCCAGGATGGTCTCGATCTCCTGACCTGGTGATCGGTCCGCCTCAGCCTTCCAAAGTGCTGGGATTACAGGCGTTAGCCACCCCGCCCGACCTTTGAAGACATTTTAAAATGTCCTCCAGAAGGAATTGTCCTGGGTTGTGGCCCTGAGGGTACTTGTCTTTGATCCAGGCCTTTCTTCCTCATCTGGCTGTCTTGTGGCGTAGCTCTCCACTACAACCACCAGATGGCGCGTTTTCTCATGTGATCTGGTTGTCAGGGTCTCTTGCCAACAAAGGATAATAAAATACAGGTCTGGAATTCTTTCTCTGAATCTCCTATGTTTTGAAATTGAGAATTTCCCAGGTGTTTAGGAAATAGTTAAAGACACAGTATATTACATAATACTTTGACTTAATCTTTAAAAAAGTTTTTCTGTTTAGAGACAGGGTCTTGCTCTTTCTCCCAGGCTGGAGTACAATGGCAGGATCACAGCTCACTGCAGCCCAGAACTCCTGGGCTCAAGCGATTCTCTCACCTCAGACTCCTGAGTAGCTGGGATGACAGGCGCGCCACAATGCCTAATTTTATAATTTTTTTGTAGAGATCAGGTCTCACTATGTTGCCCAGGCTGGTCTTAAACTCCTGATCTCAAGTGATCCCTCCACTTTGGCCTACCAAAGCGCTATGATTACAGGAATGAGCTACCATGACCAGCTTTGACTTAGTCTTTTGACTAATTCATGTTTATATAAGAAAGCTGAGATTTTATAAGTTAATCTGACCTGAGACAGAGTGAAGCTGGCTGGTCCCTTTGGAAGACAGAATTAACTATTAGTTATCTGCCCTATTAGTTAATTAACCAAAACATTATTAATATTATCCTCTTCTCATAACCATTAATGGAGAGAACTCCATGTGACACAGTAACTAGAGGGTAAGACTGGACCCACAGATGTTTTATATGCTATACAGATTACTTTAATACTGAGCATTTCAGTGACCAGCAATGTATTTACAGTCCAGGGCTAGGATGGAAATTGCTAGAAACAGGCTCACTCTGCATCCCAGCATATACTTAGGTATCAATGAATGTGAAACATCTTACCCAGTACCTGACACCCTGTAGGCACAGAATACATGCCAGTTTCCTTCTACAGAGCCCAACTGGAGCAGCCACTATGTTCTTGCAACTCCTGCAATACTAGAATGGCTCAAATAGGAAATTTCTTCCTCCAGTCTCTTGAACAATGACTGCTCGTGGTGAAGGAAGGGCTTCTCACCTTGGGTATCACCTCTTGGTAATAATTCTCCTTTTTTTAAAAAAACAAACCAACAAACAAAACAAACAATGCTTTATAGTTTTCTCTTTTCTCTTTCTTTCTTTCTTTCTTTCTTTTTTTTTTTTTTTTTTTTGGAGACAGAGTCTTCCTCTGTCACCCAGGTTGGAGTGCAATGGTGCAGTCTCGGCTCACTGCAGCCTCTGCCTCCCAGGTTCAAGCGATTTTCCTGCCTCAGCCCCCTGAGTAGCTGGGATTACAGGCGCATGCCACCATGGCTGAAAATGTTACAGGAAAGGGTCTCAATCCAGACCCCAAGAGAGGGCTCTTAGATCTCTCACAAGAAAGAATTCAGAGCAAGTCCATAGGGTAAAGTGAAAGTAAGTTTATTATGAAAGTGAAGGTATAAAAGAATGGCTGCTCCACAGGCAGAGCAGCTCCGAGGGCTGCTGGTTGCCCATTTTTATGCTTATTTCTTGATTATATGCTAAACAACGGGTGGATTATTCATGCCTCCCCCTTTTAGACCATCTGGGATAACATTCTGGTGTTGCCATGGCATTTGTAAACTGTCATGGTGCTGGTGGGAGTGTAAAAGTGAGGAGGACAAGAGGTCACTCTCATCACCATATTGATTTTGGTGGGTTTGGGCTGGCTTCTTTACTGCAAACTGTTTTGTCAGCAGGTTCTTTATGACCTGTATCTTGTGCTGACCTCGTATCTCATCCTGTGACTAAGAATGCTCTAATATCCTGGGAATGCAGCCCAGTAGGTCTCAGCCTCATTTTACCCAGCCCCTGTTCAAGATGGAGTTGCTGTGGTTCACACATCTCTGACAAAAATACAGGTGGGATTATTCTCATTTTACAGATGGGGAAGGAAAAAAAAAAGAGAAGTGCATGAAGACACTTCTACAGCTTCTACTCTCTACTGGATTGTGCTTTTCGCAAAGTTTCCTAGCAAGTTAGAGTAGTGAGCTCTCCAGCTGTGCTTCTGCTCCTTCACATTTGGGATTCTTTTTCCTTCTAGATCTGTATATTCTGTCTTATGCATGCCCCATTCCATTAGTTAGCCATTTTTCTTTTTCAAAAATTTTTTTAATTTGATTTTTTTTTTTTTTTTTAGAGATAGGGTCTCGCTCTGTTGCCCAGGCTGGTCTCAAATTCCTGGGCTCAAACGATCCTCCCACCTCAACTTCCCAAAGTGCTGAGATTACAGGCATGAGCCACGGTGCCTGGCCCCTCAAAGTTAGCCATTTTCTTATTGGCTATTTTTCAAATTAGGTTGATCCCAACTTTACACTATTGAAAACACCATTGCCTGAATATTATCATACACCTATCTTTATCTAAATCTGATTATTTCCTTAGAATCTATTACTAGAAGTGGAATTATGGAACCAAAACCCTCCCTGTTCTAAATTTAGCTGAAAAATGTTTTTCCCCGGGTGATACAGCTTATGATAGGCACAGGAAGATAGGTAGGAGGAAATAGCAGTGTGGTGGTTTTGGATTAATTTATTAATTTACAACAAAGACTTTTTAAGCACCTACTAGGTTGGACCTCAGGGGAAATCACTGGAGAGTTGTATCACAGGGACTTTCTGGACTTGAGCCTGGGGTGTAAAGCAGGCAATATGTAAAGCTGGAGAGACAAAGATGGATAAAATGCCTTTAAGGATTTCACAGTATAACAACAGATAATAGTAAGAGTTATTATTACGCAACACTTCTAAGATGTCTGATGAGTATCTCAAACTTGATGTGTCCAAAACTGAAGTCTTGATCTTTCCTCTAAACCTGTTTTTCTTACTCTCGAGCTTACTTATTTATGAAAGTGATACAGCCATCCACTCAGTTGCCCAAACCTAGATCAAGGGGGTCATTGTTTATTTCCCCTACCCAGCTGATAAGATTCCAGCAAATCCTGTCCCCCTACCTACACAATATAGAAATATCAACCCAATGCTCCACTCTGGTACAAGCACCATCATCTCCATCTACATGGTCCCCTAACATGTCTTGCCTTATCCACTCTTGCAACTCTCCAATCCCTTCTCCAAAAGCAGCCAGATTGAACTTGTAAACATCACACCATAACATCTCCCTGGTTAACACCCTCGAATGGTTTTCCATTTCACTTAGAATAAAATTCAAACTCCTTCCCACTACCTTCAAGGCCCTGCATTCTTCTGGTCCCTGCATTATCATTATATGGCTCTATCAATTACTATCCCTCCCTTGGCTCACTCAATTCCAGACACTAACATCAGGGCTTTTGCATTTAGCTGTTTCATCTGTCTGTGTGCCCTTCCTGGAACTTTGCAGGGCTTCTCCTCACTTCTTTCAGAACTCATCTAAAATCACACCCTCAGGCCTGCCTTCCTTGGGCAGCATGCTTATATTATAGCCACATTCTCCGCCTCCACCAACCCCTGCCCCCCGCCCCACTGCCACCTTTTAACCTCTCAATTTTTGTTACTTCTGACAAAGATTCTCTTCTTTGGCCAAAACTCTAGTCAGGCTCCTGTGAGTCCTCTGCCTACTAGGACTAACCGTTTGGGCTTCCTTTCTGTCCTTGTTGAATCCAGTTTGTGCAGGGACTCTCCACTCTTGGCGTCTTAATCCATTTTTTGTTGCTATAACAGAATACAAAACACTGGGTAATTCATAAAGGAAAGAAAGTTATTTTTTGCAGTTCTGGAGTCTGGGGAGCCCAAAGTCGAGGGGTTGCATTTGGTGAGGGCTTTCTTAAACTGCATGGTAGAGAGCCTCTCACGGTGAGAAAGCAAGAGCATGTGTGCCAGCTCAGATCACTCTTCCTCTTCTTATAAAGCCACCAGTCCCATCACAGGGGCCCTACCCTGACGATTTTATCTAATCCTAATCACCCCCTCAAGGCTCCACCTCCAAATACCATCAACATATGAACTTTAGGATTGAGTTTCCAACGTATGGAATTTGGGGGACACAGTCAAACCATAGCACTCGGTATCTGACCACCCTCAACATCTTAGCACCCTGTCCTGCTTTCAGCAATAATCCTGTTAGGTCAGTTTAGCAAGAAACTTCTTATCCTTGATGTTTCTCTTAGTAGTTTTCCGTCCACTGACCCTCATCCTGCTCTTTGGTTATAAATCCCCACTATATCTTGTTGGAGTCAGAGTTGAGTCTAATTCCTCTTCTTCACTGCAAGATCTGGTTGTAGTGGTCCCTGTAACTATCACCATGGGCTCTCTTACATAAAGTCTGCCTTACCATCTTTAATTAGTGCCATGAACAAATTTTCCTTTAACACTTTTCAGCATTTATTTCTCTATATTTGTCTATTGTTTGTCTGACCCACCAAGCACTGTTATGTACCGTGACTGCAGACACTTGTTCCTCATTTTATCCCACTGCTTGGTGCACAGGAGACATTTATTAAATGTTTGTTGAATGAATGAATGACAAGCACTTGTCACAACGGTAACTCTGTGAAGACTAGGATCCTATCCATTTTGTTCATTACAAAATTCCGCCTAAGCCTTGAACAAGGCTATGAGTTATAAGTGCAAAGCGATTTAGAGGAAGGAGGGGTAACTAAACTGACTGAAGAAGCTAAGGGAAGCCTCACAGATAAAATTACATCTAAACTGAAACTGAAAGGAAGGTGGAAAACTAAAAAGATCAACAAGGGAAGGACTGCAGACAGAATATCGCGAGGTATTGGTCAGCCAAGATGGCTTCTAACACTGGCCGCCACACTTAATATGGCGGCCAGGGAAATTTCCTGGAGAAAATCACGCGAGAGTTGCATCACGGCGGCTGTGCGCGAGTTAAGCTGGGGGTGTGGAGCAGCCAAGATGGAGCCGGCAGTCGGCGGTCCGGGCCCACTGATCGTGAACAACAAACAGCCCCAGCCCCCGCCACCTCCGCCGCCGGCAGCCGCACAGCCACCACCCGGGGCACCGCGGGCCGCCGCGGGCCTCCTGCCTGGGGGCAAAGCCCGCGAGTTCAACCGCAACCAGCGCAAAGACTCAGAGGTCAGGAGCTTCGGGGGGCGAGGCTCGCACCGGGTCGGGCGGCGCCGGGGGTCCCGGGCCCGGGGCCACTCTAGGGGCCAGGTTGGGCTTCCCGGAGGGCTCGGTAGAGTCCGGCCGAGAACTGTCACTATACAGCGAAAGGAGCAGGAAGCGAGGCTGGCAGCTCCTGGGGTCTGGAGCATGAGTCCTTGCTCTAGCTCCGCCGCCCGGGAGAGCTTCCCGTGGCCGGCGACTGCTGGTTTGCTCCCCTGGGCCCCGACTGTGGGCGTGGCCTCGAGGCCCTAGCCCCTGGGGAAGCCGCTCTCGCCCCAGCTCGGGGGTGAGGAGTCGGGGGTCTTGGTGCACTCCAGGGCGCTGGGCTGCCGCGCCCCCAACCTAATCATCTCGGGCGTCTGTCCCTGGCACGCGGGCTCCAGCTCCTGGGTCCTGCCGCTCGCAGAGGAAGGCGCGTGTGGGCAGGGAAGGCGCCGGCGAGGATCTGGAAGGAACTTAGAGCCGGACCGAGCTAATTATCATTGAGAGTAGAGTAGGAGGGGGAAACATGTCCTGTTCTTCTGACCTGAGCCAGATCAGGCCATGGGTTAACAGTACCTGTGGTGGGCTATTGTGCCCAGTGCGCCTGATACTGAACTGTTAAAGATGAGAAATAGACATTTTAAGCATGCGTTAGGACCCAACATTCCTTCCTGTCTCGCTAGTGAGCCGTTCCTGCCGTTCTGGAGATGGCATAGTCTGGAACTGACTAGTAACCTCACCCCAAGTTAAGGAATTCCTCCCACTGCCTCCTTTTGCAGAATTCATGAATGAAGATACTCATGTCGCGGAGTTTTAGGGCTTCTTAATGAGCAGGTTCCCAGAGCACTTACTATGCCATCTCCTAGATTGATCAGCAGCCAAACTGATCAGCCAAGTTAATGAGAGGGAATTCCTAGTTGTCCAAGCATAATGTACCAATTCATACCAAAGAGCAATGATACTACCTTTAGACCTGTGGAATCAGTTCCTCAGAAGCTTTTATTTTTTGTTAGCAAGGCTAAACCCCTGAGAAAACATGTCAACAATTGGCAAGCCCGAAGTAGACGTAATTTGAGCTTGGAGTGAATTATTTGAAAAAAACAAAAACACTGACCATTTAGGAGCCCTGGCATGGTGGGATGACGGACATCAGTGTTAACTACTCAGTTTTTCAAGTGGAAGATTACGAAAGTGCAGGGGGGTGAACCTACCTTCATCATGAGAGGAGTTATCATTTTGAAAAATGGTTTAAAATTTTCCAGAGTAGCTACGAATGGTCAAATAGATACCCTCTGACGAATTGTAATTTCTCTTTGTACCCTTTAATTTCCACATAGAGGCCGGGTGCAGTGGCTCACGCCTGTAATCCCAGCACTTGGGGAGGCCGAGGCGGGCGGATCACCTGAGGTCAGGAGTTCCTGTCCAGCCTGGCCAATGTGATCAAACCCTGTCTCTACTAAAAATACAAAAATTAGCCGGGCGTGGTGGCTGGTGCCTGTAATCCCAGCTACTCAGGAGCCTGAGACAGGAGAATTGCTTGAACCTGGGAGGTGGAGATTTGCAGTGAGCCGAGATTGCACCATTGCACTCCAGCCTGGGTGACAAGAGCGAAACTCTCCCCGTCTCAAAAAAAAAAATTTCCTCATAGACTCATTACATGAAAGACCAGTCAAATGGACACATTTAAGCAGAGACCTGTCTAAATCCATTTCTTTATAGAGAGTCTGATGCCATGATCTTTCTTTAGTCATAGCTGAAATCGGTAGTTTGGGAGCCTGATCAGTGAATGCCTGGAGGACAGGGAGGCTCACATTTGATGAGAGCCCACTATGTACTACATAATTTTGATTAGTCCTTAAAAATCTTCAAAGTAGATTTTCATCATTGCCATTCAATGAATGAAGAAACCGAAGCTCAGTAACTTGTGAAAGTGTACACTGTGTTATCTCTGAACACAACGTGGAGTTCTTGTTTGTGGGTATGTTTTTTGTTTTGTTTTGTTTTGTTTTGAGACAGAGTCTCTGTCTGTCTCCCAAGCTGGAGTGTAGTGGCGCGATCTTGGCTCACTGCAACCTCCACTTCCGGGGCTCAAGCGATTCTCCTGCCTTAGCCTCCCGAGTAGCTGGGACTACAGGCACGCCCCACCATGTAAAAATATATTTTTAAAAAATTTTATATTTTTATTAGAGACGGGGTTTTACCATGTTGGCCAGGCTGGTTTCAAAGTCCTGACCTCAAATGACCCGCCCACCTCGGCCTCCCAAAGTGCTGGGATTATAGGCATGAGCCACCTCGCCTGGCCATTGTGGGTATGTTGTGTCATTTTGTGGCTGGTCTTTGTCTTCCCAGGTAGACTGTAATTAAACCTAAGGACTTTACCTATTTGTTTCTCACTTCTCTCTTCCCAGTACAAGGCTTCCAAGATGGTGTGTTCTCAGTAATCACCTATTTCCAGCAGGAAAAAGATTGTCTTTGTCACATTTTCTCTTATGTGTGGGAGGGAAGTTGATCTGTTTGGCGGCTGCCTTCTTTGTCAGTTCTCACTGAAATTTGAGACAAAGGTGGGAAAGCTGAGGGTTTCAATACTCATTTTTGTCCTGAGCTGTTGACAGTCCACTAGCCAGAAAGAAGTTAAGACTTCTGGAATCATAGCATCATATGGAATGGTCATTTACTGCACAAAATACATAGAAACCTTGTATTTATTCATTTAACAAATATGTGTGTATAGACCATTCATTCATTCACTTATTCATGCCAGGTACCATGCTGGACCTTGTGAAATCATTGGTAAGTTAAATGGATGATGTTCTTGTTCTCAGGGAACTTACAGTCTTGTGGAAAGGCAGACAGTAAACACATCCTATAATGATAAGTTATGATAAATGCTCTGAAGGAAAAGTATAGGATACTCTGAGAGGTTTTAGGAAACAAAATGTGAAAAAACATAAAAAAGTGGAGGCAGTGGTGTCCTGTAACACAACAGCATCTCGAAGCATGAGTTTCTTTGATAAATAGAATGATCCTTTTTCCTAAAGCTCTCTCCTCTTGTCAGCAGGGCTATTCGGAGTCACCAGACCTGGAGTTTGAGTATGCTGACACAGACAAGTGGGCTGCAGAGCTCTCGGGTAACGCACAGACCTTTGTGTTATTTGGGGGTGGTTTTTTCCTTATTGGTCTTTAATAAAATTAATAATGAATATCATTTAGGGCTTCATTGCTTTCCCTAGTTCTATCAAATATATATATATATATATATATATATATATATATATATATATGTATAAAACATGTTATTTGATTCAAGCCTTGTGTATCTTATAACTTTGTGTTGTCCTTTACTTTTATGAAGCTGGCTAGAGCCCAGTCCCATTGTGAGACAGTGATGTTCCTTGGCTATCCACTGTGACCCTGACAGTGGTCTCTCCTCCAGCAATGGGTCATGAGGGATGCCTGCATCTGTGCCCATCTGCTGCTGCCACTGCCACTCTCATGTAATGCGAGGTCGGTGTGAGCTGCTTCTCCAGCCTCTACAATACACATCCTGCTCAAGAGGTAGCAGCCATTTGAGAGATGCATCCCAGGTGGCCGTCAGCCCTGGCATGGCATGGTGGGATGGATGCACATCGGACTGGAAGTGTCCAGATGGCATTCTGGCACTCTGGTTGTCTCTATTGTGCACATCAGAGCACTAAGATCCCCTTCATAATTAGAGAGCTTATTCCAGGAGTCACTATGACTCAGGGGCAGAGTTGAGAGTGGAAGCAAATGCCTTGCCTTCTCTGCACTTGTGAGACCTGGTGTGCAATGCAGACATGGAACCAATGGTGACGAGACTTTGTTCTGACAGAGCTTTACAGCTACACGGAAGGGCCAGAATTCCTGATGAATCGAAAATGCTTTGAGGAGGACTTCCGGATCCATGGTGAGATGATTTCCCACACTTCTTGCTTCCTTTGCCCTGCATAACGAGAGCTGCAGGTTTCTTTTAGGCATCTGAATGACCTGAGTCATCCTGGAACAGCCTGAGAAGCCTGCTGAACCCTGATGGTTCAAAGCCAGATACATGTAGAGTGGGCTTGTGGCACATCGGTGGGGGCTTTTCAGAATGTGCATATTAGGGGAGAAAAAAAAATCATGTGATTAAAATTGCACCCAAAATACCAGCGTTTCAGTTTGGAATCAAATTCATAGAGCAGCAGTATGATCTTACCACTTACATAGGGTGTAACTTATCTTTCTGGTCCTATGGCAGTCCTGAATTTGGTGAGTTAACATGGGTCCATGCCATTGTGAGGATTTTTCTAGGCTCAGGTGTAACTGGTTTCTTGCCCTGCAGTGACAGACAAGAAGTGGACTGAGCTGGATACCAACCAGCACCGGACCCATGCCATGAGGCTCCTGGATGGCTTGGAAGTCACTGCCAGGGAGAAGAGACTCAAGGTGGCTCGAGCAATTCTCTATGTTGCTCAAGGTATTGAGTGGACCTCCCCAGGGTTCCCTGGCACCTCTGCCCACTCAGATGCAGGGAGGGGCTCAGTGAGTTGAACCCTGCATTGCAGGCACGTTTGGGGAGTGCAGCTCGGAGGCAGAGGTGCAGTCCTGGATGCGCTACAACATCTTTCTCCTCCTGGAGGTGGGCACGTTCAATGCTTTGGTGGAGCTTCTGAACATGGAAATAGAGTGAGCATTTTTGAGAGGCTGAGTAGGGAAGGGGAGGCTGGGATGGGAAGGGGGACAGAGCTTGCAGAACTAACTGGCTTTGAGAGGGTTAAATGGGGCAGAAGTTCTGGTCCCAGGCTGTGTTCTGACCACCTGGGTTGAATAACGGAGTTGGTCACTTACACCTTGAAGATTAATGGAGACTAATGACAGGTCCCTGCAGCTCCCTGATGCCAGAGTTTTTACACCAGACAGTGCAGGCCCTGCCCAGGCCTGGGGTGCTCCTCAGAAGGAGACTCTTCACTTTGAGCTCTCTTTTGAACCTGCAGACACTGCTGTGTTCGCCCTGCAGTTTCCGCCTTGGCAGGAGGCCAGGCACAAGACTGACATATGGGCTCAACCAGTGCCTGGCCTTGCCTGTGTCACCTTTGTCCAGTGGACAGGTCAGCTGCTGCTCATCTAAGGATAACACCATCAATGATAAAGCTAAGACAGCTCATTGAGTGCCTGTGTGTCCCGGGCATTGTTCTCAGAATATTACATGTGCTAATTCATGTTAAGGATATAGGTACTACTGTCATCCCCATTTTACAGATGAGGAAACTAAGGCGCAGTTAGAGCCAGGATTCAAACCGTGGCAGTCCAGTGCATGGCTGGGTTTTTTGTTTTTGTTTTTGTGTTTTTTTTGTTTTTGTTTTTGTTTTTGAGAGAGAGTCTTGTTCTGTTGCCCAGGCTGGAGTGATATGGCGTGAACTTGGCTCATTGCAACCTCCACCTCCCGGCTTCAAGCTATTCTCCTGCCTCAGCCTTCTGAGTAGCTGGGTTTACAGGTGCCTGCCACCACACCCAGCTAATTTTTGTATTTTTAGTAGAGATGGGGTTTCGCCATGTTGGCCAGGCTGGTCTCAAACTCTTGACCTCAGGTGATCCACCCGCCTCGGCCTCCCGAAGTACTGGGATTACAGGCATGAGCCACCATGCCCAGCCATGGTCTGGTTTCTTAACCACCGTGTCCTGTGGCCTCTTGTGCAGTCCAAGCACGTATCACAGCATTTTGTTTCCCCATTGGTCAGTACTTGTCAGGGACATCACTTATCTTCCTTCTTGGAGGAAGATGCTGACTCTCAAAATCTCCTGCAGCAACAGTGCCGCCTGCAGCAGTGCTGTGAGGAAGCCTGCCATCTCCCTGGCTGACAGCACAGACCTCAGGTGAGGCGAGCAGCAAGCCTGGGCTCCTGAGCGTTAGTCAGAGATGAGATCAGAGCAGGGTGTGGGAGGCTGTCTGTGGGTGTCATTGCTGTGTGTGCTTCTGTACACATCATCTGCATGTGTGATGGGCTCAGTGTGAATGATTAGTAGGAACTGCTGAGGGCTCGTCCTAGGTGGGACTCTGGGTTGAGACTCCCAAAGGCAATCCAGGGTCAAGTGACTTACTAGAGCCACAGCTAAGTGTGGCCTCCTACTCACACTGTTACTCAGGACCTGGTCGTGGGGTATTTTGTATTTGGATGAAACACTTGATGGTGTTCCCTGGACTCCCACCTTCTTGTGTACACAGCTTGATGCTCATCTTCATTGGGTTAGACCTGACAGCTTCCTAATGTTTCATGGCTGCCCAGGAGCTCACAGCAACTGCTGACCACCAAGATCACCCCTCAGTTTTTGAGGGTTGAAATCTGGCTCTTTTTATGAATTTGGAAGTTTTTAGACTAGGTGGTTGTAGTGTTGCCTCCCGGGTGTTAGGATCCCTGGGCGTCACCTCTCAGCTCCTGCTTTCCATTTCCTCATCATAAACCCTGTTTTTGTTCTCACTGTGACCCTGTTCTGCTTTGACCCTACAGCTCGCTACCACCTCTGTGGTTTTTTTCTTTTCAGGAAGCTTAGGGTGGTAAATGCTTTTGGCCATTCTTGTTCATACTCATTTATTCAGATACCATTTATTAATAGTAAGCCCCTGCTTTGTGTAAGCACTTTGTTAGACACTAGGGTGCTCCTTTGACCCCCCCATCCCACTCCATTGTGAGCTGGCTCTTGTCCTCAGGGTCCTGCTCAACATCATGTACCTGATAGTGGAGACCGTTCATCAGGAGTGTGAGGGTGACAAGGCTGAGTGGAGGACCATGCGGCAGACCTTCAGAGCCGAGCTGGGTAGGACCCTGGGGATCCTCTCTAGAGGCCCTGCCTGGAAGCTGAGGCGGAAGGCTTTGGGAGGGTCCTGATACCTTTGTGTCACCTCCAGGCTCCCCGCTGTACAACAATGAGCCATTTGCCATCATGCTGTTTGGGATGGTGACCAAATTTTGCAGTGGTCACGCCCCTCACTTTCCCATGAAGAAAGTTCTCTTGCTGCTCTGGAAGACAGTATTGGTGAGCACCTCCTTGGAGGAGGAGAACGGTGCTATGGGATGGGCAGTAGGGAGACTGTTCCTTGAATATCCTTTTGAATATTGAATTATGTGACTGTAAAACTGCTTTGGTAAAAAAAATTATTTAAAAAGCTGCTAAAAGGAGATGACAAAAGAAGGGCCACTATTGTCCCATTGCAGCCAACGAGGACATAGGCCTTGAGTCAGAGTAGGCTGTTGGCTCTCTGACCCCGGAAGCTGTTTTCTGTCATAGAACAGCTCTCCCCCAGACAAGTTGCCTCTCAGCAAGCAGCTCTGGACCTGGAGTTTGTAAAGGGATTTGAGGCAAAGTTACAGCTGATGTAATTGGGGCCCTGGTTGGATATCACTTAAAGGGGCAAGAGTGAGCCCTGAGCCAGCCTCCATTTTCTTCAGGGTATGGTGTCAGCCCGACTCTGTGTCTAGGTAGGGAGGGACTGGGTGCCAGAGTGGGCCGTCCAGCACACTGGGCTTGGAGCGTTGTTAGCAGCCAGGCCATGCCAGGAGGCCTTCCCAGGAGGAGTGACATGGGGAGGCGGTGGAGGTGAGTTGGGCCTCTGCTACACTGGGGCTCATCCTTCCTTTCAGAATGGGTCAACTCTGGAGCCAGGGCTCAGTAAGTATAGGATTTCTTAAAAGTCATTGACACATTTTATCTTGGCCACACATTCTGTTCTTCATAAAGCCTTGCTAAGGCTAGAGAGGAAAGCTGAATTGCTCAGAAACAGTAAAACTAAGCAGTCTAAAGCTGGATGTTGCTGGCGTTTCTGCTTCTTGGGAGATGTTTAGATGAAGCTTTTTTTCTTCTTCTAAAGTTGAGCAACCAACAGTATTTCTAATTTGACTTTGAAAGACTTGCATGTACAACTTGTGAAACATGAGTCTCACCAACTTTTCTAGGAACTTGCAGGGTTAGGCTCTTTGCTTCTTTTTAAATTGAAGAGTATGTCATAGGTGCAGAGTTAGTGTATCTGCACTAGGGTCAGTCAGCCTGCATCTCCACTCTTTCCTTGTTCCTTTTTCTCCTTTCCCTTGCGGATGTCACGGAATTCTCCTTGGGAGTGGCTTCAGTCCATTGTTCAGGAGTTGCCTGGGTCTCTATAAAGACATGGGTCATGATGTCATGAATGTTTCTGAGCCTGACACAATGGTCAGGGGCCAGCCTGTGGACACATTGACCCTGGCTCTGCTTCCCTGTCTGTGATGCAGTGCACGCTAGGCGGCTTTGAGGAGCTGCAGAGCATGAAGGCTGAGAAGCGCAGCATCCTGGGCCTCCCCCCGCTTCCTGAGGACAGCATCAAAGTGATTCGCAACATGAGAGCAGCCTCTCCACCAGCATCTGCTTCAGACTTGATTGAGCAGCAGCAGAAACGGGGCCGCCGAGAGCACAAGGTGAGGACGACAGAGGTCCCTGTGACTCCTGAGGGCCCTCAAGGTGCATGCTTGCAGCAGCACAGTCCTTGGAGGAGCAGGGCTGCTGGAAATGATCTCTGATCAGCCAGTCAGAATCATGCCTCCACAGCGAGGATACTTTGTCCCCAGCTCTGGTCCAGTGTATGGTGAGTGCTCAGCACGTGGTGCTTTTGAGGGACTGGAGCAAGAAGTAGTTGATGGTTTGGCCCCCGTCTTGACTCCCACTGTGGTTTTTCCACTGTTCTTGCCTCTACTGGACACCTGTATGTGCTGTGTCTCCTCTGGCTGCACTTCCCTGGTCTGCGTCCTCAGTTGGCTCTTGTCTCATCTCCCTTCCCTGGTTTCAGGCTCTGATAAAGCAGGACAACCTAGATGCCTTCAACGAGCGGGATCCCTACAAGGCTGATGACTCTCGAGAAGAGGAAGAGGAGAATGATGATGACAACAGTCTGGAGGGGGAGACGTTTCCCCTGGAACGGGATGAAGTGATGCCTCCCCCGCTACAGCACCCACAGACTGACAGGCTGACTTGCCCCAAAGGGCTCCCGTGGGCTCCCAAGGTCAGGTGAGTCTCAGACCTCCAGAGCACTCATAGTTCCTGAGGCAGAGCCCTCACACCCTCAGGCCTGCCACCTGGCCTGTGTCACCATGTGTGGTCCTCTGCAGGGCAGGCTGACCGTGGCTCTGGGATGAGGCTCTCTTAAAGCACCCTGTGCTGTCCTGAGGGTCTCAGGGAGGCCGGCCTTGCTGGTCTCACACAACATGGCCCTCATGTGGCTACTGAGGCAGTAATTGGAGTTAGCTCTTGGTTAGATGTGCTAGTGAAGGGGGATAGGAAACAAATAAAAACAAAAGCATTTAAGCAAACATGTCTCCACCCATCCTGGGGTTGTGTATGGTTTTTAACAAAAATGATAGATTAAGGAAGAGTTTCTTTAGAGCCATAATGAAAATGTTTGAGATATATGTGGGTAAATCGATGGATGGGACGGTACCTGGAGATATATAAATGGTGTCTGTTTGATAGGCAGCAGCTTAAGAAATAGATGAACATGTGAGAGGATATAGAAGTCGCTTTCTTGATCCAGGTAAAGCCTCAGTTTTCAGTGATCTGTGAAGGGAATGCAAAACAGATCATCAGAAAATGCAAGGTATGCTGATTGTTTGGGATAGGAAAAGTGAGCTATATGAAAAATCAGTAGCCTATAGCTTTAATTGTTTAAAAGTTTTAATATTTAAGAAAGTCTGTTGACAAACTTGTTCATACTATCTGAATAAAGCATGTTTTTAAGTTTGATATATCCCTTTAATTTTATGAATAAACTAGTTAACATGTATTTCCAGGTTACTGATCCAGCAAAATTATAAGAAACATTAAAATTCTCTGAAAATTTCAGTTTTTTCCCTTTTTTCAAAGAGAAAAACAATTATAGGAGACTTCTCCTGGCTTCACAGTTTCTGGATGCTGTGTTTTTGTTAACTGTAACACTTTGAAATAGCATTTGCTAAAAACCTTTTTTCTTTCTCTCTTTTTTGGTGATGTGGCAGAGAGAAAGACATTGAGATGTTCCTTGAGTCCAGCCGCAGCAAATTTATAGGTTACACTCTAGGCAGGTGAGTAAAAGCCGAGTTCATTTTGCTGTTAGCTCTCCCGGCCTTTGGTGTTTGGGATCCCAGGTGATTTGATGTCGAGGCTCAACACAGGGCCTTCTTTATTCTCCAGTGACACGAACACAGTGGTGGGGCTGCCCAGGCCAATCCACGAAAGCATCAAGACTCTGAAACAGGTGAGTGGCTTTGGGTGAGCTTTTGGCTTGTTTGGTCCTAAGTGAGTAGAGTGAAACCAGCCTGTAGGGAGAAGCCTTTTAAGACTGTTGTCTGCCTGCAAGAACCTGGGGTAGAGGCCGGGGTGGACTTTGCAATAACCTTGCAAACAGTCTTTCGTAAGTTTTGCTTGTTTTATTATAAGTTTTACTTGTTTTAGCTGAGCTTTTGTTTGGGACTGACTGGGAAGTCTTTAAAGATTATATTACCTGACCACCGGGCACCAAGGCATGCACCTGTAGTCCCAGCTACTCAAGAGGTTGATGCAGGAGGATTGTTTGAGCACAGGAGATCAAGGCTACAGTGAGCTATGATCATGGTCCTGCACTCTAGCCTGGGCCACAGAGTGAGACCCGGATTCTTTAAAAAAAAAAAAAAAAAAAAAAAGGATTATATTACTTGACAGTTGTTGAAATTCTAAAGAGCTCAATAAATAGCCCTCCTTTTCCTTGCCCACGTTCTCAGGCGGTTGAAATAGAGGAGTAGGCAGATGGAGATTGTAATGCCAACTTTATAGCTCATAGAGCCATGGAGAATGAGGCTTAAGAACACAGCAGTAGTGTCCTAATACGTTGTTCCAGAATTAGGCAGAGTTACCTACCAGTCCCAGGCAGTGTGGGGAGGCTCTGCCAAGCTTGGTGGCGGGGAGGAGAAGAGAGCAGACTCTCAGCAGGCAGACAGGTTCTAAAGAGAAAAGAGAAGGGTGAGGACAAGTCCGCCCTGTGTCCCCTCCCATACTCTCCGATCAGAGAAGGGAGGAGTGAGTGTGTGGACGGGGCAGAGAGAGATGAGGGGTGTTTCGCAAACCCCTGTCCCTCCACACGGGAGAGAACATTAAGAGTGGGGAAGAGGCATCTCCCCTAACAGCTATCTGGAGTGAAACTGTTTTTATGTTTTTGAAATATATTTTTGGAATTTGTAGTACTAAGTGGTCTCTCTGCAGCTAGGCTTTTTGAGTACTTGATTTTGCTTTCAGTTTTTCTCCTGTTGCTGTAGCTATCTGAAAGGCCATTTCCCTCCTTTAATTTACTTTTTTCTTATCTACCATGGGCTTCTTACTGTAGTTGCAAGAGGAAGGGGCCCTTTTAGAAAAATATTTTGGGGCCAGGCATGGTGGCTCACGCCTATAATCCCAGCACTTTGAGAGGCCAAGGTGGGTGGATCACCTAAGGTCAGGAGTTCAAGACCAGCCTCACCAACATGGCAAAATCCCATCTCTACTAAAAATACAAAAATTAGCCAGGTGTGGTGGTGCACACCTGTAGTCCCAGCTACTTGGGAGGCTGGAGCAGGAAAATTGCTTGAACCTGGGAGGCGGAGGTGGCAGTGAGCCAAGATCATGCCACTGCACTCCAGTCTGGGCAACAGAGGAAGACTTCATCTCAAAAAAATAAAAATAAAAAATATCTGGGGTTTGGGATTTTAGCTAGGGATTTTTGTGGTGACTTAATCCTCTTTCAGAAGACTGTGTTTGAAGACAAATGTGTGGGGATTTTGCTAGAGTGCAGGGAGTTTGGCCAGAGAATGTTTTCCCCAGCCCTTCTTTTCCCATCTCTCCCACCAGCACAAGTACACGTCGATTGCAGAGGTCCAGGCACAGATGGAGGAGGAATACCTCCGCTCCCCTCTCTCAGGGGTAAGTTGGAGGTCCTCAGTCCGGGCGCGGTGGCTCACGCCTGTAATCCCAGCACTTTGGGAGGCCGAGGAGGGCAGATCATGAGGTCAGGAGATTGAGACCATCCTGGCTAACATGGTGAAACCCCGTCTCTACTAAAAAAAAAAAAATTAGCCAGCCGTGGTGGCGGGCGCCTGTAGTCCCAGCTATTCAGGAGGCTGAGGCAGAAGAATGACGTGAACCCGGGAGGCGGAGCTTGTAGTGAGCCGAGATAGCGCCACTGCACTCCAGCCTGGGCGACAGAGCGAGACCATCTCAAAAAAAAAAGTTAGAGGTCCTCTTCAGCCCCCGGGATCCCCAGCTCTTCCCAGGCATTGTGCTGGGATTAGACCACAAGGTTGCCCCAGGCCCTGCCCTCAAAGAGCTCCCAGTCCACCTCCCAGTGCACAGGCTGAGACACGTCTAGTGCAGGGTTAAGAATACAGACTGAGTCAGGAACCTGCCTCTGATGCCTGGGTCCACCACTTTATGGATGGCAACTTAGGCAAGTTACTGGGTCTCTCTATGCTTTATTTCCTTGTCTGTGAAATAGGAATAATAATACCTTTATAGGGTTATAATAATAAGGATGAACTGAGTTATTACAAGTAAAATGCTTGGCACATTGTTTGTGTTCAGGGTTTGCTGTTATCATCATTAACATCATTATGTACATCACTGTTTACAGGTTTTCCTCCAGCCAGCTAGGAAGCTGGCTCAGGAGATTGTATTCTGGGCTGGGGTTTTATGCTTGTACTCATTATGTTAAAAGGGAGAAGAAGAAGTTGAGCAAGTCCCTGCAGAAACCCTCTACCAAGGCTTGCTCCCCAGCCTGCCTCAGTATATGGTGAGTGGTGCCTGCAGTGGGACACTCCCACTACACTGGCCTTAGAGCAGGCCCTGCCGTCCTCCTGCCACCTGCAGACCAACAGGAGGACTGCTCAGAGCTTAATTTTGACCCTGGGCTCTCAGACCTGTGTCTGAATGGTCTACTCTTCCCAGATTGCCCTCCTGAAGATCCTGTTGGCTGCAGCACCCACCTCAAAAGCCAAAACAGACTCAATCAACATCCTAGCGGACGTCTTGCCTGAGGAGATGCCGTGAGTATCATTCTGTGAATGAAGCAGGTGGGGCAGAAGATAGATGGAGAAGGGCAAACATTTTCCTCTTGTCAGGTTGGTTGTTGTTGGCCCAGCTCTACAGGTTAAATGTAGGTATTTTTGACCCAAAAAAAGGAAACTACGAGATTAAAGAGTTTCACTGGTTGGGGAGATGGCTTGGTCCTGTTGGCCTGGATTCTAGTGTAGACTCTACCACTGAGCAAACTCCTGAGTGAATTGGGGAAAGTCATTTCCTCCTCTGTAAAATGAATGGGGCCACCCTGGACATTTCCCCAAAGCCCCACTCTCCAGCTGTGATTGAGACACCCAGGATGAGGAGGGTTAGTTTGTAGACAGCTTGCCAGCAACAGCTGAACCTGTGCCAGGTATAGAGACATCCCTTTTCGCCAGTGATTGGGCACGCAGAATGCTGGCAAATGTCTCAGGGCGATAGAGTGAGATTCTTCAGAGCTCTTCTGCCCTGTGCCCTGTACTTGTCTTTCATGTGAGAGTCCAGATTGAGATCATGTTCTACTTTGAGAAGGACCTGGACCTTGACCTGATCTTCTGCCTGCCTGGGCCACCAGCCCTGAGCCCAGCTCCTGGGTGGCTGTGGCCCCGGAGTATGGCAGTGATGGCCGGCTGAGGGAGGAGGCAGGGGTTGGCTAACACCAGAGGGAGGATCACAGAACACTAGGCCATCATGTGATGGTCCTTGGAAAAAAGGTTCTAGAGTCAAATACTGTATATTTGATTCATGGATTTCTCTTATAAGGAGGAATTCCTCTTACAAAGATGTACAATGAGAAGTCCTGAATTAAGAAACCAATGTAACTCAGTGCTTCCTAAATTTATCTTACTCCAAAACCCTTTTTTTCCATGACATGAAACTTGCCAATATCCTGGTATTCCACAGAACACATTTGGAGAACTCAGGTTAATATGGCAGCAGAAGCTTAGGGGAGATCTTGGAAAGGAGAAGAAGTTCATTTTTGGAGGAAAGGCAGAGAAACAGACTGAGAATGTATTTGAGGGCATCATGGGGAAGAAATAAATTGTGCGAGGCTACATTGCTTGGGAGGTGGATGGGGGAGCCCTCGGCTGACTTCTGAGATGTCCTTGGGGTGAGTGGGGAGGTAGGAGTCTTTGCCCAGGGAGGCTCCGGAGTCCATCTTTTCTGTGGGCACCTAGAAATGAGGTACTGCGCATGCTGGTGGCTTACCCAGGCAATTATGTTTCCAGCACCACAGTGTTGCAGAGCATGAAGCTGGGGGTGGATGTAAACCGCCACAAAGAGGTCATTGTTAAGGCCATTTCTGCTGTCCTGCTGCTGCTGCTCAAGCACTTTAAGTTGAACCATGTCTACCAGGTACCCACAGGGCTTTCCCTCCTGTCCTGTGGGCTGGGGCCTCGGGCACTGCTGCTCCTCCAGCCCACAAGAACGGGGGCCTTGGCCTTTGACCCACTTGAACTCTGCATGAATGTTCTAAGACATGGCCCTTCAGCCAAGGCCTTTCATCCCTGGAGGAAAGAGGGCAAGGTCCCAAGGGCCGCGCCTTTTTTTTTTTTTTTTTTTCCTGTTGGCTTCAGTTTGAATACATGGCCCAGCACCTGGTGTTTGCCAACTGCATTCCTTTGATCCTAAAGTTCTTCAATCAAAACATCATGTCCTACATCACTGCCAAGAACAGGTGATGAGGGCCAGGGACCATGAAGGGGTGGATATGGTCAGACGGCAGAGTTCCCAGCTGGTATTTCCCACTGTGTCCATTTTTCCAGCACCTACGAGCCAGCACTGTGCTAGGCATCAAGACATAAAGATAAATGAGACATGGCCTCTGCCTGTGGAGAGCCCACTGTGTCAAATCTGAGTCTAGCTAGTCCTGCCCCAGGTGACTTGGTCTGTGCCTGGGCAGGAGGGTTTTCATCCCAGGATCTAGTACTTTCCTCCCTGTCCCTTCTGTACTTTTTTTTTTTTTTTTTGAGGAGTCCATGGGCTGCTTGCTGTCTCTAAGGGGCTCGGCCATGTGCCTTGTAATGCCCTATCTGCTGACTCTTAGCCCCTGCTGTTGGCCTGGTGCCAGCTGTGCTTGACATTACTTGCTCGTCAGTGTGATATACCACAGGGCGCCGGCCAGACCCTGTCTCCAGAAAGGTTTGGCATAAATTAGTTGCCCTGAGCTATCTCCTCCCCCGCCCCACATTGATTGCTGTGGGGGAAGCTGTGAGGGTCTCTTCCCCTTACAAGATCAACAAGCTGGCCTCTGGCTACAGGGGTGCTTTACAAGTTCTCTTGTAACAGATATTTCCTCATCTTATAGGTGGGGAAACTGGGGTGGGACACATCAGGTAGATTCCTACTTCTGCTCCAACAAGTGAGGGAGGAAAGCTGGGAGCTGGCTCAGGCACGGCTGCTCCACCAGGCCCTGGGCCTTTGCTCATGGTGGGCATCTGGTTCCTCTCCCCTCTGCAGCATTTCTGTCCTGGATTACCCTCACTGCGTGGTGCATGAGCTGCCAGAGCTGACGGCGGAGAGTTTGGTGAGTGGCTGGGCTCTCCTCAGCTGTCCTTTTGGCACCAGGGTCAGTGGGTAGAGAGCCTGCCTACCCCAACACTGCAGGAATAGAGGTGTCTCCCGCAGGTGAAATCACTGTGGAGTGCCCGGCTTTTAAAGCACTGTAAGTGTACAGAAGGGCCAGGAGGAGGGCTCTTGCAGAGCAGAGAGATTTGGATTTAGGGATTAGTCAGGGAGTGTGGTCTTCAGGGGCTGCTGATCCAGAGCTCACCTAGTAGAGGGCTTCTCTCCCTCAACACTGGACTCGGCAGTAGGAGCTCTGGGGCAGCCCAAGGCCACAGCTCCCAGTATCATGGTTCATATTTCCTGCAGGAAAAGTCTAGGGAGCCTCCCTCTTCCCCTAGTCCCCTGCCAGCTTCTGGGATGGAGTCCTGGGGCTGCTCTGAGAGCAGGGGATTCCTGGTAGAGGCCTGGAGACCCGGCTGTCCTGAGATCATGTGTGAGGGACTTTTGGAAACTGCTGCACACACTGCAGCCATGAGGGCTGATTGTTCCTGGGTTTACCCTGCAGGAAGCAGGTGACAGTAACCAATTTTGCTGGAGGAACCTCTTTTCTTGTATCAATCTGCTTCGGATCTTGAACAAGCTGACAAAGTGGAAGCATTCAAGGACAATGGTAAGTGAGTCAGTGTAGTCAGCAGGCTTGGAACTTGGAGCTCAAAGAAGAGTGCTGGGAGCAGGGAGTCCCCAGGGTGGGGCTCACTGTGCCTTCTCACTTAACTTTGCTGTAGCCGTATCCTTGCATTTTAAGGGCCAATTCCCAGTTCCTTGATGAATTGAACTGGAAGCTGGAAGAGGCCCAGTCATGCACTGAAACAAATCTACATTTATAGAAGAACTTTTTCCATGTCGTCTTAATCTTGATTGGTAACATAATCAGGGTTCTGAGAATCTTCCTTAACTCTGGGTCTGTGGATGCCTTTGGGGTGGGGAGGTCCTTGAATCCTCTGATAACTGTGTGTACATGTACACCGGAATGTTTCTGGAAGGAATCCATAGCTTTCTTCAGATTCCAAAGTGACACATAGTTAGGGTGACCAACCATCCTGGTTTGTCTGGAACTCTACTGGTTTTAGCATTTAAAGTCCTATGTATCAGGAAACTCTTCAGTCCAAGGGAAACTGGGATGGTTTGTCACCCTGACAGTAACTTCCAAAGGGTTAAGCAGCAGTGTGACCTGGGATGTATGCATTTATTTTTGTCTTCAACTTGGGCTGCTTGCTTGTTTCCCTTCCCAGATGCTGGTGGTGTTCAAGTCAGCCCCCATCTTGAAGCGGGCCCTAAAGGTGAAACAAGCCATGATGCAGCTCTATGTGCTGAAGCTGCTCAAGGTACAGACCAAATACTTGGGGCGGCAGTGGCGAAAGAGCAACATGAAGACCATGTCTGCCATCTACCAGAAGGTGCGGCATCGGCTGAACGACGACTGGGCATACGGCAATGGTGAGACTCTGCACTCAGCCAGATTTGGGTGGGAGTGTGTCGGGAAAAGTGACATCTTTCACTCCCTGCCCGTGGTACTCAGGTACTTCTCTGCCCTGAGCTTCCCCCCAAGGAACAGGAAGGAGCCCAGCTCCTGCTTTTGTAGCATCAGGATGGGCACTCTAGGAAGGACTTTGAGAAGCTACCCAGCCTTGGCATCTGCGATCATCCCCATCTCTCCTTGTACCTCCAAGTCATTCCTTTTCTAGAAATTGTCATAAGACTGTGTCCCCTCTTTTCATCCCCATTTTGGCCACCTAAACTCTTACAGCTCTTGACTGACTTCCCTGCCTCTAATTTCTTCCCCTCCATCAGTGTCTCAGATTTCCCTAGTGATCCTTTTTTACTTTGATGTTTTTTAAAGATAGGGTCTCGCTCTGTTGCCCAGGCTAGAGTGCGATCCTGGCTCACCACAACATCTGCCTCCTGGGCTCAAACTATCCTCCTGCCTTAGCCTCCTGAGTAGCTGGAACCACAGGCACATGCCACTGTGCCCACCTAATTGTATCTTTTTTATAGAGACAGGGTTTCACCATGTTTCCCAGGGTGGTCTTTTTTTTCTTTTGAGACAGAGATTCTGTCGCCCAGGCTGGATTGCAGTGGCACAGTCTCAGCTCACTGCAACCTCTGCCCCCCAGGTTTAAGCGATTCTCCCCCCTCAGCCTCCCAAGTAGCTGGGACTACAGCTGCACGCCACCATGTCCAGCTAATTTTTGTATTTTTTGTAGAGATGGGGTTTCACTGTGTTAGCCAGGCTGGCCTCGAGTTCCTGGCCTCAAGAGATGCACCCACCTCGGCCTCCCAAAGTGCTGGGATTACAGGCATGATCCACTGTGCCCAGCCTTCTCAGGGGGTTCTTGAACTCCTGGGTTCAAGCGATCCACCAGCCTCGGCCTCCCAGAGTGTTGGGATTACAAGCGTGAGCCACTGCGCCCGGCCCCCTAGTGAATCTTTTCAACATGCAGATCCTGTGCTGTTACCTCCCTGAGTAAAATCCTTCATTAGCTTCCTATTTCCCTTAGAATTAGATTCAGACTCAGGCAGGGCATGTGAGGCTCCCTCGTCCTTTTTCATTCTCCTCCTCTGTAATCTGACCCAGCTTCCTTTTCAACCTTGTTACGGGCTGTCAGTCCAGCCTCCATCATACCCAGAGCTCCAGGCACAGGGAGTGCTCAGTCCCTGAACATAGCCGTGTGGTTCCCACTACTAGGCCTCTGCAGGCACTCTTCTTTCGCCCACAGTGTGTCTCCCCTGCCCACCTGGGCTGCTCTGTGTGTGCGTGTTGCTGCGTTGTTGCGTTTCTGGAATATACCACCATGGCTGAATGACTGTGTCTGTACTCTCAATGCCCTGTGAATGTGTGCAGGCCCACAGTGGCACACGGTACCTGGTTGGGGAGTTGAGAGAGAATGAGCAAAGGAGAAGATCTCCAGGTTCCTCCCTCTGACCCCAGAGAGCCAGGGAGAATGCCACTTTGAGAGAAATGTGTTGTACACATGGTTCTCCCTCTCTGGGTCTACATAATCCCTACAGTATAAGCCTCTTTCTCAGTACCTCTGGCTTTTCTGCTTGTACTTGACTCTCCTTTGGATCTAGGAAGGAATTCCTGGCATCTTTCTGAGGATGAGCTCGGAGGTATCCTGCTCTTAGTTGACACTCAATATTCCTGGCCAGTGAATCCATGGGGAGCTGCTACAGGGCATGGCTCCTAACGGTGTTTCTTCCTGCTTTGTCTCAGATCTTGATGCCCGGCCTTGGGACTTCCAGGCAGAGGAGTGTGCCCTTCGTGCCAACATTGAACGCTTCAACGCCCGGCGCTATGACCGGGCCCACAGCAACCCTGACTTCCTGCCAGTGGACAACTGCCTGCAGAGTGTCCTGGGCCAACGGGTGGACCTCCCTGAGGACTTTCAGATGAACTATGACCTCTGGTTAGAAAGGGAGGTCTTCTCCAAGCCCATTTCCTGGGAAGAGCTGCTGCAGTGAGGCTGTTGGTTAGGGGACTGAAATGGAGAGAAAAGATGATCTGAAGGTACCTGTGGGACTGTCCTAGTTCATTGCTGCAGTGCTCCCATCCCCCACCAGGTGGCAGCACAGCCCCACTGTGTCTTCCGCAGTCTGTCCTGGGCTTGGGTGAGCCCAGCTTGACCTCCCCTTGGTTCCCAGGGTCCTGCTCCGAAGCAGTCATCTCTGCCTGAGATCCATTCTTCCTTTACTTCCCCCACCCTCCTCTCTTGGATATGGTTGGTTTTGGCTCATTTCACAATCAGCCCAAGGCTGGGAAAGCTGGAATGGGATGGGAACCCCTCCGCCGTGCATCTGAATTTCAGGGGTCATGCTGATGCCTCTCGAGACATACAAATCCTTGCTTTGTCAGCTTGCAAAGGAGGAGAGTTTAGGATTAGGGCCAGGGCCAGAAAGTCGGTATCTTGGTTGTGCTCTGGGGTGGGGGTGGGGTGTTTCTGATGTTATTCCAGCCTCCTGCTACATTATATCCAGAAGTAATTGCGGAGGCTCCTTCAGCTGCCTCAGCACTTTGATTTTGGACAGGGACAAGGTAGGAAGAGAAGCTTCCCTTAACCAGAGGGGCCATTTTTCCTTTTGGCTTTCGAGGGCCTGTAAATATCTATATATAATTCTGTGTGTATTCTGTGTCATGTTGGGGTTTTTAATGTGATTGTGTATTCTGTTTACATTAAAAAGAAGCAAAAATAATTCCCGTTGGCTTGTCTACAGGAAATATGGCCTCTACGTATCTCCTCCAGGTCTAGAAAGTGGTTTTTTCTGCTAGCATTGCTGGTCAACGCTTGTCCTTGTCAAGCTGCCTGCCTTTCCCATCCTGGGGGAAGAGGAGAGAGAGTTGGCATTTATCCAGTGTAAGTTAACCCCACAGTAATCTGGGATTGCTCTAGCCCAACTCCAGGGCACTAGGTTACTTTACTGACACATTGTCCTGCACCCCTGGGTTTGCTGTAATTTCAGTAGGAGCCCCAGGTTTCTCTGGATCACATCACTGAGCTGGCCTCAGCCAAACCAGTGTCAGTGCTATGGAGGGAGGGGCTAGGTCAAAGCAAGGGGGTCTGCTGCTCTAGGTCCTCCCTGGGGCAGGTGGTTGGGACTGAGGGGAAACTTCAGTACTCAGAGCCTAGGAAGCAGACCATCAGGAGTCAGGTTCACGGTGGGAAAAAGTGTTGGAGGGCCCAGGAGCCCCCTGTGGCTGAGAGAAAAGCAAGGAAAATCTTTGTAGTAGGTGTCAGTGGACACCTGGCGCCTCCACTTTGGCCTCCAGACCCCTGGTTTCATCTGCCTGAGAAGATATTAGTGTTTTGATGCTGGTGAAAGGAGTGTTTCCTTTTTAGAATTCCTGGAAGCTCTTATTTTACCTGTAGGCAGTTGTTTTGTAGGTTGTTAAATCTCCAAGGGGTCTTGACTTGTAAAGGAAACATGTTCTGGGGAGCATCTCCCCTTCTTTGGGTCTTGTGTTCATGCCTGCCTGGCCTGGGACCTGCTGAGCCTCAGGACAGGCCTTTTGATGTGCCAGCATGGTTAGGGACAGCAGGGGTGGAAGGCAGCAGTGTACTCCTGATGGTCACACAGCTGTGAGATGGGAAGTCCCATCTGTGACTGATGGGCCCTGTGCCCCAAAGTAACTTGTACAGGACAAGGGAATTGACACAATTTATGTGTGGATGATGGATTTTCTGCTATTTCTTTCCAGGACTGACAGGAAATATGTATCTTGAGATTTCAATTAGGGAGAGATGGATTTTTCACATTCTTACTCTCCCATGAAGCCTGAGTCACTGAAACTGCGTGGTCGAGGCCTGTCTCTCCTCTGACCTGCAAAAGAGAATGCAGGACTATCAAAGCTGCAAGGGCCATAAAGCCTGGGCAGGCAAATCCTTTCAGCTGTAGGCCCAGGAGCCAGCCTGGGGAGAGGAAGGGGCTTCTCACAGCCACAGAGTGTATTAGTGGCAGGTTGGCCATTTGAACTCAGGTCTTTGTACAGAAATGTCTTTTGGAGCCACACAGTTTTTGTGGCTTTTTAAATCTCATATGGGTCATGAAATGGGCAGAGTACATGAAGACCCTTTGTACTTTGATTGAGTTACATAAAATGTTGTTTATTGCTAAGCAGGGTCAGGGTCCACTGCTCCTTCAATCCACCGAGGGACAGATTACCCTGAGGCAGTATCACTCTAAGGATGGGAGCTGTCCCTTGTTAATCGTAAGAGTTACCACTTATGGGTTGCCAAGTAGGTACCAGGCACAATATTAGATGCTTCTCAAAGCCTTATTTTCTACAAAGCCAGCAAATGCTGAGTACTTACAATGTGCCAGCCAGCGTTCTAACCACTTGATGTATAATATCTTACATATTCCTTGTGATATCCTGAAAGATACATGCCATTTTAATCCCTATTTTGCACAGGAGAAAACTGTGGCACAGAAAGGATAAAGAACTTGCCCAAGGTCATATAAAGGCAAGAGCCAGGATTCAAATCCAGGCCTCTGTCTCAGCGCACGCATTTTTTTCACTCCCTCACACCCTTTGCTATTAGTCATTGTCATACCCCAGCACTTACCACCAGTGCCTTCATTTGCTCATTTATTCACCACAGCCAACACTTCACATTTGCTCTAGCATCGTCCCCGGCATGAAAGATTCATGGTAAATGTCCATTGCTTTAGGTCCTAACTGGACCACCTAAGCTTAGCCTTAGCCTAGCCTCTGATGTTCCCTGAATATGCCCTCCTCAGGGTAACTTGGCTGTTGCTGCCGTCTTTTTTTCTTTTCAGCCTGAGCCTAAATTTTTTTCTCTTCTGGGTCCCAGAGGACTCTTGTGTTGGCTGCCCCTTCTATACCTGTTAGGCTCATTTCCCAGGAGGCTGGCTTCCGTCTGTCCTCAAAGAGCTGACTTCTCAGAGGAGAATAGTTGTTACATTCATTTGGCACTTGGCACAGTCAGCCTCAGGCTGCTGGCTATAAAACAAGGGAGGAGCACCCTTTGGGAGTGAGACAGCCCTGACTTTCAATTCGGGCTCTGACATTTACTCACTGAGGGACCTTGAGCTAGTCAATTTCCAAGGCTCAGTTGACTCATCTGTAAAAATTGGTTTAATAATAGCCGTATTGCATGGGCTGAGTAAGATTGTGGAAATGAACCTACATGTCTGGCTGACAAGGGATGACAATAAATGGTAGCAGTTCTTAGTCTTGGCAATGGCCCCTCAAACTCTAATGTTCTATGAATTTGTACCCATTTCCTATGTCCCCTAGAAGACAGAAATCCCTTTCAAGGACCAGAACCATGTCTTAGGCCTCCTTAAAGCCCCTGGACCTAGCTGGCTGCTGTGAATCCAGAGGCATCTCAGAAGAGTCAGCTACTCGTCCAGCAACCTGCCATCACACCTTGAAGGCCTGTTGGGGCCAGGCCCTGTGGTAGATGCCCTGGATATCCAGGTTACTAGGATACCACACTCTCTCACTTCTCTCGAGCTCGCAGTTGATGGAGACACAGCCATAAGAGCAAGTAAAAGCAATAGCATGATAGGTAACAGACGTCTGAAGGGCTTACCACAGGTCCCACTGGTCCCAGCCTCTTAGTATTGGAGGAGAGATTGCTGGGGGAGCCAGCAGTCGCTAAGTGGGAAGGAAGGGGGCTCCAGCATCAGAATCAAGGGCTCTGACAGCTGACGCTTGATGCTCACCACCTTCCAGGTGAAATGCCTGGGATGAGCCTGTGGAGGAGGCTGGGGCAGGGGAAGTCTTTCCTCTGCTGGATAAAGGAAATGTTAGGGTCTTCCCAGTTCCTGGCCATGCTAGACTCTTCCCATCTGGAGCTGCAGAGGGTCTGCACTTTGGGGTTGTAATTCAGGTTGAAGTGTAAATGGGAGAGGTGGGGAAGGAGGATTGAATGCCTTGCATGAGAAGCATTTCCAGCTGCTGACTGAGGTGGGCAGACTAGACTGATGGGCCCCCTGGCTGTGGCCCTCCAGTCCTGACCTGGTGTCCGTGTTTCTGCCAGGACCAAGATTTAGGGCTCTGGCATCTTCTCTGGGGGAGACAGGAGCCTCAGCAAAATGAGCTGGGATTTCAGGAGGGGCCACTTCCCCTTTCCCTTCCCAGAAGGAGTGGCCAGAGCACAGGCCTGGCCTTGAGGAACCACTGGCCTGGGCGGAGGTCTGAGGTTAGCTCTGGAGTGAGGCTGAGGGCAGGGTTATCTGGAGACGGGGCCGTGTCTTAGGGGTGTGTGGGAGGAGGAGGGACACAGCTAATGAGAAGCAGGTGGAAGGGCTGCTCATGCCCCAGGCAGGGGACAGGCTGGCTGGGATGGCCCAGTAAGTAGGAGGACCTGTCACCTCACAGACAATCCCACAAAACAGGCTCCGGGATACCCATTCATATTCATTATATGTGAAGTGGGCGGTTGTAAAGTTAGCTTTCTCTTCATTTAGCTGTCACTGGACAGAAAAATATGAGCTGTGGGCAGATGCCCCTGGATGAGAGCCAGTAGCCAGTCTCTGGCCTCTCTGTGCCCTCCCCTAGGAGCCCCCGACCCCGCCATGGGTCCCCTCCTGGCCTCTGCCAGCCTCTCCCACTCTTGCTTCATTGACCTCTGGCTCACCTTTATTTTTTCTCCTGTCTCTTCCCACTTCTGGTTTCTTTGTTTGGGTTTATCACAGATCCTTTCCTCTTCCCTCCTTTCATATTTCTAAGCCCTCTCAAGAGAGAAGAATCATATTTTTCCTCAACCATCGCTCTATCTCTGGCACCCAGCACATTGCCAGGCTGAGTTGGCACTCAAAAATGTTTGTAGAACAAACTACTCTCTCTATACATCTTTCTGACTTGGTGGGGAAGAAGGTCCAAAACTTTGCTGATGACTCCTTGGATGAAGAAACTTCTCATACAGTGGTGTGAGCCCTGGAGTCAGAATGGTTGGCTTGAGCCCCAATTTCATTACTGCCTGGCCAGGTGAAGGAGATTCTGTTCATCAGTGGCAGCCAGGGATGTCTCTCCTTCCTACCCTGACTCTCCTCTTTCTGCTGGGTCCCCTCCCGGATACAGGGCTCACACCTGTGGACCTCAGAGCCAGCGTCAAGACCAAGAGGAAAGAAATCACCAAAAGCCAGACCCTTGTATAGAGGGAAGGGGAAGGAAGGGAGGGAAGACAGACTCCTCTGGGGATACATGCGACTGTCTTGGCTGGGAAATCTGATCTGGTGGGGGACTCACCCCCTCCTCTCGAATCAGCTCAGCCCTGATGTGTCTTTGTGGGCTTGGGTTTCTCTGTGCCTGAAAGATGAGGCGTGGGGTGGGGGTGGCCGGGCTGCTGGTTGAGGCTGAATTCTTCTGAGCAATGTGGTTGTGTTTACTGGGAGGGTGGGAGGGCCAGACCTTTTTCCTGCCTTCCAGGCTTCGGAGATAAGGCAGAAAGTGAGGATGAAGGATAGAATGGGTAATACTCTGAAACCACAAGAAAGAGTTCTGGCTTTTGTCTCTGCCCCACAGCTCAGACATTTCCTGGGGCATCTGGAAGGAAGCTGACCCACTCCCACCACCCTGGGGTCCCAGCCCATGGGGAGCACAGAACCTCAGTGGGCACCCCTTTCTTCCATTCTACCTCCTTTCCATTGTCAGTTTAGCCACAAAATTATTTTAGCTTTTTTACTGCCAGTCCCACCCTCAGTTTTCCCTGCCACATGAGCCCAGCCCTAGAGCTGAGCTTTTCTCCCTGCCTCCCAGCACAGCCAAAGCCACAGAGACCCTAGGCAGGTGACAGAGCCCAGCCTGGCATGCATCGGCCTTGAGGGCTCTGCTGCAGGACCACCTTCCCCTTCCTTGCTGGCCTCTCAGGGGTCGTGGCCAGCCTGCATCCTGGACACAGACCAGCCCCAAAGCAACCAGTGCCAAGCCCTGGGGATAGACAGTCACCTGGTATAAAAAACACCACCACCTTTATTAGAATGCTGGGCAGCCTTTTTTTTCTCTCTCTCTCCTTTTTTTTTTTTTTAAACAAAAAAAACACAAAAGTGTCTGTACAAAAATGGGGATCAGGATCTCAGTCTGTAGAAATCTGTTTTATTCTTACCAACATCCAATATCATTTCCATGGCATAGCTCTGGGCTGGTCCCGTGGAAGAGATTCCAAATATGTGGTGATTTCTGGTGGAATTTCTGCCCCCTTGGAGGGGAAGATGACTGCATGGCATGCTGGGAGTGCAGGCACATGGCAGGAGTGAGGGTGGCTGGAGCTGAGGAGCCAGTGTGCCTCAGTCTATGCTGACCTTGGCCTTTACACCCTCCTTAGTGTCAGACACCAGTGCGCCCCCTGCTGGTGGGGAGGGGAAGCAGGGCTGACTCCACCCCATCATGGGAGACTCCCTTTTGGTTTCCATCTCATCATGAAGAGCTTCAGTCCACGCGGCGTTCTCCTCCCATTTTCCTGGGTTCCCTGAACGATGAGCCAAGTAAGCTGTCTTAGCTGGAGAGATGACAATGGACTTGGACAAAGTCTGGAGGAAGCAGGGCAGTGTCTCCCTGCCTCCAGCCCAGAGTTCAGGTGAGGGGACTCAGTTTGTGGTAGGAAGAGTCCTGGCTGCTTCGAAGCCCCTTCTCCTAGGCAGCCCCACCTTGTTCTAAGAGAAAAGACCCTGTAACGTGTTCCCTGCTGGGGGCTGACAGTGCCAGCTGCTCTCGCAGCCTCCAGAACCATCTGGGGCTTGGAGGCAGAGGTGGGCTGGGAGCGACTGGGAATGGAAAAAGAGGTGGGCAGCTCATTCTGCAGGTCCATGCAACCGATCACGTGGTCCAGTTCAGAAGGCCGGGTGGCTCCTTGGGCTTTACCCTGAGCGAGACGAGGCTTGGAGACTTATAGTCACCATCTGAGGAAGGCTCAAAGCTGTGGCCCCCCAGGGTGGGGGGAAAGCCATGGATGGAGTAGATGCCAGGGTGAGCCGCAGAAGGGGCTGGCACCCCCATGAAGCCAGCCACACTCCCATGGGGGTGGGAATATGGAGACATGCATGGGGAGGGGATGCCCTCTGGAGACACAAGGCAGGGGCCTCCAGGGCTCCCAGATCCTGGACTGGCCCACAGGGAGTTCTGCAGCTGAAAAGAGAGGGAAAGAAGGCCCATGAGCCTGTAGCCTCAGGAGCTGACTTCCCTACCCAGGGGCTTTCTCTTTGTCCTTGGGGCCCCAGAAACTTTCCAGGAAACCTCCACTTGGCTCAGATCTACCCCCTCTCACCCCCAACACTGGCAGTGGCATCTCAGGAGGCCCCTGCCACTGTTCTCAAAACGAAATTTTCTTCTGTGATTCCTTTGTGTTCCGCATGCGTCATTCATGAGACAGGCAAGAGCCCCGGTTTGCAGAGAAAGAAGTGAAGTGGTGTACCCACTGTCATACAGAACGCTGACGCTCTCCAGGTTTCTTCAGGCCAGACCTCATATTCTTTTTGGTGACCCTGCCAGGTCCTGGTTCAGGTAGGGCTGGGGTCTTACCTGAGGGTGGCTGTCAGTACGGGGCAGCACAGAGATGTCATAGGCAGCCGTGAAGGGGTTCCGCCCCTCCTGGATCTTCCCATAACGCTCGCGCTTCCGCCACTTGGCTCTGCGGTTCTGGAACCAGACCTGGGGGCAGGTTGTGGGGGTTTGAGGGGGTGATAGGGCAGCCCTGAGGAAAGGAGCCTGCTAGGGAGAGCTGATGGTTGTGTCCTCTTGTGGGATGGGGAGCAGGCTCCAGGATGGAGGATCTCAACTGTTAATCCACACTGTTCTCCAGGCCAGGGAAGCCTGGGAGGAAGCCTGGGAGAGGCCCAAGCCCACAGTGGGTAATTGGCCCCATGGGCCTCCAGCTGTCACTCCCCAGGTTGAATCACTGTGGTCCTCCAGCCTGGCTGTGTCTAGTAAGGGTGTTGTGGGGGCATCTGTGGGCCTCAGGGGCCCTAGGTACTTCCTGGGTATACTGTGTACATGTGTTGGGTTTCTAGTCTCCCTGCCTCATCTCCTTTTCCAGGCTACCCACCTCATAGCATCCGAGGAATCTTAGACATTTCTGTTCAGGTCATGGTCCTGTTTAAACCCTCAGTGACTCCCTGGAGACCTTGGTCCAGAGCATAGCTTCTTAACAAGGCCCCTGCCTCTCTGCACAGCCTCATATCCTGCCAGGCAAACACATTTATTCTTCTGGTTGCCTCCCAAGCTCCCGCCCAGCTCTTCTGAAACACTGCTATCTTGCTCCTTCCATCTTTTGCTTAGGTTTTCTCTTCCTGGGCTACTCATCCCCTCAACACATACATCCACACTGGGCATCCTCCACAGGACTTCCAAAATACCCTGGACCTCTCTTTGTACTCACCCCATTCCATTACCATGATCTGTTTTGGAATCTGTTTCTCCCATTTATTTGTGAGCCCTTGGCAGATAGGGGTGGCACATCTGTGTGTTGTGCACATCTGTGTACATATCTGTGATGAATTCGTTGTTTGGTATATGTGCTGTGACTGTTACATTTAACTGTATTGGTATATATGTTTTGTATTTCTATCATTTAATCAACATTTATGTGTCAGCCTCTAAGCTAAATTTAACAATGTCAAAATAAAACCAACCAAACAAAACAACCCCTGCTTTCCAGGGATATCTAGCTGGGAGTCACAACAGAAGAAAGCTGTGTGTGTGTGTGTGTGTGTGTGTGTGTGTGTGTGTGTGTGGAGTAATCCGTCTACCCCAGCTGGGATCAGGCTTCCTGCCCCCATGGTCATTCCTACACATGCAGGCAGGTAAGGCACCAACAGTGAAGGGGCTGTGCATACCCCATCCCCCTAGCTCCCAGATTGCCAAGATAAGAAAGCAGGCCTGCAGCAAGGTCAGCAAAAGGCCACCCCCACCTGCCCAGCTGCCTGGATTTCCTTTCTCTGCTCTCCCTCCCCTGACAGAGGATGAGGGAGCTTACAGCCAGTGAATCTGGCTATTGGAACTCACTTTTCTGTCACCACCCATTCTCCCTTGGGGATCCCGCTGTAGGCCTCCCCTGGGCTCTGGACCTGCCCTCTGCATTATCTGGTGTGTAGTCTCATTCTTCCTCTCCATAGGGCAGGGTGTATGGGTGGGTTTCACACCCCTGCCAGAGAAAACATTCCTACTCCAGGGTCTCCATCCTTCAGGAAGCTTCTAGACTAGGGGTGAGGGCCTCATGGCTACTCCTGCACCCTCTCAGGTTGAAAAGGCCTAGGAGAGGAGCAGAGGAAGTGCTCTCCACCTCCCACAAACACTTGCTTTGGGAAGAGCTGGTTAGACCACACCCCGGAGGCCTGCTGAGGTGACTCCATGGTCCTGATTCCCATGGCTTATATCATCTGGGGTTGCCTTGAATGCCGGGCCTCTTGCCCTGATGACCTCAGCCCCTGGAGGCCTTGGGGGACAGTCTTGGAAGTCTGTTTTGGCTCCTCGGAGGAGCAGGGAGGCAGGAGAACGCAGCAGAGAAGGGGAAACAGCCCAAGCCTCTCTCATCCTGTTGGATGCAGCCGTAGGGCCTTCTCTGTTAGATGACAGCTGGCCTCTTTATAGACTGGCCTGTCAGTCCCCATATCCTGCCAGGACTATCTCCTGCCCTAGTGCCTTCACAAAGGGTCTCTGGAAGGGCCCCATGCAGGGTGGGATAGCATGAGCTTTGTTCCTGCTAAGTCTCCTCCATGGTGGGAGAGAGACTCCTCTGCCTAAGAGGTCACCTCCTCACCTTTCCCCAGAACTCCAACCCACCCCTCCCAGTGTCTCCTGCTTGGTATCGGGAAGCCTGCTTTGATCGAGCCGGTTCAGTGCAAGCCAGTGAATGGCCATCTTCCTCTTGGGCCAGACTCTTACTGAAACTCCTTCCCCATCCCCAGCCTGCTTGCCACCTTCATGTGCTTGACACTTCCAGCATGCTTGGACGTGGGCTTCCCTTGCCTTCCTCCCTTCTCAGCATTTACCTACCCACAGGCTGGGCTCCCCCCATGTAAAACTGGCCACGGCCCCTCTGGGAAGCCCTGGCACCTGATCTCCATGGGGGATTTTGTTAGGATGGGGAAGGGCTCCCAGCCAGCCTTTCCCAGCCAGCCTTTCCCAGCCAGGGTCTGAGCGCTGGCAGGGACCCAAGGTCGGTGGCTCCTGATGACTTTGAGAATCACTAACCCTGAGACCTCCTGACAGGGACCCTCCCATTCTAGGCAGCCACCTCAGGAGCAGCCCTGATGTGTGTTCAGCACTTCACCGCTTCCAAAATGCGGCCATCCCTGTGATCCTCAGGATAGTCCCTACGCAGCCAGTCCCATCATTCCCTTTTCCTGAACTGGGAAACTGAGACTGAGAGATCTATTAACATACCCCAAATCACCTCCAGTAAGTGGTAGACTTTAGGACTCCCACACAGGTGATGGCTTCCAGAGGCCATCGCCCTTATACCCAGGCATAAGCTTCAATTTGGACCAGAAGAGCCTGTGGCTGCAGCAGAGCTGGGCATGAGGGTGAGCCCAGGAGGGGAAGGCTGGTGCAGGCCCCTGGGAAAGGTAGCTCTGGGAGGCACCAGTGCCCACCTCTCCCAGCCCTTCCAGATCACTTTCTGGTCACTGTGTGATAGGGGCAGCCAGAGAGCCCCATCCTTGCAGTGCCCTCACCTGTACCCGGGCCTCAGTCAGGTCTGTGCGCAGGGCCAGCTGCTCCCGGGCATACACATCAGGATAGTGGGTTTTCTGGAAGACCTTCTCCAGCTCCTCCAGCTGGAATGTGCTGAAGGTCGTGCGGTTACGACGCTTCTTGCTCTTGTTCTTGGCCAACTCCATGGAGTCAGGGAGTCCCGGGGAAAGAGGAAGATGCAGGCTGGCCAGGCAGGGGCCTGGGGAGCCTTGCAAGTTAGAGGGCCCGTCTCTGGGGCCCCCTCGGCAGTCCAAGGGCAGCTGGGGGAAGCTGGCAGCTTTGGAGGTCTTCTCCTCAGCTGCAATGGAGAACACAAAAGGGAGGATGGCAACTGAACCAGGGGCTTTTGTGGGTTGGAATGGAGGGAGGGGGAAGAACATTGACGCCTCAGTCTCCGCCTCCCCCTTCCTTTCCCTTCCCTTCCTCCTGGCAGCCACCCTCCATGGGAGCCTGGCATTTAGAGGCCTGCCTGCTGAGCCTCCAGCTGGGGAGGGGGCCCTGGGGAACTATGTGCTCTGTGGTCTGGGCGGATCTGCTGGGGCCAGAGTGGGGTTCATTTCGGGGAAGTGCTCTGTGGTGGTGCGTTCCACAGGGACGTGAGAGGACTGGCGCCACAGCAGGACCACCACCCTGGCAAGGCCAAGAATGGGGGCAGAGGGCGGGGTGAGGATGGGGTGGTTGACATCTCCTGCTCCTGCCAGAAAGTGCTTCCTTGTTCCTAACTCTGCAGGCCTTGGTTCCCAGGCCCTTATGCCCACGCCTCTGTTCCCAGGGCCAGGCAGGCTGTGGACGTGGGTGCTCAGACCACCTTTGGCTGGTCTGGCTGAGCTTTATTCTCTGAACCCCAGGTCTCAGGTCAATATCAAATTCCCCAGCTCTGGTGTAAGAAGGGCAAGATGGGACAAAGAAGCTTCCAGAGGGATTGCTTCTCTCCATTCCTCCTAAAATTGTGGTATCTGGGCAAGGACTTAAGCTCCAGCAATAGAGAAGCAGAGCTGAGATAGGCTGTGCTCAAAGAAGGAGAGTTGGGGACCAGTGTCACAACAGGGCACAGCCCCTGTCCCCATCATTCCCATCATTGACCACCCCCTCCTTCCTCAGGAGTTTCTAACTGCTCCCCCATTGCCTGTGTTTAACAGGCAGGGAAGGACTTGATTACAGACTGGAACAGTTTCCAGCAGCCCCACTCTGACATGCTAACCCCTACTCCAGAAGCTTGGCGGAGCCTCACCATGGTGGATCGACCGACAGAGCATGGTGAAAAATAGGTCACTCTGATTGCCCACACCCTCTCCCTCTGGCAAGGACCCCCAGCGGTGTCCCCATGAAATCCCTCCTCAACAGTCCACTGGGATGGCAGCTGAGACGCCACAAAGACGCCCCACTGACTCACACAGCCTCTTGCCTGGCTCTGGGCCCATCTCCAGTGGAGGCCTGGCCCTGAGGAGGCCCAGCTAGCTGGCACAAGAGGCAGTGTCTTCCCAGGACTTGGTGTCAGGATCACAGCTGTGGTTGGGGGAGGATGGGACTGGACAAATGGGCCTCTCAGGATCTGGGTCTGGTGAGTCCCTGTCTGCACTGTGAAGGACAAATGGGGCAGGGTCCTCCTCAGCTGGAAGGTGGTCAGTTACTTTCCAGGACTACCCAGGCCATGAGATAAGCTCCTGGTGTGTGTCCTGGAGGACTGGGAGAGTCGAGCAGGGCTACCTAGCCTTGGACCATGCCCAGCCTGTACACAGGCCTGTACACAGGTAGCCCACAGCTACAGCCCAGGGACCAGGGCTCCTTCACAACTCAGGTGGAGCACAGGGGAGAAAGTGTTCCAGTCTCTGACTTCCATTCTTGGGCCAGCACATTTCAGGTTTAGAGGCAGTTCCATTTGATAGAAGCTTAGGAAGGAAGACTCACAGAAGTTGAACCAAATAATTGAAAATGATAGGAAGACTAGGGACACTGGAATGGGACATCCCCCCCCCCCGCCCCCGCCACCCCCACCACATGCATACACACAGCAGGCCATGGAAATGTTCAGCCTGAGAAGAAAGAGTCTTGGTGTCTTGTGTTTGTAGGGAGGCTGTGCTGGACTCCAGGCAGAAAAGGGGTGAGGGTAGCTCAGGGCTGAGGGTCAGGGCTGGGGTTCAAGAGTACTGACATCCTGGCAGAGGCCCTCCAAAGCCCTGGGGCTTGCTCATCTGCCTCTTGGGTCTCAATAGGACCTGCCCAGAAGAAGGGACCAGATCTGGGGCCCTGAGACTTGCGTTCCCGACCTTGAGCCACCAAGCTGCCAGGGACAAGGGATGAAAGTGCAGTAGGACTTCTCAGAGCAGCTTCCCCAAAGAAGAGGCTAAGCCTGCTGACCTATGCCCAACTCCCATGCCTGCCCAGTCTACAGCCCTCTCAAGGGACCACGGAACTGCTCTCCTCATTGTCATTGCCCTGAAACCTCCTTGATCTACCTGGAGAACACCAGAGGGAGGGTGGCATCCCTCCACTTTGGGAGAGGGGCACTCCTCAGAGAACACAGAGCAGCCTCCTGAGGAGCAAGGCCCAGAAGAGGAAAGGGATAGAACTGGGACAAATGGAAGGCAGAAGCCAGGAAAGACAGGCCAGGAATAGCAGCCAGCAGCTTGAACCTAAGCTTGTAAAGGAGTGAGGGCTGCTCTGCTGAGCACGGGGCACATCTGAGGTGTGTATGGATTGTGCAGAGGAGTCACTGCACCTGATCCGGACACTAGGTGGTTAAGGCGGGGTACTCATGTTGGAGACAGCCTGAGACAACGCTGGGGTGTCTTCTGCCTGCATAACCGCAGGGCCACAGCAGCAGCTGTTGGGCGTGAAAGCCAGGAGCCTTTTAACGTAGTAAAGGAGCTCTCTGTCCCTGACCCAGCTCTCAGGCCTGCCGTACCCTGAGCACCCCTCACCCGGAGGAGTGCCAGAGCCCCTACCAGCGGCTGCTTCTAAGCCACTGTGCAGCCAGGAAGCAGCGCCGCAGCAGGCCCGAGTGCTCCACTGTCCCCACAGAAGGCATCCATTGAGACCGCGGGACCAGCCTTGGCTTTCACATTTCGCTGCAGCCTTGTCCCGCGCCGCACTGTTTCCTCCGGCCACTGTGGGGTCACTAAGCGACCTGCAGAACTCGCTGAGGCCCAGGCTCCTGCAGCTCCCGCCGAAGACTCAAAGCCAGAGTGGACATAAACGCCGTGGGCAGGACCCCGGTGAGGCCTCGGTGCCCTTCTTGGGGGTTCTCAGCGTTGGCCCAGAAGCCTCAGCCCGGGTCTAAGAACTTGGGACTCTCCTCGACTTTGGCGATCGGCCGGGTCATCCGGCTCAGGGCCTCAGCGGCAGCGGGCAAAACTCTAGTAGGAGTCTCTTGCCGAGGGCGTGTTTCGACGTCAGAGCCAAACTCGGGACAGACTAGCCAAGCGCGGACGGCGCGAGAGTGGCTGGCAGCGCCAGCACGCAGCCTGGGTTCAGAGCAAGGCTGGGCGCTCTCAGCAAAGGGCGGCCTGGGGCTGCGCGGGCGGCGGACTGCAGGCGGGAGAAGAGCGAGGTGCGCCAGGCTCTGGGGCGCGCAACTGCCCAGCCTCGTGAAAGATCGCGCCGCAGATGGGGCGCAGCTGCGCGCTCACTCGTGTGGACTGGAAACGCTCCGAGCCGGTTATTTTAAAAACCGGGAAATAAGGCGGGTTCCCTCTTCGCCCGCCACTTCCCACCAAGTAGGCTGTGCGGCCCTGGGGGCTGACTGTCCTCAAGCAGCCAGGCTCCACCGCGCGCCGCGCTGCGCCGAGGTCCGCTCTGCCGCAGGGACGCTGGCAGCCCGTTGAACACCGGCAAGAGCGCCAGAGGCTAGCGGCCGCCAGGATCTCTACCAGGCTCTGCTCGCACCCGCCTGCCTCCCTTTCGTTTGGCCTGTCCTCCGTTCAACTGAAATCGTTAATTTTCTTACCCCCTTGTTCTCATTTTGATATATTCTACGCTTTAAACATGCTCCGTTTTCTTTTGTTTAGTCTGCTCCCTCCCTCTTTGTCCTTTCCCCCTTCTCTAGTTATCCGTTTCGTTCGATCTTGCTCCTGCTTTTTTTATTCGTTCGTTCCTCATTTATTCATTTTAGTTCATCCCAGCTCGCCGACTGCCATTTACCCTCTCGTTCTCGCCGCGCTCTCCGTTGTTTTGTTCAATTTCCCTTCCCCTTTTCTTGGTTGTCGCTCGCTTTCTTTGGTTTTCTTTCTCGGTATTTCGTTGTCAAGGCCACCCTTGCCGTCGGATCCCGGGGTGCTGGGTTTCTCCCGGCCGCTCGTTCCGCACCAGCGCTCTCTGCAGTTCGCGCGGCACCGGTGTGGTCCGGGGGCCCGAGCTGTCGGTGCCGGATGCGGCGCGCCTAGCAGGGACGCGGGCCTGGGGGGGTGGCTCCTGCCCGACGCGGAGCGCTGAGCCAGGCCGGGTACCTGTCTCTGGCGGTGCTCACCGCACTGCGCGGCCTCTGCCGTCTGGCTGGGATCAGAGGAGCCAGGCCAACTGCTTCTCATTAAGTCCCAACTGTGGTTTTTATCAGGAAAGCCTCTTTCAAAGGGCACAGACACGAAGCTCCGCGGACTCGTTCATTTCCTCCGTTGACCCACACACACCTCCCCGCCCTCCCCTACACATTCCCACCGCCCCGGCTGGGCGAAAGCCGGAGATGCCCGGCCACTCCGTGGAGGCCCGCGAGGCGCCAGCCGGGCGGCGGCAGGGGGTTGAGGCGGATCTTGGAGGATCCAGTTCTGGGCCTAGGCTGCGGGATATGGCAGCGCAGATAAGGTGGGTGCAGTGCGGAAGCCGAGACGCCTTACAGGTCATAGGGTGCGGCGGACGGCCGCAGAGCTGCCGATCAGCCTGCCAGGCCCCTGCCTTCAGGCGCATTCTCGGATGCCGGCGCGGTCCAGCCGGCCTTAGCACAGGGCACCGGCCCGTGAGCCCGCGGCGCCAGGGGGTTAGGCTGCCCAGGGCTGCTCCTGACTGCCCAGCGGTGATGATCCAGCGCGGGGAAGCCAAGACTGCCAGAAGGGCGGCTATCATAGTGCATAACGGCAGGGAGGCCAGCTTAGTATGAGAAATAAGAATACAGTTATTCCGTCTTGAGGACAGCCCTGGCATTGCACGACCAGTCGCGGCCAGACTGTGCCAGTCTGCCGCACAGGCAGCACCCTTCCTGTGAAGGCTAGGCCCGGGGAGGAGAGACGGGCCAAGACCAGGCCGCAGTCCCCAGCCGACCCCGATTTGACCACTCTAGGTTGAGGCCCAGCCTCAGGGCCCTCAAAGGGCGCCAGACACAAAAGCCGCGCTTCTTCGTCAGGTCTCAGTGTGGCTCCACAGCCCTCGGCCGGGTCTGGGCTTCAGGGTAGGTGGCAGTTCCAGTCCAACTTCGGCAGAGCATGCTCTCTCCTTCCCAGGTCCAACTGCTTTCGGGCCCCGACTGGACTCCGGGCCGTCGCCACTGCACCTTCCCTCGACCTCCCGCCTTCCATTCCCGCCGCCGAGGAACGGTGGTTCACCCTCCCGCCCCACACTGGCCTTTGCCTGGCCCGGGCCAGCGCCAACCCGGCTTCCGTGGAAGCCGTGGCGAAAGGCGAGAGGGGCAAAAAGTTGAGAAATAGGCGAGCGGGAGAGATAAGCAGGAAGGCCCGGGTGGGCCCGGGTAAGGAAGAAGAAGAGAGGGTCGGGCTGCGCGCTACGCCCCGCGCCGCGCGTTACCTTCCGCGGGGCCCTCGTAGAAGTGGCCGCCGTTGAGGGCCGGGCCGGGCCCGAGGTCCTGCAGGTACTTGGCGGGCGGCTTGGCCGGCTCTGGGAGGTAGGGCTCCAGGGGCCCGCAGGCCGGAAAGCGGGTCAGCCGCGGGCCGCGGGGCGGCGCGGGGTGCAGGTGAGGCGCAGCGGCGGGGGTTCCCTGCGGGCCCGGAGGCTCGTCCCCCGAGGCCACATAGGGGCCGGGTGCAGGCCCCACGCGGAAAGGCGCGCAGTGCTCGGGGTCCATGCCGGCTCAGGGCGCACAGGCCTCCGGGGCTCCGGGGCTCGCGCTGCCCGCGCCGCCTGTGAGCGCCCGCCAAGGGGGAGGGACCTGGGCGCGGGGGCGCGGAGCCCCCGGGAGCGGCGCGCGCCGCGGGGGGCGGGGGGCGGGGGGCAGGGGAGGGGGCCGCGCCTCTGACTTAATGCTGGAACCATCCACGTCACGTGTGGCCCCGTGCGGGTTAACCCCTCGGAGCCCGGGAACCCCCTCCCCCCATTCACCCAGAGCCCAGTCCCAGGCAGCTCAGGAGAGGATGAAGCAGCTTCCTCTCTAGGGCAGGATCCCTTTGTCTACCCATCCAGGTGAGTCTCTTGCTCAGAGCAGCACCCGTGGTCCTGATATCCAGCCTAGAGGCACTTGCCCCTAGAGGGGTGAGGCCGTGTGGGCATCCCCCCCAAACACTTTTGGGCCTGGACTCTGGACATCAGCCTGGGATGAGGGCCTGGGCGGGCAGACAGGCAGGCCTTAGGCTGCAGTTTTACTTAGGTCTCCGCTAGGAGCTGGACAAAATGTTGCCTCAGCAAAAAACACCTCCCTTAGAGATCTCTTGTTTCTCACAGTGAAAGGAGCTATTGGGAGTGTTGTGTGGAAGCAGATCTAAGCTGGGAATGGGGTGCTGGGGAGCTTGGACCTGGACACTATCATTAATTAGCTATGGTTCCTTGCGCCAATCATTAGTGTCCTCATCTGACTGTGGAGGTCGGGCCAAGCCAACCCTGGGTCTTTCTATGTATTTGAGGTGTGTTTCAGAAGTAGAGACAGGGCCAGAGCAGACAGGGAGACTCCCATGGGCAGCTCAGGACTGAACAGTGTCCTGCAGGGGCAGCCTTTGGAACAGGTGGAGGATGAGCAGAAGGGCTGGTGTTTCCTCTGGCAGCAGCTTGGAGTGAATGCGTTTCAGTGGGCAGATGACCCAAGTGTCTGGGGACCCACTGGAGAGACTGTCTGCAGCTCGGACCTCAGGGCTGTGCTCCCCCAGGCCTGACGATTCAGAAGGGATGAGGGTAGAACTGCATCTTCTAAGAGCTGAGTCTCCCCAACCAAAAGGAGACAGGATTAGAGCAGTAGCTTAGAATTTCAGAAAAGAGAAATAACCACCACCCTACCTAAGATCTGGGGAGAAATACCCAAGGACCCGAGGACCCTGCTCACTTCCCATGGATTGAGGAGCCCGTGGGGCTGCGTTAAACTGTTTTTATTATCAATGCCCCCGGAGACTAGCAAGAGAGGTGGGGAGTCAAACATCATTTGTATTTCATTTGAATTCTCAATTTTTAAAGGAATCCAAGAGGCCTGGTGTGAACACCTCCCTCTTCCGCTGGGGGCTTAGAAGGGGTTTCTTGGCTCCTCAGCCAGAGTTGGGCTGTAAATCAAGACCAAACAGGAACCAGAAGCCTTGCATCTCACAAGGAGTCATTAAGCCGTTATTAAACATACCATAACTTCTCTGAAGACTTATTGGTTTCAACACCACCTTGGAGGCATTATGGCCATTAGGGCCCCTAATCACGGAATGCAGACTGGCCAGAGAGATGGGAGCACCTGGGGCTGGTATTTCTAGTCAAGAGGGAGGCTCGGCTTGAAATTAAGCTTCCCTTCTGGCCTCACCAGAGGGATCCTTTCTCCAGGATCTAGTGGATCCAGCTCTGGGCAACCAATTTGAACCGATCACCTTTGCCCATTAATAAGGTTTTTCAATAGTTGTTGATTGGATATTGTTTTCTTTTCTCTCTTCCCCATACCTGCGAAATTGGATATTGTTGACTTTCTAGGAGGACATCAATTTAGGATACCTATTCTATTCAACAGTTATCAAGAAGTTTACTATGGAGGATGAAAATATCACCCAGGAAAATGTCACCAACAATTTAAACAAGGCAGCCTGGATCAAAGGCTGAGTCTTCTGCCTCCCATGACAACCTTGCTGAGCCTCAGTTTCCTCATCAGAAAGGTGGGCCACACATGGAAGTAGGGTATTTGCAAAGCATTCGTGTTTTGATGCACTGTGTTAATTTAATAGATGCTGATGATGATGGTGATTACCATCTCCAGTGGGTTCCATCACTGAATAGGTGAAAGGCTCCTGACTTCAGAGTGAATGGGCCTAAGGCTGGAGCTGAGCAGAGAGACACAGGGACCTGCATCCACTTTCAAGCCCAGAAATTTCTCTTGACATTCTCCCACTCTCTGAACAGAGCCAATTTCCATACTGGGATGGTGTTACCAATTAAACTGAGGAGAGAGAAAACCCTAGATTACATGAGAGTTTTGTGGGTAAGTGGAGTTGACCTTCCTGGGAGAGTTTTCTTCCAGAACCACACAAATCAGCACACGGGGAGGAGACTTTTCCACTTGTCTTTTAAGCCGTTTGTGTAAACTTTTATCTATCTGTATGTGGTCCGGAAAGAGTTTGATGGAGCAGGTGCATAGAAACCTCAAAAACAGCAATCTCAGAGTTAATAAATTTTCCTTCTTAGGGGGGCTGGGAGATCATGGAGTGTCACAAAGGCCCTCATATTATAGGTAAAAACAACAGCTAACACTTACGTATACCTACAGTGTGCTGGGTGCTAGCTCATGTATTCTACGTACATTGGTTTATTAATTTTTATTTTATTTTATTTTTTTTAGATAGAGTCTCACTCAGTTGCCCAGGGTGGAGCACAGTGGCCATGATCTCAGCTCACTGCAACCTCCACCTCCCAGGTTCAAGTGATTCTCCTGCCTCAGCCTCCCGAATAGCTGGGATTACAGGCATGTGCCACCATGCCTGTCTAAGATTGGTTTATTTAATCTTCACAGCTCTGTGAAATAGGTACCCTGTTTTCTAGAGAAGGAGCCTGAGGCCAGGAGGGAGCCATTTGTTCAGGTAGACACAGCCAGTTAGTGCCAGAACCAGAATTTACACTCAGATCCGCGGTCCCCCACTCCACACGACTCCTCAGTCCTTCTTCAGTTAACGAAGCTGAAATCATTCACTGTGCACCCTCATTTTCCCAGTGGGAAGGCTGGGACTCCTTCCAGAAAGGAAGGCTGAGGCCAGAGTGGCCTGGGGACATTGCACTGCTGCCTTCATGATCAGCAAATGGCATCTGTTGAGACTCGTATGCCTAGCTGCGGCCACTGATACAGTAGGTAGAGGGTGGTTTCTGCTAAGCTGAGACCAAATGAAACAGAGTGCTTAACACTTGAGAGGTTTATGACCAATGCAGCCAGATGTGGGGCAGAATTTTAAGGGAATTTGTGAATTCACCATTTGTGCTGTTTAATAACCAACTGAATTATAACAGCATTTGTCACTGAAAAATTGTCCATGGAGTAAGAGATGAGTGGATGGCGAGATCCAGATAATTCCAGGCCCTGTAATGAAAAAACTGAACAAAACCCCTCTCCATCTGCTAAGAAGAGCTACGTTTTAAATGGAAATGATACTTACTAGCTGTTTTACACCAGCTGAATGTTTAATTCATTCATTTAACAGGAGAGCCTACCATGTGATCCCCATTTGCTGGTACCAGGATATAGTGGCACACACGACATGTGATCCCTGCCTTCACAGTGCTTACACTTTGCTGGAATGGAAGTGTCTCATCCACGTTGAAGAAAATCATCCTCATTTGGCTGTGAATTAGAATAGAATCTGGTCTTGTGAGAAGAGTTCCTGGCTCTGGGCCTCAACTGTAAGGTCAGTTCTTCATTTAGGGAAACATCAGCCCCAGCACCACTTTCCGTTTCATTCTCTGCTTCCCTCAGCCTGCACCACAGGAAGGACATGTGCTTCTTTTTCCCCCAGTGGATTTCCAGAAGGGATAGGGACGATGAGAAAGAGGTAACCTCAGATCTGAGATTTGCTTGACATACACAAAATTTCCTTCCAACAGGGAAAACTCAGTTGCTTTTTTTCCTTCAAAGGAAAGACAGTTGGTATTACCTTTGTCCTGTTTAGATACTGAAATCCTAAATTGATTCATATAAAAATTCTGGGTTTGGGAACCCAAAAGATTGTTTCTCATTAGTGACATTCTTCCTGGAAGGGCAGGCTGAGGAATGGTAAATAAACCTGTGGATCTGGTGCTTCCTCCTCACTCATGATCTCAGACAGAGAGAGAAAAAGACAGAGAGAGAGAGAGAGAGAAGAAGCAAAATGATAGGAAAAGAAAAGAAAAAATCTTTGTGTTGTGGACACCCAGAATCCTTGGCTGTGATTCTAACAACCCAGGCTGAAGTCTGCTTTGGAATAAGATTTGTGGGATGTTTTTTCTCTTTCATTGATTTGATCTGTTTCATTGGGAAAGACACTTAACCTCTCTGTGCCACAGGTTCTTATGTGAAAATGGGAAGAAATGAGTCTGTACTCCAGCTTTATGGGAATGAATGTGATAGTAATTATACACATGTTTCTTGAGCCTGAATCCACCACTGAACCTATGGTTTTCTGCTCATTCTCTCTGCCCAGCTTACTGAGGTTGGGTTGTAATGGAGGGAGGGGGCCAGAGAGGCGGAGATGTATCTCTTCTCTGGTAGGCCTCAGTTTGACCTATTGCCTTTGTGTGAAGGTGAATAGGTTCTTCTGTGGCAAGTGCTGGCATGGACCATAGAGAAGTCATTTTGTAGAGGAGTTTTTTTTTTTTTTTTTGAGACGGAGTCTCTGTCGCCCAGGCTGGAGTGCAGTGGCGTGACCTTGGGTCACTGTAACCTCTGCCTCGTGGGTTTAAGCAATTCTTCTGCCTCAGCCTCCCGAGTAGCTGGGATTACAGGCATGCACTACCACACCCTGCTAATTTTTTATTTTTAGTAAAGACAGGGTTTCACCATGTTGGCCAGGCTGGTCACAAACTCCTGACTTCAGGTGATCCACCTGCCTCAGCCTTGCAAAGTGCTGGGATTACAGGTATGAGCCACCACGCCGAGTCTTGTATAGGAGTTTTTGATGAACTAATTCTTGATATAAAACAGACCCTTCTGTTTTAGGTTAGACTTTTTGGCCATTTTAACAGTTTGATTAATTTTATGCATTCCTTTATTCACCAAGCATTTATTGACTGCCTGCCATGTGCCAGATAGTGGAGTCACACAGTAAGAATAGATCCTGAGAGAGTACCACTTACTCCCAGGGCTTTTCCAGACTAGCAGAAGAAAGACACAGAGCAACAGGCATTTACGCCATGGAGTGTGACTCTGCTGAGGCTGGGAGAGCACAGGGGGCCTGGGAGCTAGGAGAAGGGCAGCTGTCCCAGCTTTGGGCTGGGGGCAGCTGGTCATGGAATGCTTTAAGTTTGAATCTGAAAATCTGGAAAGTTGAGTGGGGGATGCCTGGGTGAAGGAGTACTAAGGGGCAGAGAGAGAGGGCATTCCAGAGAGAATGGCCCAAGAGTGAAAGCGAGGAAGCCAAGCTCAGGGAACTCAATTTGTTGAATTTTCCTGGATCCTGGAGAAGGAAGAGAGTTTGGGTTGGGGTGGGAAAAGAGAGACAAAGTCCACAGGAATCTAGAGACTCTAAACTCTGGGGTAGGGAGAATGGCGCTATAGGCACTGGGTCTGCAGTGTCTGCCAAGCACAGCTTGAAGCACCAAGTCACTAGAGGGAGATACGGAAGAAGCCCCACGCCCTGGGAAGCACCCCTACTCTAAAGGGGGGACCCAGGACCCACACCAGCAGGAGACATTAAGAAAACACAAAAACAAGAGCACCTCCAGGAAGACGAACAGAAAGCACATTTGTTTGCTGGGAGTCATGAGGTGGAGAGTTGAGTGGATGGGGCAGAGACGAGTGACATGGGCTGGGCGGTGCAGTCTGTGAGGCCTTTTGTAGCCATATTTTGACTCTTACAGGGAATGCTGGCCAGGGCACCCCTTGAACTCATTTCACCAGGAAATCCATTGGTTCCAGAGTGCAGATTCCAGATTTGTTATTTTACAGGGCTAATAAGTATGTAATTATCACATTTGGAGCCTTTCAAAGGAAATGCAAACACACACCACTGAACACCCTGAAAAATGTGAGTGAAACCCACTCCAGAGTTCTGGAAGGAGCTCCTTACCATGTCACACAGAAGCATCTACCCCAGCCCAGGGTCTGCTCCTGCACTGGAGGAAGAGAGAAGAGGGAGATTGGATCTGAACTTTACAAGGAACTGGAAGAAAAACAAGAGAAGAGGGTGGAAGGGCCTCTGCCCAGCTTCCAGACTCCTCTGGAGTCTCCAGGGAAGGAGAGGTAGAGTGTAGGTAATAATAATAAAATCCACTATTTACAGAACACTTACCATGTGCCAGGAAAACACCATCTCATCTAATCTTTACAGTGTTATAAAGTTGGTGTTCATATTCCCATTTTACAGATGAAGAAACTGAGATTAGACTGCGTGTTAGTTGTCTATTTATGTCTATGCTGCATAAAAAATCACCCCAAAACATAGTGATTAAAACAACAATAGGCAGTTACTGTGGGTGAGGGATTCAGGAGAAGCTTGGCTGAGTGGTTCTGGCTTGAGGTCTCTTAGGACGGCTAGTTAAATATTGGCTGGGCTGCAGGATTCTGCAGGCTTGACTGAGCTTGGAGGACCTCTTTCCAAGGTGGCTTGCTCACATGGTTGGCAAGTTGGTGTAGGCTGTTGACTGGAGGCCTCCATCCTTCTCCACATGGGTCTCTCCCCAGGGCTGACTGAGTGACCCCACCACCTGGTAGCTGGCTTCCCCCACAGCAAATGGCCCAAGAGAGCAAAGTGGAAGCTGCAATGCTGTTTATGGCCTGGCCTTGACTCACTCACTAGTACTGCTGCCATAGTCTACTGGTCACACTGGCCAGCTCTACTTTAGCACGAGAGAGAGGATTATACAAGTTTGGTGAGGCCCCTTGAAGGTCATCCTGGAGGCTGGCTACCATGGACTCATTCAGAAACCCCCCCATATCCCACCACAGCTAAGTGCTGCTGGGATTCAAAACCAAGTGGCCTGACTTCAAAGGCCAGGTTCTAATGCTAATTATTGGGTCAGGAGTGGCTATCTTGATGGGTTAAGAGGAGTGAAAGGTTAGCAACTCTCACAAATAATTACTGGGCAATGAGAGTCATGTTGCCTATCCTGAGAAAGACTGGGGAGACCCTGGAAAGGGACCAAGGTGTGCCCTGGCTTTCTCTACACCCTGGCTGTTCAGCTGTCAGAGCAGGCAAACTCCTGGAGGGCTCCCTCAGTACTGAGAGCTGACCTCAGGGATCCTCCAGGTCTTTCAGTTCATCTGGGTGGAGGAAGGCAAACCTACTTACCTTTTCTCTGTGCTTTTCAGAGGAGAGGTATGAAAAGTGCATTAGGATTCCATATTTGCTCTGCTGTTAGCTCACCCAAGGGAACCCTGGCCTTAGACCTTGAACTGAATGACAGGGAAGGGAGATGTTGTTGAGAGCGCACCATAAGTTAGGTCTGAACTGGTCACTCTACGTTTTAAAATTTCAATAATTATGTTAGGAGGTAGCTATTATTATTTCAACTTTACAGATGAGGATACAGAACTCAGGAAATTAAGCAAACTGTCCAAGGTGTCATACTCTTTCTAAATGACTGAACCAGGAAGGACCTCAGGCAGGTGGCCTAGTAGACTTGCACCTTTGTCAGAGTCCCAGCTGCCTTGAGCCATCTCAGATGGACAAGGACTCTGCCTTCCTTTCCTCCTGCCATTCAGGAGATCTGAGCATTCGGTTGGGCAGAGACTGTGCTCAGCAGAATGAAGGGGCTAAAATGGTGCCTCCATACACAGACTAGGTGGATCCACCATACACAGCCTAGGTGGATCCTTCTTACTATGTTTTTTTTTCTCCTGGGGAAGCAAGATTTGGACCTATGACCAATTACCCAGAAATACAAGACATTTAATAAGCATGAGACGGCCTGCCCTTGCTGAGGAGCAAATGTGAGCAGGAAGGGGCTGGAGTACTCCCAGGTCACTTCCAGGTAGAGAAGGAAACGATTGTGTGGTCATGAGCATGTTAGTACCAATCTCTGGAGTCCCAGCTGTATGACCTTTGGGACCAAGGGAAAGGGCCATACCCACCTCAGAGAATCCTAAGAGGTCTGTGAGCTGCAGCCTGAGAAAAGGTGAAGGGCCAGGACAATGCGGGCAGATGGAGAGGCAGGCAGGTGCTGACTCTGGGAAGTGGCCTGGGGCGTTGGCACAGGGAGCTTGGTGCCTTCAGCAGGGGGTTCTGTGAAGGAGTAGCAGAGATGACAGCAGCAGAGACAGACAGACAGGGTGGGATGAAAATGTGGCAGGTGCAGAAAATGCAGCCGACTTTCTTTTGAGCAATGAGGAGCCATTGAAGAGTGTTGAAAAGCACATGGGGCAGGGCCTGTAGTAAGTGTTCGATAATTGTGGGTGTTATTACTGCTGCTGTTGTTACGTAGCAGGAGAATGAGAGCTATGCTTTGGGAAGATAATTTTGGTAGCTTAACCAGAATAATGATGATAAATGATAATACCTTATATTTATTGAACACTTACCATGGGCCAGGCTCTTTAAGTACATTATTTTATTTAATTTTAACCTCCTTAGGAGAGAGGTACCATTATCTCCATTTTACAGATGAGAAAACTGAGGCACAGAGAGGGTAAGTAACTTGCCCAAGGTATCCAGAGGGCATAGGAGAAGAGGAAACACTCAGCAGGTAAGGGATTGGTCCATATGTGCAGTGACAAAGGCCTGCACTGGGATGTGGTCGAGAGAATGGAGAGGGATGCCTGGAGGGAAGAGGTATTAGAGGGAAGTAATGACCAGACTTATTGCCAGATCAGGGTGGGGTGGGTGTGTGTGTGTGGGTGACCAGCAGCCCAGAGAACAGGGGCCACAGAGGCCCCACATTGGCATCAGTGGGAGGGATAGCATGTCTCCAGTGGACATCAGGAACCTCTCAGCCAGATTTCTATGCAGGAAGTTCTTCATCCAGTATTGTGAACTGCAAACTCAGGGCATCTGCAAAGCCCCAGACTACTCTCTGGACTTTGGGGATCTCTTTAAGGGAGCAGAGGGTAGAGAGCTCAGAGTAGACTTTCCAGGCTCAGGAATCCTGTGATTGGGACAGCACTGGGCATACTAAGTACTGAGTGAGAGGAGGCCAGGCTGCTGGCTCTCCTGTCCCTCAGAGAGCGTGAGCCACCCCCAGCCTAGGCTGAGAGGCCCCAAATGGGGTTAGAGAGAGAGAGAGCCCAGCCCCTGGGATTGGGACGATTGCTGGGAAGCAAGCAGGATGTTGGGGGGGAGGGAAAGGGAGATGAGGAGCGAGGGAAAGACCAGGCCTGTGGCTGCTTGAGTCTTCCTGTGGAGGTTATGAAACACCTGGACCCTTTAACAGGGTGGAGCGGTGGCTCTCTCCACATAGGTCCCAAACTTTAGGATTGAGGCAGTGATGATCTATTCTATTCTATTCTATTCTATTCTATTCTATTCTATTCTATTCTATTCTATTCTATTCTATTCTATTCCATTCTATTCCATTCCATTCCATTCCCATTCCCATTCCCATTCCCATTTCATTCCCATTCCCATTCCCATTCCCATTCCATTCCATTCCTATTCCCATTCCCATTCCCATTTCCATTCCATTCCATTCCAAAACAGAGTCTTGCTCTGTTGCCCAGGCCGGAGTGCAGTGGTGCAATCTCGGCTCACTGCAACCTCTGCCTCCCAGGTTCAAGCAATTCTCAAGCCTCAGCCTCCAGAGTAGCTGGGATTACAGATGTGTGCCACCACACCTGGCTAATTTTTGTATTTTTAGTAGAGACAGGTTTCACCATGTTGCCCAAACTGGTCTTGAACTCCTGACCTCCAGTGATCCGCCACTCTCGGCCTCCCAAAGTGTTGGGATTACAGGTGTGAGCCACCGGCCCCGCCCAGTGATGATTTTAGAAGTGGCTCCTGTCTTTGGGACAGCCCTATGCCAGGCCAGTTGCTTGGAGGTGTAGAGGGAGGCAAGCCTGCTATAGGAGAGGGGGGCTCTGTTAGTGGGGTGCAAACAGAGCATGTACATGCATGGAGTATCTGTGTCTGTGTCTCCCTATTTGGGAGATGCCTTGTAGCCCTACATATGCTTTGGGGGCCCCTTGCAGCAAGAAGCAGGCAAGCCCTTGCAGGGTCCTCACAGGGGAGATTATTTGTAACCACACACAGCCCCTGGGACGTCTGGGGAAAAGCAGCTCTGTAGGCACATTCACACCAGATTTGTTGGACAAAGATGCCAGATATTTTGCTGTTTGATAAACTTCATAAAACAGTGGAGCTGAGTGGTTTTGCTGTTGTCTGAATGGAAGTATCCTAAGAAGCCATGCCAAGAAGATAAATAAAACTGTGGCTGCAGGAGAGGAGCTGAAACAAATGTGCAGCGAGAGGTACATCAAAGTAAAACTAGTTTTCTTGATGACTGGGTGCTCTGTGTGTGGGGAAGTGTGTGTGCATGTGTGTGCATGTGAACATGTGTGTGTGCACACATGTGTTTGTGTGTGTTGGGGCAAGTGTTTGGCAGATACTAGGCCACATCGAGGGGCCCGGAGATGTACCCTGGGCTGTTGCCAACCCTTCTGAAGGCAGCCCTCTACACACCAGGCCTGCCTGGGATTGAGCTAGGATTAGGCCCAGCTACGCTTAGCATAAAAGAAAACCAGCATTAGCCACTGTTGGAGGATTCGGGCGCTGTAGTCAGCCAGCTGAAGGAGGAGTTCAAATTGGAATATCTTTCCTGAGAGGTCAGGAATCCCTCAGTGGGCAGGGTGACCAGTCTCTGTGGGCCAGCTGAAAGATTTATTCTGCATTGATGACAGGGGGTACAAGCTTGGGTGTAAAAACATCGGCCTCTCGTATTTGGCTGTAAACACTCTAGGGTGTGCAGGGGAAATATAGGAGTATGGGATAGAACAGAATGTTGGTTCTGGATGGGAGCTTAAACATCATCGAGTCCAAAGGTTCTTAAAGTATAGGCCTCAGGCCAGCAGCAGAAGCAACAGCTAGGAACTTGTTAGGAAGGCAAATTATGGCCGGGTGTGGTGGCTCACACCTGTAATCTCAGCACTTTGGGGGGCCGAGGTGGGTGGATCACTTGAGGTCAGGAGTTCATAGACCAGCCTGGGCAACATGACGGAACCCCGACTCTACTAAAAGTACAAAAATGAGCTGGGCACAGTGGCAGGCACCTGTAATCCCAGCTACTCAGGAAGCTGAGGCAGGAGAATCGCTTGAACCTAGGAGGTGGAGGTTGCAGTGAGCAGAGATCTTGTCACTGCACTCCAGCCTGGGTGACAGAGCGAGGCTCCATCTCAAAAAAAAAAAAAAAAGGCAAATTGTTGGGCCCTACCCCAGAGCTACTAAATCAGAAACTCTCGGGGTGGGGCCCAACAATCCTTGTTTTCACAAGTTGCTTCTAGGTGATCTTAATGTACTCTAAAATTTGAGAACCCCTGATCTAGTTTGCCATCTTCACTTAGAAATGAGGGAACAGAGGCCTAGAGAGGGAACTTTTGCCAAGAGCACACAGCTAGTTAGGATACAGCCACTCTCCCCCTCACCCATATGGTCTCAGCTATTTATTTTGCAAATAACTTGGGGGGATTTTAATACATTTTTTCTTAGAGGCAATTGTTGTGTGGTTTATATATTTTCCATTTGTTAATAAGCTACTTAGATCAGTAGTGTCGCTGGGACCCAAACTATGGAATTATTTTCCATTAAAGTTCAGGCTCTTGGAAGTGGACTTGGTAGCTACATGGTCCCTTTCCAGTCTGGCCCCAAGCTCAGGTGGACAAGTCACACTCCCCTGGCTGCTCCCCAAGACACTGGCACCATCTTCCCCTGTCTGTCCCCAGATGCCCTCCCTGTAATGACACCACCAGCACCATAGTCTTGCTCTGTGCAGATGTTTTGGTCAATAATCCCTCCCTTAATTTACCAGGCCAAGTGAGGGTGGATGTGGCAAGAATAGTTTCGCCCACTGGCCTTTGCTGCCTTCCTGGGAAGATCTGCCTCTTCTTCCGGCTCTCACAGTGGGCCCAGCATGTTTCCAATATTGCATCAGTCTTTTCCCCAACAGAGTAACGCTTTAATGGGGCAAATTTGTTCTCTGCACGGGAAACATGTGGGCCCTTGTCAGGTGCTGCATCAGAGTGAGTTGCCCTCCACCAGCTTCCTAGATCTGGCCGTGTGAGGAGGCAGAAGGAGCCCTCTGAGACTTTGGGGTGAGTAACTCTTCTAAAAGAGCAGAACCATAATAGACTGTGTTTACATCAGCTCCGATTCCTGGGAAATTCATACAAAAGTTGTGTTGTGGTCTGAATTTTCTAGCAAACAGAGAAGGAAGCAGTTTGTCCAGTGTCACTAGACCTTACTGAAGGATTTTACATGCAGTGGGAAGGAAGAAACCCACTCCCTTCATCCTCCAAAAACCGGGATGGAGATGGTTAGCAAGGGGGTGTGGGAGGCAGCCCAGGGTAGGACAGAGTGTCCAGTCCCTCTTGTCAGTGAGAGCCTTCCTTGACCCCAAACCTTAAGAAATCAAATCCCCACTCTCCTGGGAACTTGGTTTTCTCTTCCGGAGCCCAGATTCGTTCCTGAGCCCCGAAATGCTGAAGCCAGCATTCCTCACCTCCAGGGAGCTGTGACATCCTGGGATGGTTTGTTTGATTCACCAACATCCTCTCTGCTTCCCCTGACCAATCAGGGGTCTATAACTTGCAGTTAAATAATTAAAGTCAATTAAAGTTTATTTCATTTTGAGCATTTCCCAAAGCCCTAGAGTAAATTGGAGTCTCCCTGGAGTATTGCAAAGCCGGGTTTGGAAATCTCAGATGAAGAGAATGTTGGGCAATGGATGATGGAGAAAAAGGAGAAACAAAGAGAAAGAGGTGAGGGAAAGAGCTTTCAGTTTCACTGGGTCTCCGCTTGGGGAGGATCTGGCTGGTTTAATGGTGATTCGATGCAAAAACCGTTGATTCCATTCTGATGTACTCAAGAACAGAGATGGCTGGAGACAGAGACAAGGAGAGTCAGAAAGCGACAGAAAGTAAGTCTCTCCGGGCCTCTCCACCCAGCCAATGACAGTATCACTTCAGGAAGAGACACTCCCTGTTCCCCAACTTCGGTTCCCCCTCCGCCAAAACCGTATGATATTTTAGGGAAGCCCCTCTTTATTCATTAGAAATCGGCTGCTTTGAGTTTGGCCCCTAAAAACTTGCCTCCTGCCCCGGAAGATTTATTTTATTAAATGGTCCACACCTGAAAGTAATTGAGTCTCGGCGTGGGTGCGGGGACTGCGGAGGGAGGGTCCAGGCGCGGCAGCGGCAGTGGCGGCGGCTCTCAGCTCCTCTCCAGCTTCGCACCCTGTGCCTCCGGGCGCCCTAGTCTCCCCGCCACGCCGCGACCTTTCCTCGGCCTCCCGCTCCCGCTTTGCGGAAAGGTCCGGGGCGCGTGTAGGGGAAGGAGAGAGAGGTATGTGGGGCGAGCGGGAGTTGAGCGTGGATGTGGGGAAGGGGGTGCGTCCTGCGTCGCCCCCGCACCCTCGCGTGGCCGGGCGCAGATCCCCGTGCACGGGTCCTCCGCACACCCTTGCCAGCCCGCAGGGATTGTTCGCCGCGTTGGTGACTCCTTCCCAAAATGGGAATAAAAGATCGAAATAGCTAGTAAGCATGCAAAGTTTATTGTCAACCTCAAGTCTCTATAAAACCAGATCAAAGGGAACAGGCGTTTGGTTTCTTCCCAGATCGCTGGGGGGCCTCGGGGCTCAGGAAGCCCCAGGAGTCCAGCCCGCTGCCGCTCACTGCGCTCTTCTCTCCAGCCGGGTCCAAGGGCTCGAGCATCGCAACCTGCGGCCTGAGTTGGCCCCGGGCGCACGCGAGGGAAATGGATGCAGTGCCCGTGAACTTGGGGCCTGAATAATTGATAACAACCCGCTGGGTGCCCGTCGCGCGGCCAGGCCTGCGGGGAGCGGAGCCGGAGGCAGCAAGCAAAGGAAACGCACGAGCCGGGAGCGCGGGCGCGCGGGGCCACGAAAGACCGACCGACTGTCCGACGGGCGGTGGGACAAGAGGACGGATGCTGTGGGGGGGCCCCGGAACCCGCCGCCACAACTCGCGGCCCACGCGGGTCGCAGCCGCCAGCCGTAGGGAGCTGCCGAGCAGCGACGTTCCGCATTCCATCGGGTTCCCGCGCCCTACTGGGCTTGTGCGGCGCAGTGCCTGCGTGTGCTTTCGTTTTCTCAAGGCCATTCTGATAAAACATACGTGCTGGTTCCCTTTCTTTTCTCAGAATGATTCTTCAAGGCGAATGACTCGAAATGGAGATTTCTTCTAACACCGCGTGATCACCGACAACTTTTGCAGGACGGGATGAAACTCCTCTGGGTTTCCAGTCAGATGTGCGAGTGGGCTCTCTTTAAATTATAAACCTGCAGTCTAACAGAGCCTTCAAGGTTATGGCCATGAGAAATGTGAGTGGAGATAAAACCTCACATCTTGAGGATTAACAAGGAGAATTTTTTAGTAGCAAAATTATATTCTCTTTCATCCCACATAAAAAAGAGTTGTAAGTTGTGGACGTTTTCTGCGTGTTATCAGTTTTATGTCCTGTAGAATTCCACCCCTCCAGACAAATTTCCATGCCTGCAGAGCCTGCTCATGGGTAAGACCACATGTCTATTTTCTGTGCCTGCATGTGCTGGCACAGTTATAACGAGGCACTGGACAGTTCTTGGTGATGGACCTTGGGAGAAGGGTCCCTAGATGGGTGGACATAGAGGGTCATTCATGTTTGGACACCTGGGAAAAATACCCAGGACTCCTATTGGTAAATAAACCAGCTGAAGAGGACCTTCACCACTTCCACAGTCTGAAGTTGCAGGAAATTCACAAGCAGAAAAAGGGCAGAAAAGTTAGAGGCCAAGGAAAGAAGATTCTTGCTGAGAGAGAAAGAATACAAAATATAAAGACAGACACAATGCTGAAATACACAAAAGGGATGGAAATTCACAAAATAAAAGATTCTGAGAGGGAAACAGTACAGAGAAAAAGGACAGAAAGAGATGGAATACTGTTAGAAAAAGAGAGAGGACGGGAGAAGAGACAAATGGAAGGAGAAAGAGTAGGTACAAAAAGATGTGGGAGAAGAAAAGCATCAAGAGAGACGAAGAGATAAAGAACCCCAGCCCAGACTAGGGGGAGGGAGGAAAGTATAGAAGCCTTGGAAACTGGGAGCCTCCCCACGACCAGGCACCTCCCCAGGGCCTTGCTTCTCAGGTTTCCCCAGTGCAAGGAAAATCCAGGGAAGCCTTTGTGGGCGCCGTTTGTTTGCTCCAGACCTGGATCTGATGATGCTGTTGATTTGGTTTTTAAACAGTGGGTTTGCAGCCTTCTGGGCTGGGGCAGGGGTCTGCTAGCCATACTTAAACCTGAAGATTGGATTGAATTTCGGCCACTTTGATGGTCCTGTAATCGTCTCCCAGTTTTCTAATTTCCAGTCCCCTCCACCCGGCTGGGGGTTGGAAGGGGACTTTAAAAACGCCTTTGATAACGTCTCACAGTTACATATTTCTATAACAATTTTCTCTACCAGATTGTTATGTTTGATGTAGCCCCAGATGTTCTGGGGGAGAAAAAGGGAACCAGTTCCCTCTGTCCCAGCCTGCCAGGCACGGGAAACAGGCGTGGGGAGGCAAACTCAAGTGCTGCAGGACGAGACCCTCCTCCAGCATTCGTCTCTCCTGCCACCCCTACTGCCAGCTCTTCCTCAGCCACACTTTGACTCTTTCACAGGGCCAGAGACCCATCCTGTGCATGCAGCTGTGGTACCACTGGAGCCCTAGATGTCTCTTTTCACCAAATCTTCCTTTTCCTGGATCCCCTTCTATTCTTTCTGCATGGTGACAGTTTGCAGTATATAAACTTCATGCTAATGTCATAGTAGGTCAAATTGGTTCCAGCTGCTCTCCTGGAGACACAGCGGCGTCCTAAGGAGCACCAGAAGACCTTTCTTTCTTCCTCAAACATTTATGGAACGTTACTATGGGAAGGCACTGAGATGGATGCCAAAGTCAGTTAAACATCTCCCACCCTGGAGCTGTGCAGTGTCTACACCACTGGGGAAATGAGACATGTATGTCAGGAACTTAGGCAGAAGCCTGAGTGAGTGTGAAGGATGCAGGAGAGAGAGAGATAAACAAGTGGCTACAGCGTTCAAGGGCAATGAGATGACTCTGGCTGGAGACATCTGAGAAAGCTGTGTGGAGGAAGTAGTGTTTGCTCTGGGTCCTGAAGGACATGCAGGGTTAGGCTGCATGGTGATGGGGAATGTTAGACACTGTGGTAGGCTGATGGGGAGGATATCCTGAGGCAGAGACACTTTCTAGTGCCCCCTCCCCAAACCTGACCTGAGTGGTGGTTGGAACAAGTTCATCTCCTTCAGTACATTTCACCCAACATTTGTTGAAATGAGTAACCAAACTGGGCACGTGTTGGTCACTGGGCATAGGAATGGAGGAAACAGATTCCTGCCTTCCTGGCTCCTGATGGTGTAGATCGCATTCCACAAATCTGCCAGGGGCTAGTCAGGGCTGCTGGGGCAGTGGACGGGGAGGCCAAGTAGACAGTGGGCAGGCCCCACCTCCACTTCAGCCAGACCAGTTTCACTTTTTCATTTTTCATGTACTGGGTTTCCATGAGGAGTTTCCTTTGGACGAAAAGGGTGGTTTTGTGGCAGAGAGAGAGTGAAAGAAGGAAAAGCCCTGGTTCACAGGCACCTGTGCAGTATGAAAACTAAGTGAATAATCTCTGGTTCACAGGCACCTGTGCAGTATGAAAACTAAGTGAATAATCTCTGGTTCACAGGCACCTGTGCAGTATGAAAACTAAGTGAATAATCCCTGGTTCACAGGCACCTGTGCATTATGAAAACTAAGTGAATAATCCCTGGTTCACAGGCACCTGTGCACTATGAAAACTAAATGAATAATCTCTGGTTCACAGGGGCCTGTGCATTATGAAAACTAAGTGAATAATCCCTGCTTCACGGGCGCCTGTGCACTATGAAAACTACCTAAGTGAATAATCACTGGTTCACGGGCACCTGTGCATTATGAAAACTAAGTGAATAATGCCTGGTTCACAGGCACCTGTGCACTATGAAAGCTAAGTGAATAATGCCTGGTTCACAGGCGCCTGTGCACTATGAAAACTACCTAAGTGAATACTTAACGAAAGATTGAGAGCCTGTCAGTAACCAAAGACTATGATTAAGCCATAATCCAATTCTGGACACCTGAGTTTCCATTTACCCCTCCCGCCCTCCACCACGTCCCCCTACCCTGTCCCAGGGTGTCTTCTGTGCCTTTCCTGTGTGTCTGTGGCCTGTGGATAGAGAGTGTACCGGATCGCATGCTACCCTTTTCTCTGGCATGGTCTTCCCGAGTCCTGCTCTTTTCTCCCACGCCCCAGCTGGTTGGGAGTGGCTGGGTTCCAGCTATTCCCAGAACACTCAGGAATCCCATCCTAATGATATCTCAAAGCCAGACCCCAAAGACGGGCGTCCACTGGGCTGAGCTCATACTCCCTCTTCTGTAATATCCCATGAGTTGCAATATGATAAAACGCCACCAGGGTGCAGGACAGAAACATGGGGCTCTGCTGTCTGAGGGCCAGGCTTATTTTCCACATAAAGGGTGGAGAGCTTACTGTAAGCACTGCCCTGTGGCCCCCACCTGCAAGAAGCTTATGGTCCCTCAGTGGCTTCAATGATACAATCCCCTACTCCTTAACTGGGGAGAGGAGTCTGTTGGAGTTGTAGCTGGAACCCCAAGTCTCTTCCAGCACTGCTCCACTTCCTTGCCCCCACAGCACGTCTCTGTGTGTTTCACCTACTTAGCTTCTGCCCAGGGTCCCCACTGGCTTCTCCACTGGCAAGGACCGAGGCCGAAGGAGCCTAGGCTTGGCTCTGCCTCCGCAAGAAGCCCCCAGGCACACATGAGGCATATTGACTCTTGTGGCTTCTCTTCATGTGGGACCTCTGAGGGAACAGGATGCTGGAGCCCAAGGCCAAGGCCTCTCTGCTCAGGGAAGACAAACCAGCTCCTGTCCCACTCCTCCATCCTGGGGACCCCCACCCCCACGCTAGACTGGGGTCTGCCCACAGGCCTGCCTACTTTCCCCAGCTGAGGAGAGGACAGGTCAGCCCCACTGTGCTGGGGCAGGGAGAATGCTGCTTGACAATGAGGCGTGCCCTGCGCATATGGGTGGGTGCTGGCAGTGGTGGCGGGAGGCTGCGAGCATTGACAGGTGACCGAGGGACCCCCATCTCCAGCTGGCCCTCAACACCTTAGCTCCTCAACCAAAAGACATGTATTAAGCACCTCCCTGCACAGGGCCCTATGCAAGGCACCATGGCAGGTGGGACAGTGATTTAGACACCATCCCCACGTGTGTCTGTGGACCCCACACGGGTGCTCTCATCTGACTCTGGCAGGCAGTTCTGTGTGTGGACCACCTAAGACTGTTGAGGGAGGGCTCCCTAGAAACATGCCCCGGGGGATGGGCTGGTGGGGCAGGCAGCAGGGGAGTAAGTGTCCCTTGTGGCTTTGAAGGAAGCATAATCTCCAAGCTCTGGGATAGCAGAGAGCATGCCTGTCGTTTCACTGCTGAATTCCCAGAGCCTGGCAGCAGGCCTGACACACAGTAGGCATTTTGTTAATGTTTGCTGAATGAATAACTAAGGGGGAGAAGTAAGAAGGCATTGAGACAAGGTGGTGGTTGAGCCTGGGACTCTGGAGGGGGTGCAGGTGGCTGGGTTCTGACAGTCCCCTAGCCAGGGCTGCTTCCTGGGTGACCAACCATCCCAGTATTTAATGGGAACTTCTGTGTCCTGGGAGGCTTCTCAGTCTGGGGCAAGCCTGGGTGGCTGGTCACCCTGCTGCTCCTCCCCTTGGGAATGGGCCATACAGTCAGTGCTCCCAGCCCTTTCCCTCCCTGGCCCTTCCTCCACACCCCCTTTCTCTTTCTTCCCTGCCCAGCGGGGTCTCCTCTCAGGAGACCTAGCCTAGCCTTGCCCCAGCCACAACCCCCCAGCCTGACCTCCGGGGCTGCCACTTCCCTTTCACTCGGCTACTCCTGATAAGGAGACTGGAAACAGGTTTGCCCTTTCACCTCTGCATATCTCTCCTCCAGCCTGCGGGTCCTCACATCCTGGGTCATATCCTGCGGGGGCCTGTGCACCACTGCATCAACCCCTGCTCACTTGCAGGCTACCAGCCCGAAGCTTTAGGTGGGAGAGGAGTGTGGGATGAGGGGCAGCAAGGCCATAGCCCTTGGGAGATGGGCCTCTCCTGTCTTGGCTGAGGACAGTCCAGGGGCCTGCTCCCAGGGCACAAAAGCTGGCTGGATAGGAGGGCTGAGCTGACTGATCCCTCCCTGGGATTTTGACTGACATTCTTGATGGAATTGACCGGATGTTTCTCCTTCACAAGAGACACAGCCTTAGGCAGGACAGCTGTGCCTTCCTCAGCCCAGCTGCAGCTGGAGGTGCTGAGAACCCAGAACCCACACTTCCTACTTTTGGTATAACATTGCTGGGCCAAAAGGTCTCCTGAGAAGGGCTGTGGGGGCTTCCACAGGGTCCTGGAGAGGCCGCAGGAGTCGCATCTGATTATCTCCTGACCTCATTCCTCCGGAGCTTTTGTCTCTGCTTGTGTCTGTGGACCCCACACGGGTGCACTCATCTGACTCTGGCAGGCAATTCTGTGTGTGGACCACCTAAGACTCAGAGACCCCTCAGGGTCGGCCCTAGGCCAGGCACTGAAACGTGCCAAAACCCACTCATTTTTGCAGAGTGCACCATCTGGGAACACTGCTGTCCAGAACTTCTACTCCCGTCAGAATGTGATCAGTTGCAGCTATTCTTTAAAAGAGTAATCAGTAATCTTTGCTGATTCAGAAGTCATTTCATGGATTTGCAGCATTTAGAGGGATACCATTGCTAACAACATCAATTTTGTGGCCTTGAGATGGTAAGAATTATCAGAGAACTTTTCCCTTTGGTGAAATCCCTGCACGGCAAATCCCAAAGTGGCCTGGAAGAGGGCAAGTTATCCACCTGCAGCCTGCAGGGAGCTGTGAAGGGAAGGGGGATGTTCCATCCTTGGTCTTAGGGTGGCTTGAGTGATTATGAGATTTGTATATGAATATGAGGCTCAGAGCTCATATATATATGTGTATATATATGTGTGTATACATATATATACACACATATACACACACACACACACACACATATATTTGAGACAAGGTCTCACTCTGTTGCCCAGGCTGGAGTGCAGTGGCACAATCTTGGCTTACTGCAGCCTCCATCTCCCAGGCTCAAACAATCCTCCCACCTCAGCCTCCTGAGTGGCTGGGACTACAGGAACGTGCCACCATGCCTGGCTATGTTTTGTATTTTTTGTAGAGACGGGGTTCTCACTTTGTTTCCCAGGCTGGTCTCGAACTCCTGGGCTCAAGCAGTCTGCCTGCCTCGGCCTTCCAGTGCTGGGATTTCAGGCAGAGCTCATATTTTTGTTTTAGCATCTTTTAGAGCTGTGTTTTTCAGACTTTAGTGACTTGAGTAATTTTCATGATTTTTGCCACATCTGAGTGTCACTTGTATCATTAACATTTTTCTTTAACTCATGCACAGACACACACACACACACACATCTTTTTAAAGGAAAATTTACATCCTTACTATAAATGGAACACCAGTAGTTATTAACAGTCATTATTAACAGAGTAGCTATAAAAATACATGAAACATAGTAATGTTATATTGTAGCTAGAGATGCCTGTGGAAGCCTTTTAGTCTCAGGTTTGCTTTCTTAAACAGGAATGTTACCAAGTGTTAGAGGGACGTTAACCTCTTCCCTACCCATGTGCCATATCTTTGGTGACCAGATGTAGCTATCATTTAAAGGGCACATTATAATCAGACAGGAAAGAGGACGGGAGAAGAATGATTTTCTCACTCTGTGTTTAGGGTGCCAGCTAAGATTATCTCAAGTTCTGCCCAGGGTTACTGAGGGGTTCCCTGGGCCTCTCCACAAGGAATTTTTCCCTGGCCACTGACCTAAAGTGTCCCTCTCAGCTCATTCCTGACTGTCCTTTCTCCAGAGCACCCTGCCATCAGACATCTGCTCACTGCAGCCACATTCTGCAACCCATAAGGGGAAAACGAATGGAGTTGCTGGAGATAGGGGGTGCTGATGTTGCCCAGAATATTCCATCTTTAATGAGGCAACCCTAGAAGGATTGTTTCCACATTCCTCAGTGGAGCTGCAGAGAATTTTCCCAAATGACTGTGCGACAACCCCAAGCATGAGAACATGCAGGGAATTCAAGCAACGCTTCCTCTGTGGACAGTTGTTAAATGATTTTCTCAGTTCCACATGCTCCCCTGCCTTCTAGGCTTGAGTGTCCAGCTGTCCATTGGTCCTTCCCATTTGCAGGCCTAGTGGGCATCTCAAACTTAACCTGTTCAAACAAAGCAGCAACTTTGATTTCCCCCACAAACCAGCTGCTCTCTCAGGTCACTTCTCAGTTAAAGGCACTGCCAGTTTCCAGATGCTCAGGCCCAAAAGCTTACATGTCCCTTTTCTTGTCCCCACACTCCATATCCAATTCAATCATCTGTCCTGTTGGCTCCACCTTCCCAGAATATCCAGAATCCACTGACCTCTGCTGCCCTCCTGGTCCAGTCCATGTCTCCACCATCTCTTGCTTGGACTACCCCAAATTCCTCCTAGCTGGTTTCCCTGCTCCTCCCCATTTGCCACACACCAAAGCCAGAGTGATCTTTTGAAGACTTAAATGTGATTGTATCACCACTTGGCTCAAAATCCCCCAGTGGCTTCTCATGACACTCAGAACAAAATCCAGTCTCCTTACATGCTATGACTCTTGCCTGCTTTTCCTTCCTCACCTCACAACCTCTGTCCTGGCTCAGCACATGCCAGTCAGTCTGAGCCAGCCAGGCTGGCTGCTTTCTGCAGCTCTGACACTCCGTCCCACCTCAGGGACTTTGTCCTGCTGTTCTCTCTGCCTGGACCACTCTCCCCTGATCCTCACATGGCTCTGCCCATCAGCTACACTTGGTTGGAATATGAATAATAATGGTGAACCACTTACTGGTAACTACTGCATGCCAAACATTATTTGATGGTTTTCACATGTGTTAACTCATTTGCTCCTCACAAGAACTCTTTCAAGTAAGTACAATTATTATCCTCATTTTGGAGATGAAGAAACTGAGGCACAGAGAGGTTAAGTAACTTATTCAAAGTTGCACAAATACTAAGAGGTAGAGCTAGAATTTGCATCCATGACATATGGCTCCTGGGTCCATGAGCTTAATGTCTGACTTCTGCCTCTAGTTACTTTTTCATTGAGATGCATCTTATGCAAGCAAAGTGCACTGATGCCAACTGCGCAGCTCAGCAAATATCTGCATGTGTTACATCTGTGTATCCACCTCCCAGATCTGGAGCCAGAACTTGGCCAATGTGCCCCAGGCTGCCTCCTATCACTTCAGTCAGTTCCCTTGAAAGTAACTCCTAGTCTAACCCCTGTCACTATTGACCGACATTGGGAAAGACTGTCTTTTATCTAATCCTGTTTGTTTTCTTAAAAAGTGCTGAAGTACCTTAATTTTTTTGTTCTTTAATGCTTCTGCTTGATTCAATGAAAAGAAAATTAAAATATTTCATGGACTCGGCTGGGCGCAATGGCTCATGCCTGTTATCCCAGCACTTTGGGAGGCTGAGGCAGGCAGGTCACTTGAGCTCAGGAGTTCAAGACGAGCCTGGCCAACATAGTATTGCAACTGTCTCAACAATTTTTTTTTTAATCAGTATAGTGACACATGCCTATAGTCCCAGCTACTTAGGAGGCTGAGATGGAAAGATGGCTTGAGCCCAGAAGCTTAAGGCTGCAGGGAGCCGTGATCACCACTGCACTCTAGCCTGGGTGACAGAGTAAAATCCTGTCTCAAAAAAAAAAAAATCTGTTAATACCAAATTTGGGAAGCAGCAATTTAGAGCCCTCACCCCCTACCCTGCCTACCTCAGCAGTACCTTCCTTAGTCTCCTAGATTGAGGGAGAGGTGGGCTGTTTGGGGACAATCCTGCTTGTTTGTCACAGCGCTGGGCCTGTGGCAGGTGTTTAGAACACCTGCTGATGGGTTGACCACCAGTGGTAGATGGTGCATCGCTGCCCTTGGAGTTTCTGGAGATTGGGCTTTTTTTGTCTAAGGAGGAGGCTCCAAGTTGCTGGATGTTGAGGTTAGATGCTCCGGGCTGCCAGCCTTGTACCAGGAACTGTCCTTCGCTTTCGGGGGGTCCCTGGGTGGACTCCCACTGTAACCAGCCCATTCTCACTCAGACGCTCATCACCCTCCCGCGCTCCATCTCCATCTGGCGGCCCGTCCCCACATTCCTCTACCTCTGACCTTCCTCATCTTCCTGCTTGGGGCAGTCCAGGTTCAAAGCTATGGGGATGTCACAGCCTAGGAATGAGGGCTTTCATCTAGGGGGATGGGTGCAGTTCAGACGGGAGAGAAATCCACAGATGGTTCTTTGCAAGCAGGTTGGGCTCAGCCTCTTATAAGTATTGCACTTGAAAGCCCCAGAGTGCTCTGTGTCCCTGGTCATTCCATCCATGTGCACACACACACACTAGCATGCATACACACATATGCATGCACATGCACATGCATGTGCACACACGCACACACACTTCCTAGTGTAGAACAGGGATTGGGTGGTAACAGTTGGGTGACCTGAATTCCCCGTCTGAGGATCCCTCCCCACCTTCTGCCATTTACCCCCAACCCCCTCTGTAGTTTCTCTCCAAATCTTTGAAATGCTCAGAGGTGCCTGGGAGCCAGGGCATGTTTTTATCGTCACAAATACACCAGAGAAGAGAGACAGCGGGGAAGTGAGAGAGAAAGGGCTGGAGTACAGACCCAGGCTGAGGACGCGGGGCAGGCTGCCAGGACGCAGAGCCAGGCCAGGGAAAGACACCATCCTCCGCAGGTTAAAGCTACTGGGGGACCTTTGATTGTGCACGTGGCCCAGCAAGCATGGGGCAGCCCTGACTTTGCCCTAAAGGAGGCTGAGAAGCAAGTTTGTACAACTTTGGGGGTGGGGATGTGGAGGAGTCCTGGGGCCCTCAGATGATGCTGCCCCTTCCCCTCCATGCCCAACTCACCCCATGTGGCCAAGCTGGTCACAAGCTCCAAGGTTCTCCAGCCTCCTGGGGATATCCCAGGAGGGGCAGGACGAGGATGGAGAGACTCAGGGGCCCAGCCTGCATGGCAAGAATCCCTCTCAGACCTACAGCTATCTCCCCTGCTCCAGCCCCACTTAGCACTCACTCAGAACTTCACAGGCTCAGACTTCCCAATCCCTGGCCTCCCCACTCCTGGGGCCTTTCCCCAGGTGTCAGCAGCAATTTCCTGCCATGCCTGGTGACAGGAGCCTGAGCCAGCCCAGGGGAAACCCAATGCCATGGTGTCAGCAGTGAGTGTCCTTCGGTTTCTGGGGAATGGGGCTGAGAAAGTGCAGAGCTGCGCAGCTCGAGGGGGCAGGGAGGACTGCCACTGCCCCCACCCCATGAACCCCTGCCCCTTCCACGCTTAGTGGAGACCACTGTGCCCACTCCTCTTGCACCCAAGGACCCTGGCAGAGACACCTCTTTCCTGCCTCATAACTGGACCAAGGCTGGAAAGAAACACTCACATCTGGGAGACAGTGCCTGGGTGGGCAGTGTCCTGCTCTGGGCAAGTTCATCCTTCCCTCCCCATACTGATGTAAGGATGCTGCTTTGGGGTGGAGTCAGAAGGGCCTCACCCCTTCCCCTCCCCTCCCCTCCCCATTCTAATCTAGCACCAGCATTCGGGGAAGTGTCTTCATCTCAGGCTCCGTTGATGACCAGCAGTTCACATCTTCTGCCTTTGGTTTTGCATAGTTGCTAGATCTGTGCAGGGCACCCACCTTCTCCCGGGGAGGGCCTGGGTCTCCTCTCTCCTCTCTATCCCCCTTAAGGTCAGCAGGGCTACTTTCTAAGAACTGGTCCTTGAGCATAGAGGCTGGTCACACTCGTGTGTGATCTCTACCTTGCTTCCTTTCCCTTTGCATCTGTGTGCTCTCTGTACCCGGAGCTGTGCTATATACCAGACAGAATCTCTGTTCTTGGAGGACCCATAATGTAGCGGGGGAAGCAGACTGGAAAACTTATATAATAGAGGAGAGAGAGGCTGTAATGAAGAAAATGCTGGCTTTAGGGCCAAACATTCACCCTATAATAATGTGAGCTTGGGAGATTTGTCAATGTACACATAACAGCATACCCCAAATGAGATATTTTATTTAGTCTAATTGCCTCTTAACAGGTTTGGATGCAGTAGATACACTGAATACATAGATTCAAAATGTAAATTTTGTATCCCTAATATATTCAGTCTTTTCCTAGATATTGCATGTGTCCCCCACCCTTGGCACAGAGCAGGGGCTAAGTCAAGGTTTGCTACATTGGATTGGATTGACTTACCTACGGTGGAGGTGGGAAGGGGAGATGACTCACAGTTGTAGGAGACACTCTGAGAAATGAGACTGGTCTCGGCCAGGAGGGACTGGGAGATGCATCCAGAGGCTTGGGACAGTGGGCAAGGGGCCATTGTTTGGTCTGGTCCCAAGTCCTGGCTGATGTCAGATTAGCTCTTTTCTCTTGGTTGGCAGGCCCTTTGTTGTTGTTGCTATTAGAACTTCTCTTGCATAGGCTGGCTGAGTAAGTGTGGCCCCTGCCTCCCTTCATCAGAAGTCTTCTGCCTGGGGCATAGCTGTGTGCTCAGTGCTTGAGACGGGTCCAGTACCTGTTTTCCATGAGCTCAGCTGTGGAATGCTGCTGCTGGGATTCATCTCAGAGGTCACCTTATAGTCCTGTCTCCTCCTTTTGCAGAAGAGGAAACTGAGGCTAAACATAAAGTAATTTGCTCAGGCCTGCCCATTTGAGGTTCCAGATTCTAGAGCTCCCAATCCAAGTCCCCGCTGACTCCAGGTATAATGTTGCCCAAAAATGTCAGTCTTCTCCCAGCCTCTTGCCCCACCAGGCCTTTATTCCATCAGCCTGGTCCTGACATTTATTAAGTACTTATGTCACTCAGCACTCTGGACTGTGCCTCATGCTAGATGAGAATGTCTTCAAATAAAATAACGTAGTTGTGGAAGAATCACCTGAGCCCAGGAGGTCGAGGCTGCAGTGAGCTGTGATTGTGCCACTGCACTCCAGCCTAGGTGGTGGGAGCCTGTCTTGAGGCCACCCTGGCCAACACAGTGAAACCCCCTATCTACTAAAAATACAAAAATTAGCAGGGTGTGGTGGCGGGCACCTGTAATCCCAGCAACTCGGGAGGCTGAGGCAGGAGAATCACTTGAACCCGGGAGGCAGAGGTTGCAGTGAGCCAAGATCGCACCACTGCACTCTAGCCTGGGCGACAGAGCTAGACTCTGTCTCAAAAAAAGAAAAAAAAAGAGAGAGAAGAAATGATATCATTTCAAATTTTTAAACTAAAACGCATAAAATGTAGCTGTACAGAGGATTCGCTACTTATTTTTCTGCTTCACCTCAGACTGGTACAAGCATTATCATGGACCAAAACACTTCTGTGGGCCTGAATTAGACCCAGGTCTGTCCCAAGCAGCCCATGCTCTGGTCTAAGGTGGGGATCCCCAGCCATTGCATACAGTCCCCTCTGGGAAAGGGCTGCCCAGAGCACTGGAGTCAGGTTGGGGTATGGGTAGAGCCAACCCAGGCCCTTCTCCTGGTGCCTGGTAAGGGAATGGAGGGCTCCGGGAAGGGCCTCTAGGAGCTCTGTCCTCAATTGTATGACATCATTGTTTCTATCCAGATCCTTTGACCCTCACACTAACCCAAGGCCGTTCCACCCTGGGGGTTGGGGCACTGGCTGGATATGGGCATTTGTACCAGCTGCTTTTCACACTGGCTGTGTGACCTTGGACCAGTCCCTGAACCTCTCTGGGTCCCTTTCCTTGGCTCACTGAGCTAATGTTAGGATAGCCATGAATGTAGCAAATGTACAGATGTATGGCTTTGGGGGCTCTTTAAGAAGTGACTGAACGTTCCAGTATCCCAGAGCACTTAGCTTACACCCCGCTGCTCTGTCTTACGGGTGAAGAGACCAAGGCCTAGAGAGGAATAGTGACAGACTCACTGCTAGCAGCAGATACAGAGTCGATGGTGGGGCCCGGGTTCTTGGCTCCCACTTCAGAGCCCTCCTCCACACCCCACAGCCTCCAGGTCTTCATCCAGCTTGAGATCTGCCCAGGAATGTAGTTTTTCTGCAAGCCTCTTGCCCTACCATGCCTTTGTTCCCTCAACCTGGCCTTGACACCTTCCGCTTTCCACTGGATTCTGTGTGTTCAGCTTACTCAGCTGTGTCCTCTCGGTGCCAGAACATCTAGGCACAGAGCTTGAGTCCAGATGCCATCGGGCTGCCATTGGGTGGTGGATACCATCGTTGATGCCCCCCCTCACCTCCTTCCCATCATCCCTCATTCCAAAGGCTAGGAGGTATCTCCTCCTCTGGAAAATTACTCTCCACTGGCTCCTCTAGGCCCCTGGGGTATCCCATGGCTTCCCATTGTGACCTCCCCTCCTGCCTCACTCCAGGACAGGGATTGTGGGCAGCCCTGGTCCCTCTGACTCTCAGGAAAACCCGTGTCTTCCCTCCCTCCTCCCCATTCTTTTTATCCTCCCTCCGCCCTTGGCCCCAGGTCCTCTCCCCCAGCCTTATCTGCCCAGGATCTGACCTGCAGATGCACTCACTGCTCTGCGTGCTCCTGACCCCAGGATGGCATCACCGCCCAGCCTGCCTGCCCTGGGGCCAGCTCCGGCCTGTTCTCCTTTCCTCTAAAAGCCCCCATGTCTTGAAGCTGATTAAAACAAACATAGCTCATATTTTTGTTCTTAATCCAATTCTGTGCTGGGCTAGGGTCGGAGAGGGAGGATAGGATGACAGAAGCACATTCCTCACTATGCCAGAGGGGAGAGGCAGGGCCAGGTACCTGCCAGGAAGTACCCAGCATTGGGGAGGCCATGATCCAAGTGGGGTGCTGATGGGCAGAGGTGGATGGGCCCTTCCCTGGGTATGACTCAGCTGCTGCTCCCTGGTCAGGGGAGTAGCAGGGTCAGAAGTTCTCTAGGGCTTTCCCAGAGGCGGGGGCAACACGCCTTTCTGGGAACAGCCAGCAGGGGTGGGGGCTCCCAATAGAGGCCTTTATTCTCTCTTGCCTGGGAAAAAGACAGGATCTTCTTGTCTCAGTCGACCCCTTCCCATGACATCCCTCCTCAACACTTTGCCTTCGGGTTCCTCAGGACACACAGACTCAGATATGTGCCATGGACACCTTCATATCCTGTAGGCAGGGCTCACAGGCCTCTGAGTTGGAGGAGAGGGTGTGCGATGGTGCATACAGTCTGGAGGCTCAGCAAGTGACTGGGTTTGAATCTTGTTCTACCACTTACTAGCTGTGTGACTGTGGACAAATTCTTTAATCTCTTTGCACCTCAGTTTCACCAACCGTAAAGTGGGTGTGGTATTAGTACCTACCTCATAGTATCATTGTGGAGAAGTATGGACCTACAGCGTGGACACCAAGAACAGTATCTGCATCGTATTGCAGACTATACTAAAAGTACTCTCTAAAAATATAATAACAAGCATGAGTGTGCCTAACACTGGGCATGGCACATATTGATTGGATCTTAAAATTGTGTGATTTCATTGCTAACTGAAACCTTAAGAGACATTTTTGTCCAAGAGAGGAGGGAAGAGATAGTTAAAGCAAGTAAAAAGGAAAAGGAGAAAAAGAAAAGTTAAAAAAAAAAATAGAATGATTTGGAGGAGAAGAGGAATGAGACTAAAGAATATGAAAAGTGAAGAGTGAGGAGGGACAGGAAAAACTGCCAGGAAGGGAGGGAGGGAGGGAGGGGGCCGGCAGGGAGGGAGGGAAGGAGGAGAAGAAAGCAAGCTAGATAAGAGGATGAAGAGGGGAGGGGGTGGTGGGAGAAAGATGGGAAGGGGCCCAAAGAGAGGGGACTGCTGGTGAGGGGCCTCAGTGACTGCCTTGGGAATGTGCAGAGCTAGGATTTCTTCCTGTCCACCAGGACATAAGATTTCTTCTCCCCCCATCCACTGGAACAGCCTCTTGCCCACCTCCAATCCTCCACCTCCACCCTTGCCTTGCACTTCGAGTCAGGATCCCTGCGAGAGGTTTCTGGACTAGCTAGCATCAGAGGACCAGCTGGGGAAAATCTCTCTTGGGCAGTAGGTTTATAGTAGGTTCATAGAACTGTAAATTCATAATCTTTCAAGGCTAAAGAAAATGCTGGCATTGATAGTTCACCTACCTGGCCTCCTCCAGAATGGCCTGTGTACCTCTCAGGACAGGACCCTCACCACCTGTTCAGAGGTGTTTACTGGGCACCTTCCAAGACTGAGCTACAGCTACTGTGGCTGCAAATCAGTTGAATGATAAATAACAATTTTGTGGGTACTTATTTTTGGCCCCACGAGAAGGACAGAGGGCAAATCAGTGGGACCCTAGCATATGCTGGGCCCACAACGGGTGGATGCATGGTCAGCCTAACTGGTCATCCTTGCCTCCCAAGTTCCAGGGGTCTTTCATCCTCCTTCCACACCCCAAGGGCACTTGGCTTGGGCTGTGATAGTTCCCCATACCACAGCTGGAAACCAAGATGTGTCAGCAGGTCAGAGGAAGGGGGACTAGAGATGGCCCATAAAAATCTTGGGCTCCCTGTAAACAGAGAGGGTCTTTGAAAGCCCAAAGCACTTTTATGTGCTAGTTAAAGGGCCTTCCTGTTGTGTCGCCAGGATTTATAGGGACATGGGCTGGGGAATGGGGGAAGGTGAGCCACGTGCAGCCTCTACCTGCAGATATAGCTCACTCCCTGGGCTTTTTGGAGCTGCTACTCTCTGGGTTCCAGGGGAGAAGGGAGGAAGGGGATATCTTAGTAACTTCTTGGCCGTCACACTCCATTTACCAAGGAGGGACTGTGAGGCTCCTCCTTGATGCTTTAAGATCCTGAACCACCCCCCTGGGGCCACGTTCATGACCAAGGCAGCAAGCACATATTCCAGGCCAGCAGTGTCTACAGCTAGGGGGAAAGAGGTGTCAAGACAGAAGCAGAACTCTCGAGGCGGAGGCCAGGCTACCGTATGCATTGTAAGCGTGCAGGACTAGGAGAATCCAACTGTTCCATGGCAAGTCTTTCCCGTGCCCTGTGCCTGATGCTAGCACCAAGGGATCACAGGGAGTGACCAGGTGTCAGTCCCATCTCGATTCTGTGAGTTAGGGATGCCCATCCATCGACCTGCCTCATCGTGACACCCTGTAAGAATGTGATATCCATTAATTTAAACTTACAAAAGCTGGGCACAGTGGCTCAGACTTGTAATCCCAGCACTTTGGGAGGCTGAGGCTGGTGGATCCCTTGAGCCCAGGAATTGGAGATAAGCTTGGACAGCATAATAAGACCCTGTCTCTATTACAAAAAAAGAAGAAAAAGCTCCACACAATCAATGTGTTATTCCAGCCCACTCTCCCTCTTGGAGTTATGAGCTGCATATTTTACTTTCTTTCTGGGAGAGGAGGACCCTCCCTGTTCGGTGTCATGGGAGGAAGCTGCCCTTCCCTGCTGTTCCACAGCAGCCTGCACTTACACCCTACTGGGCCTGTCACAGTGTCACAGACCATGGGTTCTCCTAGACTGAGCTCAGTGCCAGTGTTCACTGCTGCCCCCGGAGCCAGGCAGGATGCAGGGGGATTTCCGCACACGGCCCCCTTTCACCCTCGCTCTGCCCTGCCAGGGAGATGCTCGTATCCTCCCCAGTTTAGAGTTCAGGATGGGGAGAGCTGGCACCTGCCAACCTCTTCTTTATCAGCCCTCTTCAAGAAGCAGCACATACATTCTTTCCTTTAATCCTCCTGGTCTACCCGCTGGGTCATATCCACCCCAATTTATACATGAGGAAATTGAGGCTCAAGGAAGTTGGGTAACTGCGGAAAGTTCCAGCCAGGTGGGGTCCAGCCCAGAGCTGTTTCCCTGTGCTTTTATTTCATCTGAGCTGTAGGTTCCCTGATCTCCTCCTCCTGGGATGCTGGAACATGGAGAAAATCCCTGCTCCCAGCTGATGTCAGAGGCGCCCCAGTCTTTGTCGCTCAGGCCTGCGTGTCTCTGTCTGTCCTGCAGCCCATGCCCTTGGTGGCCCACTCTGGCTGCTCTTCCGGACCTTCTTCATCCTCATAGGGATCTCCCCTCCCTCCTGGGGAGCAGCAACCAGAGCCACACTTGGCCTCCTAAGTCTGGGGTCCCAGACTGGATACAGGGCTCTGTATCCAGGCAGGAGGACTGGCCTCACCGTGACCTCCGTCTCCAGCCTGCCGGCCAGGAGTGCCCATCATGGCCTCAGGCCTTTGGCATTCTTCCTTGATGCTGCAGTTCCCCTCTGCTCCTCTGTGACCCTATTGAGTTTCCCCAGGTCCGGCCAACCAAACACTGCCATATGGGGGAGAGTTACATTTCCTGTGTGTGTGTCAAAATATCTGAGCGGATGTGAAATACATCAGACATGTATAAAAATAAACTTTTACAGGGTGACTGACTACTCCCCTCCAAGGAGAACCAGCGATTCACTCTTCATCTGGGGCCCAGAAACTTAGCTGGGGCCTTGGGGACCACTCCCCATGCCTGGCTCCTCACGGCCATCCTGCTTCACTTCCTTGGGCTCTGGGCCAGCTCCTCTCCCGGAAAGCATTCTCCCCAGGGCTCTGCTGGTGTGTAAACCCCTCCCCAATAGGCATGAAGTTAGCAAGTCACCTCTCTGGGCCCCAGTTTCTTGATGGGTGTGGTAGGGGGTTGCTTTTTCAGCTCGCCGTTGTCTCTGACAATCCACGACTCACAGCCTGTGACTCCCCAGTCTAGGCTACGGCAGGACCATCCAGTCACCTATTCTGGTTTGCAGGAAGCAACATCCCCAGCCTTATATCAGAAATTTCTCCCTAAATGTAATTCTTAGTCATTCCAGACTCAGATGCCACCCCTTGCAGAGAAGTAGGGGAGGGGTCAGGTGTAAGTGGGAGCTTGAGGGGGTGCACGGTGGTTTTGGATAGCTCTGGAGATTCCTGCCTTGACCACTCTGAGACCCTGAAGCAGCTTGGACAGAAGACCCTATCTGTTAACCTATGTGATTCCTACCAGATCCCATTCTAGGGCCGTTGGTTCCTGTCTGGTAAAGAATCCGGTCTGGCCGTGACAACTGCCTTTGCCCAGCCAAGGGGCTGGAGGGTCCCAGTTCTGAAGACTCAATGCCTGGCACATAAGCTTAGTCAGGACCCAGAGGCAGAGTGCTAATTTCTGTTTCCCTGCAGCCCCATCCTGGTTGGAGGGCTCTTCTTCCTTCCCAACTGGGCTACCAGCAGGCAGGGAGGGAGGCCAGGGCCACCCCACATGACTCTCCCACCTTGTTTCCTGGCCTCTGGGACATCACTGCAGATGCACCACTCCCAACAGAGTCTGGCGTTGATGGGCAGCTGCCATCCTGCCAGGAACCTGGTGCCAAGAGCTTGGGCTGTGGGACTGGCCCTCAGCCTCAATTCAGCCAGACCCACCCATCACCTGACCCATGCCCACTGCCTCTCAGGCCTCCTTTGAGTACCTTGTGTTCAGGCCAATTGCAAATGCCAGAGATAGCTTCAGGCCAGCAGTTATTGAATCTGGGGTCCACGCTTCTGCTGGGTGGGAGACAAAGGGAGGCAGTATTTTGGAGAGGCCAAAGGAGAGGCAGGGCTGACAGCTGGCTCTCTTGTCTTTCTCTAGTTCTCTCCAGGGCAAAGACCCCACGTAACATTCTTGCCAGCCCCTACCACCCCCAATTCTGGTGCCAGATGCTCTATACTTCCCACCTTACCATGAGTCCTGTCCCTTCCAAGACACTTAACTCTTAATCAGGTCCCTGTTAATGAAAGTAATGGGGTGACTTGTCTGTGGGTCCTAGGAGCATTTATTAGGTAATAAACTTAATGTACAAAAGGTAGTCAGTCCAGTGTGATATTCTTGCAGTGGAAGAGGCACTTCAGGGCAGAAGCTCATATTGGTGACCCCTGGGATGGCCATCAGCTAGGATATGAGGCTGCTGGTCCAACAGGTAGTCACTTGGGTTTTGATACCAGGAATGACTCCACTGAAGTAGTTCTGATGGTCTGCTATGGAGCTTGAGGCAGCCCCTGATCGGACCCGTTTTTCCATACAGTCCATGCTGCTCATGGGACCATCCAATCAGCTGTTGGCTGGATTTAAATATTCTCCCTCTTGCTTTTGGCTCCAGCTTGTTCTGATGAGTGGCTGCATGTGGCTAGTGCTACCAGCTAGAGGAGCAGGAAGTCAAACAAAATAATAGGCCAACCCTAACTGTAACCCTAACCCAACATCCCACCTGCCAACTGGACTTCCTTGGGGTTAATCAAGCCTAAGTCAAATCCAAGTTTACTAGCCCCTTGTTCTGTTCAGCTGTAGTTTAGTCTCTCTTCCCCTAACAGAGATCTGTCTTACAGGTAGCTCAGTTCCCCCAAGCCCAGCTTTACTCTGTTCCCAGCTTTCTCACTCTTTTTCCCTTGTTCCTTCATTTTGGTCTTGGCTTCCTCTGGGGCAGATGTCATGCAGCTTGTTCCATGTCATCTTCTCTGGCAGGAGCCTGCTTTCCTCAACTGACAGAAGGGGTCTTGTTAGCAGGAATCTCACCCAAGGACTCGCCTTAGCACCCTTAGGCCAAGAGTCAGGCTGAAAGGCTAGCACAAGCTGCCCTGGTGAAAGACCAGCCTTTGTATCTCGCCAGGAGCAACAAGGACTCTCTCTGGTCCTGCACGATCCATGTGGCAGCATCTTTAGATTGGCCACTGGCTTCTCCACCCACACCTGGCTGTAGACTTGCAAGACCAGCAAGAGCAGGAGGTGTTCAGGGCAGGGCTTTGTGGGCCCCTTCTTGGTCCTGGCTTTTAATGCATCGTGTTTGATCTTTGCCACGTGGTGGAGGGTTCCTGTCGCTCTGGTTGATGACACAGATCTTCAAGGAAGCAGTCACCCCTGTAGGAAGGGGAACATTTATCAAAGCCATTCCCAGGGGGGGTGCCTGCCAAGTCTAGGCCCTCAGCTGGACCTTTGTAGAATGTCCAGAATATAGCTACCATTCTGCCTGGCCCAGGAGGCCCTCTGCTTCTCCATCTAATCTGGCCTAGATGGGAAGAAATCTTTTTTTTTTCCTTATTCTTGCAACCAAGATAAAATTGTAGATTTTTCAGGAAGCACTTTAAGAGGAAACAAAAGGGAAAAAAGTACTCAAGAACCACATGGAGGCCAGTGGCTCATGCCTATAATCCCAGCACTTTTATCATCCTGAGGCAGGATGATAAAATTGTAGCGATCCTCCTGCCTCAGCCTCCTCAGTAGCTGGGACTATAGACACACACTACCATGCTCTGCTAATTTTGGTATTTTTATACAGATGGGGTTTCGCCTTGTTGCCCAGGCTGGTCTTAAACTCCTGGGTTCAAGCCATCTGCCTCTTGGCCTCCCAAAGTGCTGGGATTAGAGGTGTGAGCCACCACGCCCAGCCTGTTTGGTATGTTTAAATGCATGGCAGTCCCACAGCTACAGGTTGAAGCAGACTACTTTTTGCCAGCTGAAATCACACAGCCCAGAGTGCAGACGGGCACAGGAGATGCCCCTGTGTTGATCATGATTAAAGCACCCTTAACAGAGATGATGGGCCACCAGCCACACCATGGGCAGTGTCTCCTCCAGGGCACACCAGAGAAGGCCATGAGGGAGGGAGAAACTCACTCTTGGCACCATAACACTGGCTGGGGTCCTGGTGTTCCGAGAGCCCCAGTGGAGCTCAGAGACAGTGTGGGAAAGAAAGCCCCCTGCTGATCCCAGCTTAGGTTAGCAGGGCATGTGTGTACGTGCGTTTGCGTGTGCGTGTGCATGTGTGTGTAAGACAGAGTGAGTGATAGCTGTGGGCTGCTCCTTGGGGACTCCTGTGCTTGTGCCCTGCAGGGATGCAGAAGTCTTGGCTCCAGGAAAGAGCTCTTCTGTGAAGGTGACGGCCCTGCCTGTTTCCTGACTGCCTCGCCTCTCACTCCTTTGCTGCACTCCAGCTCACCGAGTCCCACACTTCCACATGGACTTGCGTGTGCTGGGCCCTCAGTCAGGGCATCCTTCTTCATCAGGGCAACTCCTGTTCCTCCTTCACACCCACCCAAGCTCCCTCCCAGGTGAAGCCTGTGATCAGGGCCCACCTCCTGCTGGAGTTAGAACTTCTTTGCCTCCATAGTAAAGTTTACTATCCTGTTCCTGCTTCAGGGCCAGGCGATGTCTGTGCTCAGACCACGACCCCGAAGAGGAGGGCAGGAGTATGGCTGGTGATCTGCAGGAGGAGGGGGCTGGTCTCCACGTGAGACCTTGTGCCCAGGCCCCAGGCTGGCTTGGTTGGTGTCAGCTGCTGGACTGGCTGGTGAGGTCACCAGTGACATCTAGTGGTCACAGCAGGCTACAGCCCGGTGAGGTTTTCCAGCAGTTGTGAGTTCCATGTGGTCTCTGGAGCCAGGTTTCTGATCTGCTCCCAGCCAGTGTCTGACTTCTCCAGGGCTCTGGGACACCAGCACAGGGCAGGACTTAGGTTGTCTGGTGTGAGGACTGAGGCCTTTCAGATATTGGACTACCCACTGTCAGCCAGAGAGGGCTGGGACTGTAAGTGATGTCCCCTGGGCTCCTGTGGCCCCATGAGATCTGCTGCCTTCCTCCTGCTCCAGCTCCTTGGCCCTGCAGGCCCCAGGCTCAGGTTCACCTGGGCCTCGGCTCCCTGAGACCCGGGAAGGGAGGAGGCTTTAGGGCCCTCATGGGAGAAGCCCCAAACCCATTTTGGTGCAGCTGCTGAGACAGCCAATGCCAGCCAGTGGATGACAGGCAGGGAGTGGGCCATACCTACTGAGCACCTACTATGTGCCAGGCACTATGGAGGGCAGCCTGGGTCAGGGGCCACCTAAAGAGCTGCCGGTCCTGTCCTATGCTAGGCCTGACAGGGCACAAAGCAGCCCTCTTCCTCAAAGGGGTAAGAGGTCCCTGATGACAGCAACAGGAGGTGGCACAGGCTGAGTGGGGTCTCCAGCAGCATAGTGGTGGGCCTGGGGCAGCCCTTGCCACAGGGCTGTGTCTGGTGACCTGCCAGTCTTCACCTCACCATTGCAGGTGCAGGCACATCATGGGCGCTCGAGACACACTGTTGAGTGATGCGGCTATATGGGCTGGAGGCAGCAGGTTATGCTGGGGACCACAGCTTTGTGCTCTCAGCTTCCCAGATTCCACTTTCTCTACCAAAGTTTCCCCGTGAACCATTTGCAGACTGTAAGGAGAGCGGGGAGGACTGTGTTCTTAGAAGGGAGGCCTGTAGCGCTACTGACTGCACTTGGTTTGCATGAACTGTCCCTTCATGCTCCTGCTTCTCCCACCCCGCGCCCACCCCAGTTCTTTCCTTTTCTACCTTCTTCCCTGGTGCTGCTCCCCTGCCTGCACTTTTTATCCCATCCCCTTTCCGTTGTGTCCCTTCCACTGTTCACCCCTTTCCAAGCACTTCCTACACTCGGCTTTCTTATTCTCCATTCCTTCTCCGTTTCTCTGTCTTGCTTTTGCTCTCCTTCTCTGTCTCCCCAGGTTCTGCTCCATCCCAGGCACCTTCCTTGGAAGGCCAGCCTGACATCATTAAAGTGCAATAACTTCATCATTTTCCAGGGAGTGAGGTGGGCAGAGGCTATAGTTTATCTTCTATATGAGCCTTTCCTGTGGCCCCTGGGAGTGGTTGTGAACTTCCCACCTCCTGGGGCCCCTCTCAGCAGTCAGCAAAGGCCTCTGCTTGCCGACCTGTGCAAGCAGTGGGGCCCACCCCGGCCTGTGGGGATTCACACTTTGGGCACAGTTCTAGGCACAGTGGGATCTTCATTCACTGTCGAGGGGTGACAGTAAGAGCTGCCGTTTACATTTATCAATTAAATCTATACGTCTGGGTGTCTTCATGGGTTGGATGCTGTGTGAGGTCCTGGGGGTATGGCCTACCTATTTTGGCCCTCACAGCAACCCTGCAAGGGAGGCTGGGCAGTGACCACACTCCCGTTAGACAGAGGAGGAAAATGGGGCTCAAGGAACAGGATTGCTCAAGGCAGGCCCCAGGCCGGCAGCTGGACACTTGGCTTTTATCCTGAGGAGTTCACACCCTCAGCATTCAATGTCCAGTCCGTCTGCTCAGGAGATTGCAAAGGGCTTCTGAGGAACCCAGATGTTCACAGACCTGTTCCGAAGCACCCTCCCACGCCCATCCATCTTCCCTGCCGGACATTGTGCTTGTTTCCCAGTGACACAAATTGCATTTGCAGTTGTTTTCAAGATAGCCTAATACTATCCAGCACTGTCTGCACACATTGATTCCTTTCCCCAAGTCACCAGACCCACTCATTCCCAATAATCTTCCCCCCTAATTATGGCAATCATTGTCTGATTGCATGCTCCGATTACACAATTACATTTTCTAATGCTAATTGCATAATTATCACAAGCAATTACATGGGAAAACATAAAATTTCCAGGCTCCAAATGTGATTTGAGGGTCCAGCAAAGTGCCCCCACTGTCCCCCTTAGGAAAGGCAATGGGGTCTCCTGGGCACAGACACAGCAGCTGGGTAGTGACCATCTCTCTCGGCTTCTCTGGGCACCACTAATTCTGAAGCTTCTATCTTCATGGCCCAACTAGGACTCTCTAGAACAGGTAGCCTGGTTTAGAAAGTGTGGCCCAGCAGATATGACTCTCTAAGCCCCAGTCACAAGGGCCCCTGCCTGCACGCAGCCGCTGGTCTGGGAGAAACAAAGCCTGAGCTGTGGTGCTCATGTGCTTCTAGAAGCCCAGGCCCAATATGTCTTCTTCAGTGGCTTCCAGTGTCCTGGGCAGTGTCTGGCTGGGTGGATGGGTCTGAGGAAGAGATGCTGGAGGCAGGCAGTTGATTTTCATCTTTCTGCTTTGCTCAGGACATCTCCCATGGTGTGGCCCCAATCCTGTCCATCTGATGGTTTGTCCACCACTGAGTCCTCCCCTCTAGAGGCTGGGAGTGCCCACATGGCCAAGGAGAAACCTCATCCATCCCCCTGCTCCCTCTGCAGAGAGGCCCTGCAGTAAGAGAGTCCACAGGTCTCCCCCACACTGTATGTACAGGTACATTTACAAATTCTATCTTATTTCAAATGCACCAGGGGAGCTGGCTATTTAAAGAAATGCTATAGAAGATCCTTTGGTAAAGACTGGCCTCACTTTCTGATTGATTTTTTATGTAATTTTGTATTTTCATCTCTCTAGGGCAGGAGGTGGGGGTGAGAGAGAGGCTGCAGGCGGGTTTATGTCTTTCCACAGCCTGCTGCACTGGACCTGCCCTGCATGCCCCTGGATGGCTCAATGTGTCTCAATTTTATCTTCTTCATTTGACAGGCGGGTATTCAAGGCATTCTGTGTACCAGGCTTGTGTTGGAAGCGTGGGACACAAAGGCAGAGAAGACCTAGTCCCAGTCTCTGAGAGCTAATGAGGTGTGCTAGATGCATTCACGTAAGTAAGTTCAAGGGGAGCAATGGTTGCATGGAGGGAGGTGGGATTATCTCTTCCCAGGGCTGGGGAGAGCAAAGAAGCCTTCATGGAGGAGGTGATTTTCAACCTGAATTTTTTTCTTTCTTTTTCTTTCTTTTTTTTTTCTTTTCTTTTTTCTTTCTTTCTTTTTTTTTTTTTTTTTTTTTTTTTAGAGGCAAGATCTTCTTATGTTGTCCAGGCTGGTCTTGGACTCCTCAGCTCAAGCTATCTTTCTGCCTTGGTTTCCAAAGTAGCTGGGACTATAGGCATGCATTAACCTGAGTTTTGAAGGATGAGTTGGAAGAGTTCAAATAGGACAAGCAAGTAGAGGAAACGCAGACTGGTGTGGCTACGGTGGAGGATGCCAAGTGGGGAGGCACGAGGCTGGGTGACAAGCAGAGCCCGGCCAAGGAGGTCAGTTTTGATTCCAAAAGCAGAGGAAACTAAACTGGATGGTGTTACTCAGAGGAGTACACAACCTTGCTTTTATTTTGGGAAGATCCCCTTGGCTGTGGTATGAATGGACCCAAGGCGGTGGGACTGGTGGAGGAGATGAACTATGGGCTGGAGGGAGTTGACAGCCTGAACCGGTGGGCAGTGGGGATGCAGAGGAGGAGGAGTGGGTTTCGGAGACATTTTCAGGGAAGAAGGGAAATAACAAGGGGGCTCATTTAGTGGGGGAAAGGAGAGGAGGAAGGAAGTGAGGAAGGGACGGAAGGTCAGGGAATTCCTGACTTGTGAGCTCTAGTTTCCCTATGGACTAGAATATGAGTCACCCGGCAAGAGTGAACATGGGGCTGGGGTGAGGGGTGAGGGCTTGCTGAGTCTGTGGCATCTATGGATATTTCTTTTCTTCTTCTTCTTTTTTTTTTTTTCTGAGACAGAGTCTCGTTCTGTCACCCAGGCTGGAGTGCAGTGGAGTGATCTCGGCTCACTGCAACATCTGCCTCCCGGTTTCAAGCGATTCTCCTTCCTCAGCCTCCCGAGTAGCTGGGATATTAGGTGCGCGCCACCACGCCCGGCTAATTTTTGTATTTTTAGTAGAGACGGGGTTTTACCATGTTGGTCAGGCTGATCTTGAACTCCTGACCTCACGATCTGCCCGCCTCAGCCTCCCAAAGTGCTAGGATTACAGGCATGAGCCACCGCGCCCGGCCCCATGGGTATCTTCACCAGCTGCTCTTGGCTGCCAGCTTCCAAAGACAGGGACAGAGCTTGCAGCCACCTTTGGGCGGAGTTCAGGGCTGGGTGCTGTGGAAGGGCAGTTCAGGAAAGTCCAAGGATGTTGACAACAGCATCATGCCACTGTAGCTTCCAGGCAGGTGGAAAAGGAAAGGAGGTTAGGTGGGAGGGAGGGAGAAGGTGAGTGAGAAGAAGGGCACAGTCGAGCACAGAGCTGGTGAGAGTTGAGGGGATCCCTGACAAAATCAGCCCACTGGCTGCGAGACGTTATTCAGGTCTTCTCCAAAGTTGCTCAGTTCTAAAATGAGACAATACTTTCCTCCCAGGCTAAATTGTGACAACATATATAAAGGGCTTGACCCAGAAGGCCTTCAGCAATGTGTTGCACTGAAAACTGCCAAATGCTGCAGAAGTTGCAGACACAGAGGAGGCCCAATCAGTGTCCTTTTTCATATTCACCTTTGAGCCGGGGGTGCCTGCTCAGGGCCTGGGCCACAAAAGGCACTGAGCAGAGATTTGTTTAGGAGGCAACATGAGGTAACAGTGAAGACAAGAGCAATTCTGCCTGCTTGCTGTAGGATCAGCCAAGCCTCCACTTTCTCCTCTGGCAGATGGAGATCATGGCAGTGCCTGCCTCATAGGTTGAGAGGATTCAATTAGGCAGGCCTGTGATGCAGATGCTGTGGGCTGTCCTGCCCCATCCCCTCAGCACTCACATTCCTGAGGGCCCGATGGCTTCCTACTTTTCTGTGGTCACAGGAGCATGCTGCTTAACACCTGTGGACCAGAAGTGCCAAGGAGGTAGCACTTCTATTAGCCAAAGACAGGAGTCAGAGCATAAAGATGCAGGTTCGGCCAGGTGCGGTGGCTCACGCCTGTAACCTCAGCACTTTGGGAGGCCAAAGCAGGCAGATTGCTTGTGTCTGGGAGTTTGAGATCAGCCTGGGCAGCATGGAGAAACCCATCTCTACTAAAAATACAAAAATTAGCCAGGCATGGTGGCGTGCAGCTGTAGCCCCAGTTACTTGGGAGGCTGACACAGGAGAATTACTTGAACCCAGGAAACGGAGGTTGCAGTGAGCCGAGATCATGCCACTGCACTCCAGCCTGGGCAACAGAGTGAGACCCTGTCTCAAAAAACAAAAAAAAAAACAAAAAAACCACACCTGGTGCAACTCAGGTGTGTTCCATGCAACCTCCCAGAACTCCCCAGCAGGATAACATACTAGTTGCCCACAATGGCAACCTGCTCATGAATGCACGTTTTGATTTCCCTCCCGTCCTCATCTCACATCCTCACTCCCCTCCTGGTGCCTCCTGGGATCACCTCCTAATTGAGTACTTGTTCTCAAATCCCTGTCTCAGTGTCTGCTGCTGGAAAGCCCAATCCAAAAGAGCGTGTAAAGTGCTTGACAGAAAGAGGACGCTTGATAAATGCTAGCCAGCTCACTAGTGTGAAAGTGTCATGAAGGCAGAAGTCATCCATCTGAATATGACTGTCTCCCCAGGTCCAGGTGCTGGCACAGAGGTGGCACCTAATACACATGTGTTGAAGAAATCAATAGACATGCTCCTCCCACCACCCTGTCCTTTCCCTCCCTCCCTTTCCCTAGTCTCACTCTCATTTCCCCCAGTCCCACATTTTCTTTCCTAGTGCTCTTTTTCTCCTCTCGTGGAGGAAGGATGCTCTGGGCCCAAATACCCCTTTGCTGTCCCAAAAGTTCCACTCTGGAAATGAGCCCCCCCGCAGCATTGTGACATCACCGTGCACTAGCCAATGGCTGCCTGCCTAAGCTGGGTCCCTGGTCTCCTGGGACTACTAGCCCTTTGTTGATAGGGAGAAGCCAACATCTCCCGCAGGACCCCCTAATCTTCAGGGCAGCTCCCAGAGCATGGATCCCTCCTGATTCCACTCAGCCCGATGTTCCTCACAGTCAAGCTGCTCCTGGGCCAGAGATGCAGTCTGAAGGTGTCAGGGCAAGAGAGTGTAGCCACGCTGAAGAGACTGGTGTCCAGGCGGCTGAAGGTGCCTGAGGAGCAGCAGCACCTGCTTTTCCGTGGCCAGCTCCTGGAGGATGACAAGCACCTCTCTGACTACTGCATTGGGCCCAATGCCTCTATCAATGTCATCATGCAGCCCTTGGAGAAGATGGCGCTAAAGGAGGCCCACCAGCCGCAGACCCAGCCCCTGTGGCACCAGCTGGGACTGGTCCTAGCTAAACACTTTGAACCACAGGATGCCAAGGCCGTGCTGCAGCTGCTAAGGCAGGAGCACGAGGAGCGCCTGCAGAAGATAAGCCTGGAGCACCTGGAGCAGCTGGCCCAGTACCTCCTGGCAGAGGAGCCTCACGTGGAGCCAGCTGGAGAGAGGGAGCTTGAGGCGAAGGCACGGCCTCAGAGCTCCTGTGACATGGAGGAGAAGGAGGAGGCAGCAGCTGATCAGTAAACGGGCCATCCTACCCATTTGCATGCTAAAATTCTCCCGGCCTCATCCTTACGTGTTCCCTGGTGACTTTTCCTACTACTTCCTGCTGATGTGGATGCGTCCACACCCCTTTTTGAACCTTCCAAGCAGCTGGAGGGTTTTTGGATCCCTGTCCCCTCTTGGGCCTGAGGTCCTCCCTCTGAAATGCAGAGTGAACCAACCCTCATCACCATGCTTCCCCTAGAAGGGTTCTGATCACCGGAGGGCAGCCCCAAAGGCCACAGTCCCCTCCTGTGCTGGCAGCTTTGCCCACACATACCCAGCAGCTCCCCAGGCTGAAAGCAGCCCTGGCCCAGGGTCTCCATGGTTCTAGGCAGACCCTCTTTCTCCTTCGGGACAGAAAGACAATGTGAGTTCATTTTCCTCCATCCTCAGACCGTGACATCTCCCCTAGGCTCCCCAGCAGCCAAGAGGAGAGGAATGTCAGGTAGCTGCCCCTTGCCTTCTGGGTGAGGCTGCCCCTGCTGTTCTCCTGCTTGTGCTTCCAGCTTAAGGGACAGGCACAGCAGAGGTGAGAGTGGGAGGAGGGCACGTACCGGGTGCCAGCCCTGGAGCCCTCAGGGAGACAGACACAGACCAAGAATAGCAGGAAACTGAGCCTCAGGCAGAAAAAAAGTTCAGCAAAGTCATACACTCCCTGTGGCCAGCGTGAACAGAGCCATGCCCCACCCTCCCAGACTGATCAGTCAGTAGGTATCACAGCTCACATTACCTGCCCAGCGCTGCCCAAGGCTCCCTGGAAGGAAAAATGGTATCTGTCAATGAGGATCCTTGCCCTCACAGAGCACGCAGCCTAGATGCAGAGAGCTGCTATACATGTGAAAAGTAAAGTGGTGACATGAAACTAGAGTCTAGTGTGTGTGACTGAATGCACGGGGCCTCACGGGGCCCTGGGTTCAGCATAGAGGGGCCAGTCCCCTGCAGACTACGAGGAAAGCCAGGCCCTTTACTCTGTTCTTTGAGTGAGAGAGTGGCCCTTGCAGAGGCTGAGGAGTCCCCACACTCTGTGTGTGAGTGGGAGGGAGTGGGGAGCTGTGGTCCCCCATTCACTGCTGAAGCCCCTGAAATGCTGTTATTGCAAAAGTTTCAGTCCTGAGTGATGGGGATGGAGGGAAGGGGTGGAGGAGAATGTCTTGAACAAGCAGGGCCCCCTTCCCTAGGAAGCATCCTGTCCTTGGCCTGCAGGGCCCCTCATCCTCTCTTCCAGTCCGAGTCCAGCTGTGTGGCCATGGGTAACCTGCTTTTCCTGTCTGATGCTCAGGTTTCCCACCTGTTGCATGGGCATCCTTATAACAGCATCTACTTACCCCATGAGTGTTGGTGACGGTTAGAGGCAAAGACTGTCCAACTGGGAGGGATGTCTTCTAGTGGTGGGCTCAGCGGCAGTGACAAGGATGGATGTGGAAAGCATTCTGTTTGTGGGAGCCTGCTTAGCAGTGGTCATTCCCTCACCTCGCAGAATAAGACAACCTCGTTCAGCTTATGACCCAGCTCCTTTCCCAGTGCCCCACCCACTGTCCCAGCCAAGAGAGCAAACTAGGGGCTCTGAGGAGACTAATGACCTCTCCCTGGGGTACCAAGGACCCAGCACGCACTGGCTGCAGCCAGCACTCCCAGGCTGGGGTTTAGGGGGCTCAAGCCTGCTCCTTGGTTCCTGTCCTGGTCCTGCTCCTGGGCCCTGCATCCTCAGCAGGGGAGCCCTCTTGACAGTTCTGTGAGTGTTTTCATGCTGGGGCTGTACCATTTGCCAAGGGAGATGAGCCTATTATCTTTACATTAGGGGAACTAATAGCCCATTTCCCAGGAAATCCGTGAGCGATAAAAATAAGTGGGCCGTTTTATTCCTTTTACTGAGAGAAGCTGGCATGAAGGACAGGGGAAGCCTTTGTTTTCTCTCTAGTTAGTGGGAGTATCAGGGCTGGCTGAGAGCAGGCCAGGGGAGGCAGCCACCTCCACTGTCTGTCCCCAGCACTGCAGGGGAGGATGTCTCCAATCCCAAACGGGGAAGAAGGAAAGTTGGTCTGCTCTTCCATGCACCTCCCACTACCGACTTCCCCCATCCCAAGGGCCCTCCTGCCCCTGTTCCTCCCTTCAAAAGCAGGAGAGAATGCACTGTCACTTGGAACTTAGCAGGAACTTGCACCTATTTGTCACCACTCCCAGGAATGGTCTTACTCAGTGCTGTGTTTCTCAATGTGGGGTGACAGGCATTGTCCCCTAAAGGATGTTGTTATAGTCATCAGAGAACAGAAGTTAGGAGTGTATTTGAGGGGCTGGGGCAGGATCAACCCCTAATACTCCAGCGATGGGTTTGGATCTCATCTGTGTTGAGAACACTAGCTCTTGGGCTGCCTGCCATGGGACCCCTCACTTTGCCTAGTTTTGCCCTATTTCAAACTGAAGCCTGTACCAGTGCACCTGTTGAAGGCTCCCTATTTCCTCTCTGCTTCGCTAGGGAGAAGGCACTTTTTCTAAACTTCAGCCTTGGGCAGAAACTCTTTCCCCTAACTCCCCACGGCATCTCTCCCCTACCTACCTACAGGTAACAATTTTGCTCATGTTGGGGGCATTTCAGGACAGCCACCACATCCAGTAGCCAGCTTCGTGTTTCTATCCACAGAGAAATCTAGCTTCTCATCCCAGCTTCTTCCTGGGTCACCTGCAGGCCAACACCCCTCAGTCCACTGGTCCATGGCAAAATAGTCTTTCTGATAGAAATAGGCAGAGCATCCTGGTCCATGTGCTATTTAGTCAGTCCTTTGCTTTTCGATCAATAAACATATATGGGCCTCTGTCTCAGTCTGTTTGTGCTGCTATAACAAAATACCTTAGACTGGGTAATTTACAAACAACAGAAATTTATCATTTACAGTTCTGAAGGCTGGGGTTTCCAAGAGGAGGGTGCCAGCAGATGTGGTGTCTGGTGAGGACCTGTTCCTCACTGACAACGCCTGCTGTGTTTCCTCACATTGCAGAAGGACAAACAGGCTCCTTGCAGTCTTTTTTTTTTTGATAGGGTCTCCCTCTGTCACCCAGGCTGGGGTGCAGAGGCGCGATCTCAGCTCACTGCAGCCTTGACTTCCCAGGCTCAGGTGATCCTCCCACCTCAGCCTCCCGAGTAGCTGGGACTACAGGTTCACACCACCACACCCAGCTAATTTTTGTATTTTTTGTAGAGACAGGGTTTCACCACATTGCCCAGGCTGGTCTCAAACTGCTGGGCTCAAGTGATCCGCCCACCTTGGCCTCCCAAAGTGCTGGGATTACAGGTGTCAGCCACCACACCTGGCCTCAATCTCCTTTACAAAGGCACTAATCCCATTCATGAGGACGAGCCGTTGTGATTTAATCACTCCCCCAAAGTCCCTATCTCTTAATACTACCACACTGGGGATTATGTTTCAACATGTGAATTTTGGGGGACACCAGCATTCAGACCACAGCATCCTGCCATGTGGCAGGCTTTGTGCTGAGATTTAGGCTGGTAGACAAGGAGTCCTGTCTCCTGGACCGAGAGTAGTGCGCCCCCTGCTGTCCCTTGCAGCATGGTGCAGCAGAGGGGCTTTGGAAACCCCTGACCTCCAGTGTCGGCCTGTAATTAGGATGCGGTGATGTGTTTGTAGGTAGCTGTGGTGCTTTTACCACTAGTCCTGAAAGATGGGGCAGGCAGTGGTGTGTCAGGATGAAGTCTTGCAGATGTGGAAGAAGCTTTCAATGTTCCAGGGCTCCAGAAACCCCGGACGGCTGATTTTAGAAGCAAATCCAGTCCTCTCCCCTCCTTCCACTCCGACTTGCTCCCCTCCATCAGCCTTTGTTCAGGATTAAGTGAGATTTTAGTTATCATATAAAGCTTCCGGCCATTTTAAACTGGGGAAGAGAGGCATGGGTAGAAGGAAGTGGAGGGCAGTGCTGCGCCTCCTCAGAAAAACAGCAGAGTCCAGTGGAGGTGCCTGAGGGAAGACATGGTGACATTGTGTTGAGATGTAAACAGACAGGATGGGCGGGTTCTGGGAATCTTCCTTCTGTGCTGGGAGAGGTGATGTTGTAATGGGCAAGGACCAGGGGTAGAATGTCAGCTTTTTTTTTTTTTTTTTTTTTTTTTTTTTTGAGACAGTGTCTTGTTCTGTTGCCCAGGCTGGAGTACAGTGGTGCAATCATGGCTCACTGCAGCAGCCTTGAACTCCCAGGCTCAAGCAATCCTCCCACCTCAGCTTCCTGAGTAGCTGGGACTACAGGTGTGCACTACCATGCCCAGATAATTTTTTTTAATTTTTCTTTTGTAGAGATGGTCTTACTATGTTGACCAGGCCTATGTTTCAAACCCCTGGCCTCAAGCAGTCCTCTTTCTTGACCTTCCAAAGTGCGAGATTACAGGCGTGAGCCACTGCACCCAGTTCAGTTTCTATTTCTGTATCTGGGACTTAGCTTGAACACCACTTTGCTTTTGCTAAATGAAAAATATTGACGCCATAATAAATGCAGTAAGCTCTCTTGGACGCAGTTCTAAAACTGTTGAATTCTTCATACTGTGGGGTGGCCCCATTAGTGAGACAGTCACTGCAAATGGAAGTCCAGAAGTACTGAGTCTAGGTCTTCACATCAGGACTAATTTGACAAAAGCACCAGCTGTGAAATGGAATGATCAGACTGTCCCCTGAGTAGGTGCACTCTGACAGCCAGAGATCCCAGTGTAGGAAGTCTTGCACTGGACAGGGGCCTGGGACCCAGTATTGGCTCTTCTATTTGCCTTGAGCCTTGGACAAGTCAAGTCACTTCATATCTCCGGACCAGAGACTCCCTCATTTTCAAAATAGAAGAAGGAATTGGACTTGACCCCTAAAGTACCTTCTGACACTAAGGTTCTGTGATGGTGTGAAGTCATGAACAGGAGCTGCTGATGCCCCAGGCTGGGGAAAAGCAACAGGAGCTGGCTCTCACGGGGGCACTGTGAGGCCTTGAACACACATCAGGGATGGCCATTTATTATGAAGATAGACAATGGCAGGATGGTCAGGATGACTTGCTACCAAATAGCATGGACAATATAAATACATTTTTGTAATGAAATATGAAGCTCAAAATCATACAAAACAACATTATAGATATTATTTAGGGATACATGCTTAAGAAAACATTAATAAATGTTTGGTAGGAAGGGAAATGCAACCGAGGAAACTTTTACAAGGGCTTCAATTATAAAGTGTATTGTGTCAAGTGGTGGGTACATGGGTATTAGTTTTCTATTACTGTACAATGAACTACAGTCATCCCTTAGTATACATGGGGGATTGGTTCCATAACCACACCCCCTCTCCTGCATTATACCCAAATCCACACATACTTAAGTGGGCCCTGAGGAAGTCGGGTGTACAAAAAGCCAGCCCTCTGTATACGTGGGTTTTGCATTTTGTGAATATTGTATTTTAAATTTGCATTTGGTTGAAAAAAATCCAAGTATAAGCAGATCTACTCAGTTCAAACCCATGTTGTTCAAGGGTCAACTGTACTGCAAATTCAGCAGTTTAAAACAACACGCATTATCTCACACTTCAGTGCCATGTCTTACCTGGGTTCTCTGCTTAGGGTCTTAGGCTGCTGCCGTGAAGATATTGACCGGGTTGTGTTCTCCTCTGGAGGCTTGGCAGGGGAGGAATTGGCGTCCAAATTCCTGTGGTTGGCAGAATTGATTTTCTTGCAGTTGTGGGACTGAGGGCCTGGGCTTTTTGCTGGATGTTGGTGGGAGGTCACCCACAGTTCCTAGAGGCTGCTTGCAGTTCCTTGCCATGTGGGCTTTTCTAGCATGACTGCCTGCTTTAGCAAAGAGAATTTCTAGAGTTAGCTGGCAAGGCCAAGTCTTCTACAACATAATGTAATCATGAGAGTGATGCCTCACCACGTTTGCCAGTTCTGTTAGTTAGAAGCGAGTCACAGGCCCTGCCCACATTCAGAGGGAGGGGTTTATACAAAGGCTTGGATGCCAGGAGGTGGAGATCACAGGGGCCCTCCTTATATTCTTTCCACTGCAGTAGGTGTTGATTATGTCATTATATAATTTTGTATGTACAAAACCATGAATCATAAACCAATTGAAGTGGTCCACGGCCCAGGAGCTGTGGGAATATAGCATAGATGAGGAGGGACTGCTCTCAGATGTGGTCAGGTAGACTTCAAGGTAGCATCTGAGCTGGTGACTACCAAGTTGCTTTTTCTGACACCCAGGGGCCCACATTTACACCTGGGGAATTGTTACTTGGCTCAACATGCCGAGCATATGACCTTGCTGGATGCCTCATGACACCCAGAGACATATGGACACACCCAAGGCACGTATCCACAAACACACAGACAACCCCTCCCAACACCTCAAACCCGAAGCGTGAGGGTCTACAGTGGCAGAGCCGGGTTTGCCGCAGTGAGCTTTACTCTCAGCGGCACTTATGGTGTCAGTGGTCCAGACCTTGCCTTTTGGGTTTTAGGCTGTTAGAGCCCCACTGACCCAGCCCAGCCCAGGCAGTCCAGCCAGAAGATCTCACAGAGCAAATTCAAGGATAGAAAAGGGAGACTTTACAGAGCCAAGTTCAGGAACTGCTAGGGCTTCAGGAAGAGGTCACCTGGACCTCCTTTGCTATCTTCAAGTGATGCATCATGTAGTCAGGACAGGAGTTTTCATAAGAGTATGCGGGGAGGTCCCCAAGCATATGGAGATGGATGCATGTGTGCACACATTCGTGCATTGGTTTCCAGCAGGCTTTCAAGGGTACCTGCACATGCACATCAGCCCATGTATGTCTGAGGGCAGAGACCGCCTTCTCTGTGTGAACTCTCCAAGGTGGCATGTTTGCTTTCCTGATTCCTGCTCCAGCCTGGCTCACTCTCCCTGTGCTCTGGGCTGGACTTGGGTGCTGCTAGCCTGTGGCAGGGGAGTGGCCAGAGGGCAGGCTGCCCTGGCTCCTGCTGCCGAGCCAGCTGGAACTCATGGAGGCAGCTGAGGCATGAACAGCTGCAAAGCCCAGTTCCTGGTGCCCTCTGGAGCAGATGGTGCTCCCAGCCAGCTGCCAAGCCCATTTCCTGGTGCCCTCTGGGGCAGATGGTGCTCGCTGCCAGCTGCCTCACCCTACTCCCCTCTTGGGTCACCTTTCTCCTTTCTCTGTCTTTTTTGCTTTTCTTCTTGTACCTCTTCACTACCATTTATCTGCTGTCCTCTCTAGTCACATTTGGGGCTAATTTGGCTGCATTGTATGGCTATCTGGGTGCTTCCTTTCAGCTCTTTCTCTCTCTGTTCCTTATATCACTTTCTATCCACCCACTGCCCACCTTTCTTTCTCCCATTTCTTTCAGCCATCGGTAGTTGCCCTTCTGTTAAACACCATCACCACCATCACCACCACCACCACCATCACCACCACCGCCACCACCATCACCACACACTACCACCATCACTACCACCACCATCACCATCACCACCACCACCATCACCATCACTGTCGCCACCAACACCATCACCGGCACCACCCTCACCACCAACACCATCACCGTCGCCATCACCACCACCACCATTACCATCAGCATCATCATCAGCAGCAGCAGCAACAGCAGCTCTTCTCCTTGTCCTCCTGTGTGTCCTCTTTCTTTTATTTTCCCAGACTCACACAGTGAGCAGGCATGTGCAGGGACTCAGAACCCACTACCTTTGAGTATGTGCCTGACCCCTCAACCCCTGCTCACTTACAGTACCAGTTCATAAGTACCCATAGCCAGCCCAGTGCTCCAGTACAATAAGAAATGGTCTTATTGATTGTATGCATGCACGTATTTGCTGATGTATACCCCTGAACAGACGTGACACATACCCAGAGAAGGGGCACAGACACCTGCACACTCAGGGCCACACCTGCACTAGGGGCATCTGACCAGGCAATCTTCCCACAGCCACAGCGGCCAGCAGGCTGGGTGCTGGGTTCCTGCACTTCCTCCCATGGCTCTGCCCCTGCCAGCCCAGCCCTCATTCTCCTGCAGTTCCTCCTGGCTCCTCCACAGGGGTGCTGTGTGGCCCCGCTGGACTCCAGGGCTGTAAATCCCCTCTGGAAGGGACTGTAACCTGAGGAGCCAGCAGGAAGCCTGAGCCCCCCGAATGGCTCCTACCTACCCCTCTGCTCCCTCCGACAGCATTTCCCATCACTGTGATTTAAGGGCTCCCTGGCAGCCTTTAGCAGTTCCCACTGCCCTTGTAGAAGGGTGATAAATCTGAGGTAGCTACTGTCGGTGGCTGGTCATAAACCCGTCACGGCCTGCTGCAGTGGGGCCAGGCCTGCCTGCTGCGGCCCGGCAGAGTCTGCCTTGTCAGCCAACCGCCCTTGGATGAGTCCCAGGGCACCCGTGCCTGGGACATTATTTATGAGCCTCAGACCCCAGGATCAAAGCTACTGTCCATCAGAGAGGACAGGGCAGAGGCCCTTGGAGCCGTCCTGCTGGTCCCTCCTCTCACCCAGACAACCTCAGGCTGCTGCTGCTACTTAACCTTGAACGGTAACACGTTAGACAAAGCCTCAGTACTCCTGGCTTCCCCTGAACCCCCTTCCCAACCATCTCCAAATGCACCCCACTTTCCGCACCCATCAGGACAGGGAGTCTGGGGGAGCTTTGGTGACAGAGTTGGGGCCAGGGCTTCAGCTGGAGAGGGGCCTTTCCTGACCCACTGCTGCCCCTCCCTGCAGCCCAGCCTGGCTAGAAGGAGGGAAGCATTGGGCCTCCAAGCCCCAGGATTTTGTCTAAGCAGCCCTGTGGCTGACCTCACTGGGCAGGGAAGTTTGAGGAGGAGGCACTCATCCTAAACAAAGAGAGGGGTGTTTCTCCAGACTCTAACTCTCTGGGCCGCCTGATTTCCTGGGGCCGTTGTAGCTCCAGACCCTTCCTCATTTGAGCTGGGAAGATGGCAGTCCACAAGGAGACAGGGGCAAGGTGGTGACAGAGACAGTGTTAGACTTGGAATCTGAAGACTTAGGAGTCAGTCTTGAGATACTTCCTAACTGTGCAACTTTGGGTGGGTCACTTGGTCTCTCTAACCCTCAGGGGCCTCATCTGTACAGTGGGGATAATAGGGCCCTCCTTGAGGGGTAGTTAAGAGCACCCAGTGATGAGGTATGGGAAAGTGTTTTGTAAACCCTACAGAGCTATGCAGAATTTAGCCTTATTTGTATCCCCCTCTTTCTCTACAGAAATCTCTACTGCGATCAACAGAATACCAGTTTATACATAGAATAATTTATTGCAGAGGTGGGTGGTTTACTGGGAGGGCCAAGGAACCAGACTTGGACACTTAGCCAGAGCACTGCAACCAAGAGGAATGCCTGACACACGGTGACCACCTTGCCTGCTGCTTGGCCCTGCGGTTCCAGGGGTGAGAGCCCAAAGCCCCCAGCACGGGTTCTTGGGGGACCCCAGTGCCCCCACCAGCACCCTGAAGAGCTGTCTCTCACCTGACTTTCTTCCACCCAGAGGTCACATACAGCGTCTGACTGGGAGCAGCCATATTGCAATGAACCCTAGCTGAAAGGGAGTCCTGGAAATGTAACTTCTAACTTTCCAACAAGCTGGAAAGGGGGTTGGGCTGTGGGAAATTTCTCCTGTGGAACAAATGACCCAGTTTCTTCATCAAATCAATTGCTATAGGGAGAAAAAGAGAGAGAGAGAGAGAGACAGAGAGACAGAGAGGGAGAGGATTCTATAGACTAAAAGAAATTGAACAGACATAACAACTAATTGCAATGTGTGGAGTTATCTTCATTCTGATTTGAACAACCTGTTTAAAAAAAAGCAAGACAATCAGGGAAATCTGAACATCAATTTGATATTTGATGCTAGTAAATGTTAGTATGCATTTTTTAAATGTGTGATGATAGTATTGTCGTTATGGTTTTAAAAAGTCATCTTTTAGAAATGCACAGTGAAATATTTTTGGATGAAATGGTACATAAGATTTGCTTCAGAATAATCTGGTGAAGTGGGACAGAGGCAGTTTCTGGAGCCATGGAGTGACCTTAGAAGCTGGGTACAAGGTGCATAGGGTTGTTCATACTACTCTATTTTTGTGTGTGTTTGAAATGTTTGATAACACAAGATTTTGACAAGCTTTACCTCAGTGCTGCTCAGTTTGCTGAAGCCTTGCCTCTGACAGCTGCCATGCTGCACAGCCTCAGGCCCGTCAGTAACTGTTTCATCACAGTGAGCCACCCACCACCAGCAGCCTGTCCTCTGATGCCGACCAGCTCCCTGTTGCCTCAAAATGCAACGTGTTCAGAAAACCAGTCCCAGATTCTCATTTCCTTGAGGGTTTCTTGCTTAGAATCTCTTCTGGTATGAGTTACTGTTCTAAATTGGGGACAACAGATTTCACTCTGGCTGATTTAAGCAGAAAGGAATTTATTAGAGGATATTACATAGAATCTTGGAGAGGGCCAAGACACTACATGGCCCAGAAGATCACAGTCAGGAGAAATACCTGAGCATCTCACAGGACAGATCTGGTGGAAATACCGCTCTGCTGTCCACTCCTCAGGGAAGACATGCTAGAAACCCCCACAGCTGGCCCAGGGGACTTAATCCCCTTGGCCTACCACTGCTTTACATTTTTTTTTTAACTCTATAGCTCCTCTCTCCATCCCCTCCCCAGGTTCATGTGGGGATTCTCTTAGTGGAACTGGGTCTCACATGAACCCTAGCTGCAAAGGAGTCTGGCAAATGTGGTTACACACTTTCCAGTCTCTTTAGTGCAGGAAACAAACTCTGTCTTTGTCTCTAAGATAGCTTTTTCCTTGGTTCTCCAGCTCCCAGCAGAGGGACCTGCCCTTGCCACTGGGCATTCTTTTGTTGTTGACTGCCAAAGTGGAGGTTATTAAACCCAGGCATTGTCGAGGCAGACGTTCTGCTCAATGTCCTTAACATGTAATATCTTCACAGGTGTAGAGGGTATGAAGAGCTCTCACATACTTTTTCTCTTTTAGTCCTCTCAATAAGCTTGAAAAGTTGTCATTATCATCCCCATTTTATATTTGAGGAGATTGAAACTCAGGTTAAGTGAGTTCCCAAGGTCATAGAGCTGGTACATAGCAGATCCAGTATCCGAATCCTTTACTTCCATTCCCTACTCCCCACCCACATAGGTGGAACAATTTATTGCAACTTTAGTTTGTGGCTTGATCTCACTTTTATAACTAATCATCTCTTCCCCAGCTCAGGGCTACAACCAGTCCTTTGTGCAGCCTTGCCTTATACCAGATTTTGGTGAGAGATGGCACAGAGTAGCAGTTAGGGCATAGGTCCTTGAGTTAGAATGCTAGGAGCCACTTGTGAGCTGGGCTGACATTGGGCATGTTACCTTAACCAAAGTAGCTAATCATATGGTGCTATGGTCTGGATATTTGACCCCACCAAACCTCACGTGGATATTTGACCCCACCAAACCTCATGTTGAAATTTGATCCCCAGTGTTGGAGGGGGGGCCTAATGGGAGGTGTTTGGGTCATTGGGATGGATCCTGCACAAATGGCTTGATGCCATCCTCATGGTAATGAGTGAGTTCTCACTCTATTAGTTCCATGAGAGCTGGTTGTTTAAAAGAGCCTGGCACCTTCCTCATTTCTTTTGTGATTTTGCTGTCTTGCTGTGTGATCCCTGCACACTCCAGGCAGGGATCCCAACATGAGTGGAAGTAGCTTGAGGCCCACACCAGATGTAAATGCCAGCACCATGCTTCTTGTACAGCTTGCAGAACCATGAGCCAAATAAACCCTATTTTTTTTATAAATTACCCAGCCTCAGGCATTCCTTGTATAGCAACACAGACTGAGACAACTCATATACCCTACCTTGTTATCATCCAGACTGAGATAAGTAGCATCTATTACCTTAGTGACTTATAGACAGGATTAAATGAATGATCACAAATGAAGAGCTTAGAACATAGTAAAAGTACAGTGTACAGTAAACTTTACTGTTGCTACTGTTTGGGGTGGTAGAGCCAAAAGTATCAATTGTTAATCACTCAGAAGACTATTCTCACACATTGTTGGCTTTTGTTTTGTCAAATTCTAGGTTCATTGATGAGATTGTGTTGGATTATCTTGGAGAAGGGGGCAGTGGGAGGAAAGTTGGAAGGAAAGCAGACTAAAGAGATGTGTTGGGGGTGGGGGGTCCACGATAGATGAGACTGGAGCCATCCTTCCCTATGGGACCCCAGGGAGGTGACAGAGCCTTAGGACAATGGCTGCAGGGTACCCTGAGAAGGTTGACTCTAAGCAGAGACCCTTCCCCAAATTGGCCTAGAAGCAGGGACCCATCACCCTTCCTGAATCATGAGAATTGGTCAATGAGCATACCTGTGTAGACAGAATGTGTGAAGACCAGCAGACTCTCCTCTAAATGTTCTGCAATGTGGGAGACCCCAGAGTCTTTGCTTGCCTCTGATGGTGCATGGGCAAGGAAGCTTTAATATGGCAAATTGAATTTCCCTCTGGGCTGGTAGGATGGAGTTTTGGAGCAGATTACATTTAATCTGGACAAAGAAACGAGACCTTTTAAACACCGTATGTTGGAGAGCAAAATCTCTTACTCATGATACCCTATCTTGTTATCATCCAGAACGAAGTCCCAGCAAAACCAAAATTTAGGCCTTGGAAACCTAGGTCTCTATTCCTCTGGCCTTTTCTGGAGTACAGCCAGAAACCAAAGCTCTTTTCTCTTCCCTCTCATTATCAGACTCACACCCCATTGAGGACCTGAATGAGTCAGGTAAACACAGATTCAGATCCCAGCTCTGCCACTTAGCAGCTGTGTGTGAGGTTAAGTCACCACTAAAATGAAATAATTAAATTCCCTTCAAAGATCTGTCATGAGGATGGTGCAAGACAATGTAAGCTATGCCTGTAGGTTGTCGTGCAGTGTGGCTACTGTGCTCTTGTGCAGATTTAAGCCAGTGAAGTATGTGAAGGCTTCGCAGTGTGTTAGCTTGGCCGGGCAAAATTACATTATCCAGAATTCATTCTCCAGTGTGCTTCCAGATAGGGTAGGCCACAGGCGATAGTCTCTCATGAAAGTTGGAGGACAGAAGGAGGCAGGGCCATTTTGTCACATATACTCCCCTTCTTTCTCTTATTCAGTCAAACACTAATTTAGGTGCTGCTGTAAAGGGATTTTGCACATGTAATTACAGTCCCTAATCAGTTGACTTTAAATTAGGGAGATTATCCTGGGTGGGCCTGACTCAGTCAGTTGGAAGCCCTTTAAGGCTTAGCCCTTCCCTGAGAGGGACTCATGCCTGTGCGATTCAGCCTGCCATGACTTTCCCTTCCTGACCACCTGTGTAGCCAGCTCCTCACTTGCATAAGCCAATTTCCTGCAACAAATCCATATACATCTCCTACTGGCTCTGCTTCTCTGTGGACCTCTGACAGATACAGGGTGCCTCTCCTGGGACACAGAGTGGTAGGAGGCATTGGGGAACAAGGAATCAGGTGTGCCTGGTGGAGGAACCCCTGTGGAAGCCCCTGCAGTGGTGCCAGAGAGATGCACAGGCTATGGCAGGGCAAGCCCTGCCTCTGCCCACATGTCTACATTGTTTGTGGAGCCCTTGCTGTCTGTCTGCTGGCCTGGCACAAACACAGGGCCACATTATGGCATTGAAACACTGAGTGAGACAGGTGTCATTATCTCTGCTTTTCAGATAAAGAATCAGAGACTCAGAACTGAGTGACTGGCCTGAAATCACTTGGCTAATAGGTGGTGGAAGTGAGTCCTGGCTTACCCAAGGGGCCCTCACAGCCACCCAGCAGCACTACTTGTCTTGTTAGCTGCTTTATAACTGCTCTGCCCCTGAGTGTCAAGTGTCTCTCATGCATGGGCCAGGCCCGAGCTGGAGATGGAGCCTTAATAATGTCGGCCAGACCCTTTCCCTGCCCTCCTGGGGCATCTAGTCCAGGGATGCCTCTCTAGGGGGTTTGTGGCTGCATCAGGGCTAACACTGGACCTGCAGGAAGCTGCTGAGCTGGCCTTCCTAGCTGGTCCTGGTTGCCCTGAGCAATACTCAGGCTTACTCCCTTCAGGTGAAGCCTCTGCGGAGGTAGGTGCTCTGGGCCTGCAGGAAGAATGGAGCCTCCTGGCACCAGCAGGAAGTGGGTGGCAGTCCCCCAGGGTCCCCTGGGCCTTGTTAGAGGCACTGATAATGACTCTGGAAAGTGCCCTCTTGAGGGAGGCCTTGAGGAAGAGGTGTGCAGAACCCAAGGGATTACCTTCCACCTTTCCCTGCACGCTGCATCCAGCTAAGCCCTCCTGCCCATCCAGCCCTGAGGGGGCCCTCTACAGATGTGGGGAAACTGAGGCAGGTAGCTCTTCAGCATCGGCTAGAGTGATGTGTCTCAACACCCATCACAGCAAAACTGACAGGAGAGTATTTCCTGATCTGGGTGGTAAATTGCTTAGTTTTAAAACATTAAAACTCAGTTTATCTATTCTGGCTATCTGTATAGATCAAAGACAAGCTCCTGGCTTCTCCCTGCTTACTATGATATGTGTAGACCAGCTTCTTCCTCATTGACTCAGTAAATATTATTTGAGGGTCCATCATGTGCATGCACCCCGCAGCAAGGCAAGGCACTCGACCAGCTGAGGTGCTTGCTGAGGGCAAAGCGAGCATGAACTGGCCAGTGGAAGAGGTGGTCATAAGCCCCTGCTAGGGCCACATGGCTGGTTGTAGAAACAAGGACTGTATTTCCTAATGAATATGTTTTTACATGCATTTCCAGTAAGCACTTTTGTTTTCTTTCCCTCCCTCATTTCCTACCATTTAACATAAGATGCTTTGATAGTAGTTAACGTTCTATCTCAGAACTTAAGTTACAGGATATTAAAGGGGGGAGTGTGAATTAATCGGAGAAGAATGAATATCAAACAGTTAAAAGTTCCTACTCTGATTCAGCTTACATTCTAGTCAGGAAAAGAAATAAAGAAACAAATAAATAAAATATATAGGTATCAGTTAGTGATAAATGATAAAAAAATAAAGCAGGGAAGAGGGACAAGGAGCATGCGTGTGCACATGTGCATGCGTGTGTGTGTGTGCAAGTGCAGGTGTGTGCATGTACGTGTGTGTGTGTGTGTAATTTTGAACAGGGTGGGTGGGGAGAGAAGACCTTTCTAGAGGTGACATTTGAGCAATGGGAGAGAGCAGGTGCCAAGGTCCTGGGGGAGTGGCATTAGAGGAGGCCTGCTGTGGCTAGAACAGGAAGAAGGAGGCAGAGCACAGCCTGGCATCAGTTGAGGGGTCATGGGGGCTGGATCACACAGGGCTCATGCTAAGGACTTTGGTTTTTACCCCAGGTGAAATGAGGAACAGGACAAAACTTTGAGCTGAGGAGTGGCATGTTCTGACTGACTTAGGTTTTCATTCTAATGTCTTAGCCGCCCTGAAGCCTGACCCTGCACGTGGCCATCTAGATAAGGAGGACTGTCCCCCTGGACAGTCACATGGCACTGGCTGCCTCCTGCTTCCCACCCAGACCTATTGTAGGAGTGTCAGAAGCCTGAGGTCCATGACTTTGTGGACAGGTTGCCAGAGAAGGGGAGTGTGGTGGTGCCTCTGCCTCCTAGCCCAGGGCTCCAGCCCTTTGTTGGCTTTGTAAGGTTTTTGAAATGCTGATGTGCAAATGAACCTTGTTTGATTTGATTCCATGAGCATGAGCCAGGGCCTTCTTCTGGGGCAGGGCTGAGCTGAACCCTGAGGTTGCAGAGATGCCCAAGGTGCCTCTCTACAAATAGGAGCCTTGTAGAAGGAGACAGACCTGTCTGTGACACACTCACATGTAGTGTGAAGGGGCTCTTCACATCAGAGGAGGGAGCAACCATGGTGCTGGGGGTGGGGAGTGAGTGGGGGATTTAGAGAGTGGACCACACTGGAGCTGGAGTGTTAAAGGCTGACCAGAAGGAGGGAACACCACGAACAAGACCCAGACATGAACGTGTGTGGAAGAGTCTCAACCTCAAAATAGATGGGAAGTCAATTAAGTGTTCTTTATTTTCTAAAACAGCTTAGATTCTTTCTGTCTCTCCCTCTTTCTCTCTCTTTTTTTTTTTTTTTGAGACAGAGTCTCACTCTGTCACCCAGACTGGAGTGCAGTGGTGCAATCTCAGCTCACCACAACCTCCACCTCCCGGGTTCAAGCAATTCTCTTCCCTCAGCCTCCGGAGTAGCTGAGATTATAGGCACGTGCCACCACACCCGGCTAATTTTTGTATTTTAGTAGAGACGGGGTTTCCATGTTGGCCAGGCTGGTCTGTAGCTCCTGGCCTCAAGTAATCCTCCCGCCTCGGCCTCCCAAAGTGCTGGGATTACAGGTGTGAGCCACCACGCCCAGCCTAAATTCTTTTGACTTTGTTGCTGCAGGGGAGTGAAAACTTAACCTTGGTAATTTTGGGTGGGGACATTTGCCTTTGCCATTGTCTGGTCCTGAAGGTCTGTTCCGGTTGTCTCGGAAAGCCCTAATCCGTGACTAGCCCTTGCAGCCTGTGGCTCCTCTGCTCCTTTGACCCCAGTCTGAGGGGGATGCTGGGGCATCTGAGAGCAAGCCGGAGGGAAGTCTGGTCTCTGAGAACCACATGCTGCAGAGGATTCAGGGGCCCTCTGTGACATCCACCACCCGTGACTCTTTGGGCCTTTGGGGTATGGTTTGGGAAATCCTGTCCCCAGCACACTGTGTCCTAGCCAGATGCTCTGGGCAGGGGTGGGAGTGGGGAAGGGAGCACCGGACCAGCTGTGAGAAATTTCCCCACGTCCCCTCTTGGAGTCCCTTCCTTCTCTAGGTGCTGGCCACTCTCAGGAGTGTGTGCATGGTGGGAGCATATGGGGAAGGTGGCGGGGGGCGGTGTTTGCAGATGTTCTGGCCAAGGGAGCCTCTGAATGGGGCATTGGGGACCCCGAGACCTCTCAGCAGGCATTCTAGAGGCTCGTCGGCTGCCCTGCTGTTTGGATACTCTACAGAGCCGGGATTTATGTCCCTTCCCGGCTCCCACGCCTCTTGCTGGGGAGGGTGGCTCATTTTTCACGGGTGCCGCGTGACTTTCCAGACTGTATTTTCAGCCTCGGTTTGACGTCAGGCTCTCACGGTCCCAAAGGATGGGCTTTGTACATTTCCAGGCCGCAGACCGGAGCCTCCCATCCCTTTGGGCCTCTTGGGCGGTCCCTACGGCCACCTCCCGCAGCTCCCTGGGGGCGGGGGACCGCTGGATGAGGGAGGAGGGGAGGTACTGGGGGGAAAGGGCGGTTGGCGGGAAGGAAGTCCAGGTGAGACAGGCCCGCGTTGGGACTATCGTGCGCGGTATGTCGGCCGGCAGGTGGGGCTGGTCCGGGCGCAGGAGGCGGTAGAGCAGGAGCAGCAGGGGGAGCCAGGCTGGCCGAGCTGGGGGGTGAGCACGTTTGTCTCAGGCAGCTCATCGCCTGACACCCCCGGGAACGGGCTCTGCCCCAAGGCCTAAAATGAGGGAAGATGAGGAAATGGGGGTGGGGACGATGGAGAGGATGGAAGGGGCGGCGGGGGGGTGCGGTGGTCTGCGCGGTACAGCAGCGTCCCTGCGGGTTCCCCTCATTTAGTCCTCAAAACAACCTTGCCGCGGGTTGTGGTTGTCTCTTTTCACAGACGGAGAAAAATTGTTGCGGGGAGACTGCTCTTGGCCTCCCCTCAGCTTTTGTTCAGCATTGAAGGGGCAACATCTGTTCTCAGAGTTGGGCGCCCAGGTGTGCCTGAATTTCATCACAGCCGCCCCAAAGTGCTGACCATGGCTGTGTCTGGGTGTCTCCATCCTCATCCCGTCTGTGAACTAGGGCTCCACCTGGGTCAGGTACCCCAAATACTGTCAGGAGACTTCAGTTCCAGTTTCTGCCCTAACACTTTCTGTGCGACTCCAGGACAGTCATTTAACTCTCTGGGCCTCAACGGCCCCATTGCTTTGTGCTTAATTAGGTAAACATGTCCTGGGCTGAGGAAATTTTCTCTGCAGCCTAGGCCCCATGCTGCTCCTCATCCCACACCTGCTCTCTGGTTAATGTCATCCTTGGCCCTTGGCAGTCCCCGAGAAGGACCGCTGGAGTGGTCCTTCAGCCCTCCCTTGCCCTTACCCAATCCAGGCAGCTGCCAGGTGCTGCTGCGTGTGCCCCTTAAATACCCTGCATTCAGGGTCCTGAATGCTGCCCTCAGCTCTGGCACTCACGGCAGCCATCTGACTGGCCTCTCGCTTCACCCCCCTGCCCCCCAACCACCACCTGCAGCTCATCCTCTGGCTTAAAAAAATCTCCTATTCACTCATGGAGTAAATTCATTACCTACCTCAGCAGGCAGTGGAGGGGGTTAGGCGGGATGATGGACAGAAAGTACTGCACACCAGGCCTGGTGTTTGGTAGATGCCTTTCTTCAAGGCTAGTTTTTTTTCTTACCAGTCCCTCTTTCTGCTATGAAAAGGATCAAGTGATCTGAAAATGTGAGTGTCAGCCAGGCGCAGTGGCTCCACGCCTTTAATCCCAGCACTTTGGGAGGCCAAGGCGGGTGGATCACCTGAGGTCAGGAGTTTGAGACCAGTCTGACCAGTATGGTGAAACCCCATCTCTACTAAAAATACAAAAATTAGCCAGGTGGGGTGGTGTGAGCCTGTAATCCCAACTACTCAGGAGGCTGAGACAGGAGAATTGCTTGAACCAAGGAGGCCAAGGTTGCAGTGAGCGGAGATGACGCCACTGTACTCCAGCCTGGGCAACAGAGTGAGACTCTGTCTAAATTAAAAAAAAAAGAAAGAAAAAAAAAAAAGAAAGAAAATGTGAGTGTCACTGTGACACAGCCGGATTCCTGAGCCTCCCTTCTCACCTGTCTACCTGTCATGGTACCCCAATCCCCACCCCAGAGGCTGGGGCTTTAAAACAGTCTATCACCCAGTTCCCATCACATGGCCTGGGGCCAGGCTCTCGTGGCCCCCTGGGTGGTAGTATGCCAAAGTGGTTAAGCACAGAGGCTTTGGACTCCAACCCCAGTTCTGCCACTAAGTAGCTGTGTGACCTGGGCCAAGTTGCTTAATCTCTGTGTGCTTCAGCCTCTTTACCTGTAAAATGGGGGTGATATTAGATACTACACTTCATAGGCTTGTTATGAGAATTACATTAATTTATATATGTAAAGCAGTTAGAACAGTGCCTGGCAAAAAAAAAAAAAAAAAAAAGCAACCCACAAAGAAGCATTCAACAAATATTAGTTAGCTTTTGTAATTATTGCCTAGAGTATAATAATAACCTCCCAAATGGTGTCTTCCTGCTTCCAGTTTTGTTCCCTCCAATACATTCTCCACTCACTGCCCAGAGAACTTTCTCTGTTGGTCCCATGCAGGATTCCCAGATAAAAGACAGGATGGTCAGTTCCGTTCAAATTTAACTGGATGTCTGGTATTCTTATTTGCTAAATTTGGTAAATCTACACCCATGCTTAAAATTTTCCCCTGGTTCTCCATTACCTTTAAAATAAAATCTAAGCTTTGTAGCATAACATTCAAGCTCTCCATGCTTCAAGCCCCTGCCTTCACCATTTAATCTTGTCTCTTTATTTCTTATCACCCACAGCCCCCTCATCTTCTGCTCCAGCCACTTCCAGCTGCCTTCCTGGAATCCCAGAGACTGAATCAGAGCATTTTGGAGCTAGGCAGACCACCTGCCACATTTTCAGCTGAGGCAGTTGGGGCCCAGAGAGGTTAAGGGCCTGCCCAATGCCACACAGCCAGTGGGTAAGGCCTACAGTGCTCTTACCAGGACCTCAAACCTTCATTCTGAAACACCAAAAGCTGCCATCAGACCAGAGAAGGACCCTCTTGAAATAAACATATTAGCTTTGAAATCCCTGGCCTCAGGAGGACCAGCCATGTGCTTCTCATTTGCAGAGTAGAGGGGAGGCTGGATCTGCTGGCCTGGAGCAGTTCCTAGGGACTGGCCTGGCAGGCTGGAATGCCCAAGAGGTTTTGAGGGGGCAGGAGAGATGACCTGGAAATGTTTAGGATACCTAGTTTATAGAAGAGTGCTTCTGGGACTTAGAGGCTGGAAAAGCAAGGCCCTATTTGCAGACCTGTACTTGGGGGTTCAGCCTCGAATGGAAACTTATTTCCTTGACTCCAGGCAGCTGAGAGTGAGGACACATTAGGCTGGGGATTCTGAAATGGGCAGAATAATCCTCGGGGGCAAACACTGAGTGGAAGTCATCTTGATGGGAGGGGATGCCTTTCCCACGGGGCACCTGGGCAGGTCTCACCATTCTGCAGTCACCCCCAGCATAAAATATGAAGTGGAACAGCTTCCCTGCCAGATCCCTGGGAGGCTCTGGCTCCGTTACAGCGACTCGATGAAAATATCTCTGCTCAGTGCTGAGAACTTGGTCTTAGTAATTGACTTGTATAATGTCCAAAGACTATGCATGTAACTGGCCCAAAGTGATGCATCATCTTTCGCAAAAAGATTCATCATGGAATCTGCAGCAGCCTCCCATTTGTCTGGAGCAGAAATAGGAACAACTCCCCTTGCCAGGAGTCATCCTTTGTCTTCAAAGCAAATTCCTCCATGGTTGGAAGCTTCCTGGGCCCAGGCTGAGGCCTATGGCCAACTTCCTGGCCAAGGTCCCAGAGTCCCAGCATGTCTATCTCAGGAACCTCAGCCACAGGCAGCAGCTCACAGAACGTGGAGCACTGGGTTTAGGAGTCCTGAGTTCTAGGACTGACTCTGCCATCAGCTGGCTTGTGACCTTGGACAAGTCACTGAATACCCCCGGGCTTTTCCTTCTCCATCTGTAAGATGGAATTTGTGATTTCTGCTTGAACTATCTCACAGGAGAAATGGATGAGGAATTACCCATCACCCACTGTGTAGAGGGGCCCCATAGTATCATGGTTTAGAGCATGGGCTTTGGGATCCGAAGGATCTAGGGTCAAATCCCAGCTCTGTTGTTTGGTGATGTCACATTGGACGAGTTTCTTAACCTGTTGAGAAAGTGGGGACACTAACAGTATCTACTCTGTAACGTTGTAAGGAATAAAATGAACGGATGCACAAGGAGCGCTTAGATTATGCACTCGGGTATTAGCTGGAGCTTTCATTGTGTACCCAGCTGCCTGGGAGCAAACAGGAAGCATGAGTGCAAATGTTTGTTGTTATAAAACAGCTCCATCACTACATGTCATATCATTTAAACGAACCCTTCAGTAACTCAAGATGACGAAACTGAGATTGGAGAAGGTAACGACTCACACAAGGTCACCCACCCAGTCAGTGGCAAAGGCAAGCTTTCAACCCATTTCGAACTGAGTCCAGGGCTTGTGTTTTTCCTGACACACACTGGCTTATAATGTAGTTGGAGTAGTTGGAGAGAGTCAAGATGTTCAAGTGAGTAACAGTAAGGATGCAGAGCAGCGATGTGCAGCATGTGTAAGCATGGGACTGTAGGGGCTTGGGCTTATTTTCCACTTTTGCCACCTTTTAGCTGTGTGATCATGGACAAGTCACTTACCCTCTCCAAGTCTCATATATGTCAGATTCTTGGTACAGTAAATGGTGTTCCATGAGATACTTCTCACTGTTGCTGTTAAAGGCAGGGTGTGCTGTGTGCTGAAGGATGGTGCTGTGGCCACGCATAAGTGCTGGAAGAGTTGGCCTGTGGAACATCACTCTGGGTTGGAGGTGATCAGGCAAGATAGGTAGGAATGACATTTAAATGGGACTTTGAAGGACAGAGAGGCTTTGGATGAGTGGAGCCAAGTGGGAGGACCTCCTGGGCAGAAGGGATGATGCACAGAAAGGAGCTAGGTATGAAGTCTCAGGAAAATTCGAGGTGAGGTGGAAGCTGGAAACCCACGAGGAAATGCTCCCATTCATCCGCCTACTGTAATAGAAGCTACTACCTTCAAAATCACTTTCTATGTGCCACTTTGTAATCATCGCGTCTACTGTTCACAGCCATTCATCAGGGCAGGTGACATTATCCCCTTTTGCAAGATAAGCAGCTGAGGCTCAGATAGACTAAAGAAGGTCCCCAAGGCCACGAAAGTAAGTGACACAGCCAGGACTCAGATTCAGGTCTGTCTCCAAGGTGTGCCCTGTCTGCACTGGCATACTAAATACCAACCCCTCCCGGGCCCACCAAGATGACTTTGTGCTTCCATTCAATGCCCCTTGTTATAAGCCAGGGGAGGGGTTTATAGAATTAGGTTGGGCATTGTCTCAGGACTCCAGCAGCTTGCAGTTCTGGTAAACACACACAGCATGGGTGCTCAGCTGGTTGAGAAGCACAGAGGAAGTGTGGCATTCACACGGGCTGGCACAGCCTCCCTTATCAGACTACGTGCTGTCACCCTTCCAGGTGGGAGGAGGCTGTGATGGTCAGTCTACTCTGCCGGCAAACAGATGTTGGGGTGGGGGCAGGTGAGGTGCTCTGCCCTCTGCTTCATCCCTGCCTTCTGCCCTTACCCCTAAGATCCACCAGGATGGCATAAGTGAAGAAGGAGAGAGGAAGAGCCTCAGGCTGGGACACTCTGGCTGCTACCAGGCTCCAGCATGGGGAATTTTAACCTCCGTGAAGCCTGCTGGACTGCTGTCTCAAGACCAGGTGGTGATAAAGCTCACAACGGCTGCTGACGGTCTTCCGGCCCCGTGATGATGTCTGCTTTGTTCTTGGTCTCTTTCAGGAATATTTCAATGCAAGTATTTTTTTGTCTTCTCTGAATCCATCTCTTCCTGGACCCTCACTGCCAGCTGCTTGCGCCCACGTGATTGAACCATATGAATCAGCTATGCGGTTGGCAGCCGACCTATCTGAAGGCTTGGCCACCTCAGTCAAATATACTCTCCCCTACCCCGCCCACTTAATTCCTGCTCCACTATCTGATGCCCCTGAGAATGCTCCTTCTCATCTGCCTGCCAGGCCACCTCCTTCTCCTCACCTCCTCCTGGAAGCCTTCCCCAACTCCAGTGGCCTGTCCTATTTCTAGACCTGAGAACTCCCTAGAGCATAGCTTGTTGGGTAACAAGATTCTCTTCTACTTTCTTATCCATACGTACGTAAGCATGGGAGGTCTGTGAAGGCAGGAAGCGTTCTTTTCCTGCCTCTTCATCTTATCCCCAACACCCAGCAAGGAAGGGTACAGGACTTGATGATGTTTGAGGGATTCAGCAGTGGAGGCAGATCTGAGACATTCTGATCAAAAAGAGATTTCCATAGATTACCAAGGATGACGTCTAACTTTGCTCAATAATGCAAGACCTCTCACGATTTATTAGCCACTGTCTCCCACATTTATTGGCCAAGGGGCCAGGACTGAGCCTTCGCACAGATGAAATGATCTGTTTTTACCTCCTTTGGAGGACCTATGACTCCAGCTGTGTTGAATCACCTGGGTGCAAAGGTACCTAAAGTTCCACTCATCAGAGTCACACTTAAATCTGTGGCCCACCACAGACCCCAGCCCAGAGGCCCCAGTTAGATGGAGAGGAATCTGACAATGACAAATAGCCTGGTTCTTGCCCCAGTTTTGCAACTGACTTGCTGTGTGACCTTGGAAGAGTTAGTCCACCTTTCTGAGTCTTCTTGTTTTCATCTGTATAATCAAGGGTGGTGGCCTAGAGGATTGTTACGATGCTTTCCAGGTCTAAACCTTTGATTCTCTGACTCAAAGGCAAGGCTTCTTGAATAAATATATTCCTCTCCTGACAGCCAGCCTGGGGAAATAGATAATTCTGTCAGAGCATCCTTGCACTAAACCTAGAGCTCTGCAGTCTCCCCCAAGGCTGGAAACTTTATCTTTATTCATTGTTCATCCTTGTTCTCCCTCTCTTTGGCTCTCCCTCCAGCCGTGTTTTGCTACCCCACCCCCAATCCAGGACACTGCAACCTGTCATGAATGAAGAGTGGCTGGTCACATGGCCCGGTCACCATGGCGACGGATCCCCGCAGACGAGGTAGGCATCAAAGTCACATGAGAACCCCGGAAAACTGGCTGAGGTATTTATAGAAGCAGTGGCTGGTGCCTTTATGGAAATGGGTCTATATTTGACTCTGGTACTGAAACCTCCATGCTGTCCCTGGGGCAAGGCAGGTTTTGCATCTGATTCTCTCTCCTCATGCCTGGTGGGGCAAACATTCCCCTCCCCTTCTTGTTGTCTCCTGGCAGAACCCCCCCACCCCTACTCCCAGCTGATGCCGGTCCTGCCAGAGCTGACTCCCCTATTCTGTTTACATTGAACGATGCTTCCTTCCAGGCTGGAGTTTGGGGCCCCAGGATGCTGGGTGTGTTGGGAATTTGGGACCCCTTCTTCACCCTTTTCCCCATGTACAAACTGGAGGAATGTCCTTGCTGCTCTCTAAATATTAGAGGGATACTGCTTTCCTCAAAGACTTTGCCACTTGTTTCTTCCTTAAGAGTTTGGAGGTTGCTGGTAAAGGGAGGGAGGATATTTCTGAGTCCAAGCCACAGAAAGGTTCAGCCACCTCTGCCCTTCATGGGTATGATAGTCGTGTTCCAGAAAAGCGAGCCAGCAGGAACTGTTGTTTTTGAGCACTCACTTTATAAGTTATCTCATGTAATTCGCACCACATCCTATAACATACTGCTTTTATCCCCATTTTACAGATGAGGACGAGGACGCTCAGAGTCCGTGTGAGAACCTGGGTCATCCAATCCTAAAGTCCATGCTCTTCCCAAGGTGCCCGGCCATGGAGTGTGGCAGACAGTGTGCTCAAAAGGAGGAGGCAGGAGGGAAGGCTGGTGCTGAGGACAGAGCCGAAGAAAGGGCAGTCTAGAGGAGCAGGGAGAAATGCATTTTGTTATTTTAATGAACAGGTAACACATGCACACAGTCAAGAAAAAGAAATCAAACAAAATTAAAATAAGTCCAATACTAAGTTTCCCTTCTCAGCGTCGTCTAGTGTCCGGTCCGCCTCTGCAGAGGAAGTCACTGTGGCTGGTTTCAGATATTCTCCTTCTAGAGATCTCATGTGCATATAGGAGCAGACATGGATGTACTGAATATATATGGTACAGACATATGGCATGAAATTCAAAAGGCGGATGATGAAAAGTAAATCTTTCTCCCATGCCTGCCCCCACTCGTGTAGTTCTTCACCCTAGAGGCAAGCGCTATTATGTTTCTTACGTACCATTCCAGAAGTATTCAATGCCTCTATAAGTACATGTTTCATATACAAATGGCCATACCCGCTCTACACTATTCTGCCTTTTTTTTTTTCACGTAACAATGTGTCTTGGAGATGTTTCCAGATCAGAACCTATAGGGCAGACCTGTTCACTTTAATGGTTGCAAAGAATTTCATTGCTGGAGGTACCATAAATTATTTAAATGGTTTCTTGTTGATAGACATCTAATTGTTTCCTTTTTTTTTTATTACAAACACTGCTACAAGGGGTATCTTTAAACGAATCTCTTTAAACAAACACATGTGCAAAATGAGTATGTGACTTCATAATCTTGATAGATATGGCCAAATTGTCAATGGGTATGTGCCTTTATAATTTTAATAAATATGGCCTAATTATCTTCCACAGAGATTGTATAATTTAACTCTTCTCTCATTAGGAACATGTGTGTTATTAACTTTTTGTCATTTGTTTTAGTTATTTGCCAATATAATAGGTAAAATGGAATCTCATTATTTTTCAATTTGCGTTTCTCTGATTATGAATGAAATTAAACATCTTTTTACATGTGCAAGGGCCTTTATATTTCATTTTCTATGAGATTTCTATTCATATCCTTTTCTATCTTTTTCTTACTGATTTTCAGGAGGTTTTTGCTCATCAAAGAAACCTGTCCCCCTTCTTTAACAATCACTCAATGAATATTTCTGAACACCTACTATGTGTCAGGACTGTTCTAGGCGCTGGTGATACGGCTTTCATCTAGTTTGCTTTCATCTTCAAACAAATGAACAGGAAAGTGAGTGGAATGCCAGATGGTGATACGTGATTTCAAGAGCAATAAAGCAGGATGAGGCAAAGGGAAAACCAGTGATGATGTCATATTTAGAGAGGTCTCACCACCCATTTCACCCAACATGATAACAATTTTTTCTGTGTTTTCTTTTTCCATAGTATTTTTATGATTTTTAAAAGAATAATTGGACTTTGCAAAAAACAAACTTTTTTGACACAATTGTACATATTTATGAGGTACATAGTGATGTTGTAATACATATAATGTATAGTGATCAGATCAGAGTAATTAGCATATCCATGATCTCAAACACTTATTATTTCTTTGTATTGGGAACATTCAATATCTTTCTTATAGCTATTTGAAATCATATAATATATTATTGTTAACTGTAGCTGTAACTGTAGTGCTATAGACACTAGAGCTTATTTCTCCTATCTAGCTCCTATCCCTCCCTTCTCTCTACCCTTCCCAGCCTCTGGTATCCCCTTTTGCAAAGAACAAACTTCTGACTTTGGTAATCCTTTCTATTGTATGTTTGCTTTCCTATTTGATTATTTTCTACATTCCCTCCTTCTATTTCCTTTGGGTCTATTTTGTAGTTCTTTCCCTGCATTTTTGAGATGGTTGCTTGGTTCATTGATTTCAACGTTTCTTCTTTTCTATCTATTTAAAGCTATAAATATCCCTCTATATACTGCTTTTGATGCATCCCTGTGGCTTAATTTTTTTCTTTTATCAATATTGATACATCTACAATTTATTTTGGTATGAAGAGTAAGGTAAGGAGTCAGACTTACTCTTTTCAAATGACCAAATCAATATCATTGATTAAAAATCCATCTTCTGCTCATTTAAAATATAACCTTTATCATGTTCTAAATGACTGTATCTGAGTTTACTTCTGGACTGTGTGTTCTGCCTCATGTATTTCTCATAACTAAGTCCACATTAATTTATTTTTATTTACTTATTTATTTATTTCTGAGACGGGGTCTCACTCTGTCACCCAGGTTGGAGTGCAGTGGTGCCATCTCTGAGTCCACACTAATTTAAACTTGCAGCTTTGTAATGTGTTTCACCCTCTGGTAGGCTAATTCCTCACCTGACACCCACTAATTCTCCCTTTCCTAATTCCACTGCTTTTTCTTTGTTTCTTTTTCTATATGAGTGTTAGTTTAACTAGCTTGTTTAGTTAAAAAGAAGAAAAGCTTTTGTTATTTTCACTGGGGTCATTTTAGAATTATGGATTAATTCAGAGAGAATTAACATGTTTCTTCTGTTTTGTCTCCCACTCTGAGGACATATAATTTCTTTTCCTATGTTCACACCTTCTTTTGGATCTCTGAGTAGCATTCGGAAGCTTTCTTCACATAGACTTTCTAGAAACCTTTTAAAGTTTATTCCTAAGTATTTTTCTTTTTTGTTGTTGTTGCTATTGTAACTGAACCATTTTTTATATCTTCTTACTACTGGCTGTTGTATATCTGAAGGTGTAGATATTTAATAGGTTAATTTTGTATCCAACCATGTTACTGAATTATCTTGTATAAGTTTTTTAGTTGTAAATTATTTTTTATTTTTATTTTTATTTTTTGAGACGGAGCCTTACTCTAGCCCAGGCTGGAGTGCAGTGGCGTGATCTTGGCTCACTGCAGCTCTACCTCTCGGGTTCAAGCGATTCTCATACCTCAGCCTCCCGAGTAGCTGGGATTACAGACCGCACCACCACACCTGGCTAATTTTTGTGTTTTTAGTAGAAACGGGGATTCACCATGTTGGCCAGATTGATCTTGAACTCCTGACCTCAGGTGATACGCCCACCTCGGCCTCCCAAAGTGCTGGGATTATAGGTGTTAGCCATCGCGCCCAGCCAGTTGTAAATTATTTTTTAAATGAGGCTTTCAGCCTTTAAGGGAAGAATGCACATTATATTTAAAACCCCCAGGGTAAATGGCTATTTAAGGATTCGATGAGCTAATAAAGGTAAGTTGCTTAGAGTAGTGCCTGGCACATCTTCTGAGCTATCGCTAATAGCAACAGTGATAATATTGCCTTGACTGTACAGAGTTTCATCTCATTTAATCTTTACAATGACCCCCATGAGGTTAGAGGACAGATTTTACTTCCATTTTCCAAATAAAGATTCTGAAGGTCACATTCTTTTGACATAGTGATATGTCAAAAGTCACCTGTTAGGCCAGACATGGAGTGGCTTACGCCTGTAATCCCAGCACTTTAGGAGGCCAAGGTAGGCGGATTGCTTGATTCCAGGTGTTTGAGACCAGCCTGGGCAACATGGCAAAACCCCATCTCTACAAAAAATACAAAAAAATCAGCTGGATGTGGTGGTGTGCACCTGTGGTTCCAGCTTCTTGGGAGGCTGAGGTGGGAGGATTGTTTGAATGTGGGAAGTGGAGGTTGCAGTGAGCTGAGATTGCGCCCCTGCACTGCCTGGACGCAGAGTGAGACTCTGTCTCAAGAAAAAAAAAAAAGTCATCTGTCAAGGTAGTGCTTGGGTCAGAACCTGAGTTTTTCTGACTATATACATCACATTGTCTTGAGGAAAAGAAAGAGAGGGGAATCTTTTTGTAAAGTGAAGCGTCCTTTAGAATCACTCGTTCCAAAGGTCTGCTTTGATTTTCACTCTGGATGTTCACACATAGGTATGTTTAGCTGGGGGCACGCCTGCCCTGCTCGATAAGGATTCTATAGAGTCAGATTCTCTAGGGGCAATATGCGGTGCCTCTGAGCTCCAACAAGCCAAAGAGGCACGCTGCCTTTGGAGTTTGGGCAAGGGGGCCTGACCTCTACTTGCGTGTGCCTCTTGGTCCTGTGAAGAGTTGTCCAGTTGTCCCCTTCATCATGGGGCATGGTGGTTCCGAGGCTCCTCTGAGTCATGATGGAGGAAGGTGAGGTGGTGGGCATGGGAAAGGATTTGGAGGCACTTCCTCTTGGCCTCCAGGGCCTCTGACCCCTCTCTGCCCCTCTCTGCCCCTCTCTCTCCTCACATTCTGCCCCATTTCTCCTCCACCTCCCCCAACCCTGCTCGCCACTGGGGTTTGTTAGTGTCAGGAATCCTCCTCAGGCCCTGCAGGGAGGCTTCCATTTTACAGTCTGAATGAAGAACTTTCTAGAAGTTCCTGTGAGGTGGAACCTGGGAATAGAAATTGAGGTCTCCTCTGAGGGAGTAGGGATGCTTCAGAAGGGTTCTGAAGTTTCTACCTCCCATTTAAGCCTAGATAGAAAGTCATCCCCACAATGTCACTATCATGCTCTAAAGCTCTCAGTGGCTCCCTATTATCCTCTGACGTAAGTAGAGGCTTTCCACCATGACATGTCAGGCCTCCACATTAGAGAATCAAGATCACCTTCCAGCTTTAGTTTCCACTAGTTCCCTAAGTCCACAGCTTCTAAATGGCACACCTGGATCCAGACCCAGGTCTGTGAGATCGGGGACATGCTGATCTTCATGAGCTAATCCCTGCTTGTTCTCTGTTTCTTTACAGTGGTTTCCTAGCTCTGATAGGAAGCTAGATGGACTTGTTTAATCATTTTTTGTCTGAAAAATGTAATTCTATTAATGCATCTCAAATTTAAGTTTACTGTTTTAGTGGCTGTTTTACATTGTTGCCTCATTTTTCTTTAGCTTGGAATAAACTAAAACTCTAGGTAGTTTTCATATAAACTCTGATGGAATTGAGAGATGTATATGGAGAGAGAGAGAGAGTATCAATTTTATTTCTTTCTTCAAAGCAACATAACAAAGTCCCTTTGTCACTGCTTTAGGAAACATCAGGAAACATCTCTTATATCTGAATGAAGTTTGTCACTGTCTCCTTTCCTCTGGGGCTGCTTTGGGGCTCTTATTAGGCCCTGGTCCCTACAGAGGAAAGTTGTTTAGCTCCTTGACATCTTCCAAGTTGTCCTTGGCTGACTGTAAAACCTTTCCTCTGGATTCTGCCAGGAGCTGGCTGAACTTAGCACAGTACCTGACGGACAGTAGATTTCCCCCAAATATGACTTGCTGGACTTGAAACCCAGACCACTGCCTGCAGACAGGAGCAGGTGGGCATGGAGATGTGGGAAGGGCTGCCACATCCAAGCTTGGCACCAGGTGGGCCACGGGAGAAGGGGCAGCTGCCCACTCTCTCCTGAGTCTGCCCGAGGAAGTCCCTGTCCCCTTTCAGATTTTCACTGCTCCCCGCTCAACACATGGCTCATGTTGGGACAGGTGACCTTCTGGACAGCCTGGCTTGCAATGCAGAGCTCCCTCTGTGGGATCAAAGTTCTGTTCCATCCACACAGGATCCCTGGATGAAGAGCTGTGACCTGAAGCATCCCTCCCCGCCGCCCCCCGCCTTCCAAGCTCCTGATCCCGCCCCTCACAATGTTGTCATCTTCATCATCATCATCACAGCAGCAGCAGTTTACATATATTGAGTCCTCGCAGTGTGCCAGGCTGCTGTTATAAACGTGTTGCTTGGAAAAATCTCATTTATTACTCAACACCCTGTGAGGGAGGGAACTGTTATTATCTCCATTCCACAGGTGAGGATATGCAGGCCCTGAGACATCCCAAGCTGGTAATAATGGGGTGAGACGATGAACGCTGGCACCTCCACTCCTGAGCCGAGTTTTTAACCACATCCTCAGTGTGCTGTCTTACCATGCTGCCCCCTCGTCCCTGCCTCTGAGAGCTGAAGCTTCATGTCTCCTCATTTTCCAACCCAGGATGGCAAATGTGCTTCATTTCTTCTGCTGACTCCAACTGATTGGTGATGTAATGAGGCCAAGTAGGGTCTCAATGGGAAATCAAACCAAAATGTATTAGGGATGGTGGCCATGGGCAAGGAAAGGGAATGAAGGAAACTGAAGTGTCATGGATGTGGGTTAGCCCTGTAGAAGCATGGAGCTCATGTTCCAGGTCCCAGTTTCTACTTCCCCCAGGGAATGACACTGGCATTTGCCTCTTCCTTCAGGTAGAATGCCACCTACCCACACGGATCAGCTTTCTTCTCAGAGGCCACAAGAGGATAACCATATCTCAAGGCACCACACAGCCGAGCATTCATTCTACAGATACATTTATACGGTAACGATGGTGGCTGGGGACTTTCTTATCAGCTGTGTTTGAGATTTTGAATGCTAATTTGGTGAGGTTTACTCATCCTCTTTGCTGATCTAACACAATCTAGGAGGATGGGGTTCTTATGATGGCTATGGGAAGAGGCCCCTCTTACTGCTTACTGGGTGAGGGAAATCTCAAAGGTGTGGAGGAGCAGGTGGATAAGTGGTCCCCGGTCATCTTGCTACTTCCACACTTATTCAATGATTACATGGCTGTTCTGGTTATTTATTGCTGCATAACAACTCGTCCTACAGTGTAGTGGCTTAAAACAACAGTCATTTTTTCTCCCTTGTGGTTTCTGTGGGTCAGGCGTTTAGGAAGGACTGAGGGGCAGTGGTTCTGCTTCATGCAGTGTCAGCTGTGAGGCTTGGCTGGAGGCTGGAGGAGCTGCTTCCAAGATAACTCACTCACATGGCTGGCAGGTTGGGGATGGTTGTAGGTCAGGAGCTCAGCCAGGGCTGTGGGCTGAGGGCCTCAGTTTCTCTCCCATGGGCCTCTCCATAGGCTGCTTGGGCTTCCTCACAGAATGGTAGGTGGATTCCAAGAGCAAGCATACCAAGACAGAGATAATGGAAGCTACTGTGTTCTTATGGTCTGTGTCCAGAAACAAACATGATATTAATTATCTTGTTTACATAGTCTCAGAGCATAGATTCAAAGGGAGGGAATATAGACTTCACTTCTTGAAGACAGCATTGTCAAAGAATTTTGAGGCCATGTTTTAAAACACACACAGTGAGGAAACTCTAATAATTGTGCCACCAAGAACAAAGGAGAGGGTGTATCTCAGCAGCTGTATGTTTAAGACACTCAGAAACACAAACACGACTTAGGTGAATTGCAATTTGGGTTGTTTCCATGTCCTGGGAAAAGGCCAATATGTTCTCCTACATCTTCCTACTTAACATATTTGGGAATAGTATCTTTGAGGCTATGTAGCAGGAGATGAACATTAGGAACATCACTTCAATGCCTTTCTTTTCAGGAAAGCAGGCTTGAGTGGATGGGGGATAGCTGGGAAGGAAAGGTTAGCCAGTACACGTGTCTCCTCTTTCAAGGAGGACTAGTGCTGGGATGAGTGGATTAGGTCATCGTGTTGGATCCACCATGTTTGACAGGGTTGCCCAGTGTGTAAGCTTTGACTGAGCACCTACTGTATGTAAGTCACTGTGCTGGGGCTGTACGGCATGAAGCTATGAAGAAGAAAAGATCCCTCCCCTGTAAGGAATCACACTCTAATTTGAGAGGAAGGCATAGACACATGAAGGCAGACTTATGTTATAAAGCCCTAAAGGTCGGGATTGAGAACAAGGACTTTAGACCCAGGATGCATCTCACTGTATGGCTTGGACAGATTATTTAACCACACTAAGCCTTGATTTTCCCTTTAGTGAAATGGGAATTTGAATAATACTGACCTTATAATATTACACTGTATAAGTTTATGTATTTCCATATGCCATAGAAAAGGAAGAATTTGTTTTCTAGATGCTCAGAGGAGAGTTGGCCACTGACAGCTGGAGTGTTCAGGAAGATTTCATGGTGGAGGCCTTTCTTCCCATTTCCATCTCAGCCCCTTCCTGTGGCTTCAGGCCCACCTCCCCATGAGTGCTGTCATCGAGGACACCTCTCAGGCTTCATCTTTTTAACTTTGCTGCAGATTTCAACACTGTGAACTACCTTTCCTTCTTACAATTCTCTTTCTTTTGTGATACATGTCATCTTCTCAGCTCTTGACTCTTCTCTGTCTTCTTTCCTGCCCCTCCTGCTCCTCAGAAATAAGCATGTCCTGCCAAGCCTCTATCCTCATGACCATCTTCTGTGTGCTTCCTCAAGAGAGTCTCGCCTTCCCCCAAACCCTTTATGGTTATGACTTCCAAGTGTGTGTCTCCTGCCCTCTTTCCTGGACTTTCTACTCATATTTCTAACCACACCTTAGGTATTCTTTCATCAACTATTTTTTTTCACATTGTTTTTCTTTTTATTTAAACAAGGTTGAACTTACAAATCAAAGCAATATGGGAGTGATTTTAGACTAGCAATATTATTTTTAGTTATTCAGATTTCATCAACTATTTATGGACAGTCTACTGTGTGTTAAAGTTGGGCATGGCCTCTGTCCTGTGGAGCTTCCACATCAACCAAGGAGACTGTCCCTAAGCAACCAGTCATGCCCTCAGTACTTAATTACAATTGTGACAAGGGCTAAAAAGGAGAAGAAAAGTCCAGCTGGGAGGTTGACCCAGTTCTTCTCCATGGTCAGGAGAGGGTCCAGTTCATGGTGAACTCTGTTGGACGAGTGGGCAGGCAGTGAGGGAAGAGAACAAGGGGGACTGAGCAGATCCCTGTCAGGGCTTATGGGCTAAAGTCTGAGTCAGGAAGGAGTGGGGGGGGTAGGAAGAGCTGAAAGAAGGGTGGTGTATTACAGGGAAGTCCATGGGGGGAAGGGTGTGAGATGAGGCTGGAGACAGGGAAGGTCCCTGAAAGACATGCTAAAGATGTGGGTGCAACTCTGCAAGCTTAAAAAGGTTGTGATTATATTTGTACTTCTAAAAGATCACTCTTGCTGCTATGTGGAGAGAAGGGAGTAAGACTGGAGTTAGTGTCAAGAGGGGACTGTGAGTCCAGGTGAGTGATTATTATAGTTTGGAATAGGCAGTTGGGGGCGGGAGGTGGTGGCAGCAGAATTAAAGAGAAACGACCAGATCCCAGAGGTATGTAGCAACTAAGATCTCCAGGATTTACTGATAGATTTTATGAAAGGGGAAGTCTCAAGGGTGATTATTGGGGTTTTGGCTGGCTCAACTATTCACAGAGCCAGGGAGCACAGGAGGAGAAGCAAGAAGCCAACTGCTGAATGTTCTGCAGGGTAGATCTTTGAATGTTGAGTTCATTTCTTCAACATGTGTAGCTCTGTGGAGCCAAGTGGAAAGGTGGAGTTGGAGGGTGAATATGTGGAGCTCAGAAGACTGTCTGGAATGGAGACAGACATGCAGAAGTCATCAGTGTAGGAGATGGTCTAGGAAGGGTACAGAGTGAGAAGAGGGTTTGGCTGCGAGACGTCCAACACTTAAAGATCAGCAACGGAAACTGAGGGGTGAGCAGAAGGCTAGGAGGAAAACCTGGGAGCGCAGAATTCCAGAAGGGGAGGGAAGAGAGTGTCAGAAGGAAGGAGAGGGCACCCACAATAAGCATTACAGAAAGGTCAGTAAGATGAGGACTGGAAGATGTCCTGTGGATTTAGTGACACAGAAGTCACTGGTGACCTTAGTGAGACCCTTCTTGGCAGCATGATGGGGCAGAAGTGTGTTAAGGAGTGTGTAGGGGTGAGGAAATGGAGGCAGAAAATGAAGAAATGAGGGATGAGAGCCTAGTGACATTTTTTTTTGAGATGGACTCTAGTGACATTTTAAAGGAAGATATTTGCATATGCTCTCGAGCTGCTAAAAAGCATCCAGAGAAAGGGAAAGTTAATGAGACAGACAGGAGAGACTGGATTAACTAATGGGTAGCTGAGGTTCTCAAGAAGGTGTGGGGCCATGGGACCCAGGGGACAGGTGGAGGCTGGTCTACAGAGGAGAGACTCTCCCTACCATATCCAGGGAAGAGGGAGAAGAGGGTATGTGCAGATGGAAACGGTTTAATTCTCGTTGGAAAACCGAGGGGTCTTCCAAATGAAGTAAGGCAGTTCCTGAGACAGCAGGGAAGTATGACGTGGGGGGAAAGTAGGATGAGTGTTTGGGGAGAGTTCTGGTTGGAATGGCCTTGATCAGAGTGGGGAAGTAAGTTGACCAGAGAATTACAGGGAAGTCCTTAGGAAGTGTGAGGAGCCCACTTGAAGTTGGTGGCCATGAAGGCAGACAGAGACTGGTCTGTGGTGTGTTTCTGTCTAGAGAACTTGGCACAAAGAAACCAGGTATTAAGTTCATTCAAGGGTGGGGTTTCACTGGGTAGATGTGATAAAAGGCAGTGAGGCAAGGGCATCTTCTAGTTGTCACCTTGATATCCCACAGACATGTCATTTTCAATATGTCCCAAATCCATTATCTCTTTACCTTCTTCCCCAAATCTGCTCCTCTTTCTAAATTCCCCATCTTGGTTAATAACAATACAATCACCTAGTAATACCCCTAATAACAGTTATTTATTAAGAACATGTTATCAGATATGATAACAGATATTTTACTATTTTTTTTTTTTTAGAGAAGAGCACTTGCTATGTTGCCCACGCTGGGCTTAAGCAATTCTCCCAACTTGGCCTCCCAAAGTGCTGGGATTGCAGCTGTGAGCCACCGTGCCTGGCCAATAACAGATATTTTAGAACAATCATCTCATGATCATCATAACAACCTTATGAGGTATGTACCATTCATTTTACAGACACGGAAACAGAAGTTCAGAGAGGTTGTGTCACTAGCTCAAGGTCTCTAGTAAATGGCAGTCAGGATGAAAACTTAGATCTATGAGGCTCCAAAGTCCTTCCCCTTTCCATGACCACACCACCTGTAAGTTCTCTTGCCTTAATACTGCCTATCTCTGATAGGTTCCTTCCTCCCACCTCCCATACCACGTCAATTGTCACATTCTATTTGTTCATCTCTGTCCTGTCTCTTGCTACTTCCTGCCATGCCACTCCACCCCATCTGCTTCCCTGGTTGCTTCCACCAGAATGTAAACCCTATAAGGGCAGAGATTATTATCTGTCTCATTTTTTGCTGTCTCCTTAGGGCCTGGAACAGTGTAAAGTAACCATTAGGCTCACTAAATAATTGTTGAAAGAATTTTTCTATCAGGAGATAATTCTCTATGGGTTTATTGTGTTCCCACAAGTCTTGTGGGCAGAGGCACTGATGGCTTTTTTGTTCCCATTATCTTTTAGAGGATGGTTGCATAGCAAACAGCCTCCAACGATAGCGTCTCCCTCTAGTGGAGAGCAGTTCTGTTTGCTGTCCAGTATAATAAAGATATGTCTAAGGCAAATGTCGGGCAAGTTTGCTTGCAGCGCATTATAAAAGATTGAGGTTTCCTAAGCTTGGAGTTTCTCAGTGTGTGTGGTCCAGTCTCATGTCCCACCCATAGGACTTCAGAGTTAAGGGAAGGTGATCTGAATGTGAAGCTCTTGCAGCCTGCTGTGCCATGAGTAATTAAAGTCCTTTGTGTCTGGCCCAGAGTTTCCTGTCTTCTGATGGCATCCATGAAACTGGCAGGGTAACTTAGATTGTAAGTGTAAAATCTCAGACTCTTCAGAGTTCTTGACAATGGCCCTTACCACCTTTCACTAAGACAACCTCCATCTCCCATTCCTCCCAAACACCTCCCTTGGATGCCAAAGGCCCCCTTAGTGTTCCCTAGAAGAGAGATAATTCATCCAGACTCTCATAACAGCCCCCCAAGGCCCTGGCAGGATGGCTCCTGCCTCCCTGTCTAACTTCACCTCTCATCATCCCCACCCCTGCTCCAGCTCAGGCAACCACCACCCCACCCCACGCATACGTTTCTACTCTCTTGCATCTATGCCCTTGCCATGCTGTCCACTCCACAGGGGTCATCCTTCTCCCCTTCTGACTGTCCATCCTTTAGGCCAGGATCTTCCAAGAGGCCTACTCAGAGACCAGTCAGAATTTCCCTGTCACTGTCTCCCCACTTTACTCATCTTGTACGGTTCTCCAATCCTTTCGCTTTGTACTGTAAAGACCTGGGTCAACCCACACTGCCTCTCCAGGAGGTTCCCTCACGTCTGTGATCCTTTCAGCCTCTGCAGCCCCTGGCATACAGTAGGTGCTCAACAGATGAGTGATGTCCTAAGAGTTGACCTGCACAGGGAACGGCCTTGCAGAATGGTAGGATGGAAGGACGGAGGAGTGGAAGGACATCTAGAGGAAAGGGAACAGAAGCACGGAGGTGGAAATGTCTAGGGCAGGGGAAATAACCACATGAATTGAGATTGAGTTCATTAAAGAAGGCCAAAAGAGGTGAGTCTGAAAAGAAGAAAGTGAGGCCCAGGGTCCAGGAGGGCTTTAACCATTGGGGCCCCATTCCTCTCCGAGGGCAGAAGCCCTGGCGAGGGCTCCAGGGTCTGCATCCCCTGACCAGGGGCCTCAAGAAGCTAAGCCCCCTTGCAACTCCCTCTCCCGCCCCACGCCCACCCTCTCCGCCTACGTCGGCCATCAGAGCCTCGCTCGCTGCCCGAGAGCCTCGCATTGACGCCGGCCCGCGCGTGAGTCAAGCCTGCGTCACGGCGCCCCGCCGCCAGGGTGGCCTTTCGGAAAGCGAGGGAACAGTGCGCGCAGCGCTCCGCCCAGCTCCGTTCTGCTCCGCAGAGCCGGCGCTGCCAGGGCGCAGGGAGGGCGGCACTCGGCCCCAGTCTTCGCAATCCCGCGCGCTCTCTCCGCCGTGGGACCTGGGTCCCCGCGCCGCTCCCCTGAGCCCCGAGCGCGCGGCGGGCGGGAGCCAGGTTGGGACTGGTGGTGAGGCAGGGAGTGAGGAGCGAGCGGAGTCGCGTGCGCCGGCGCGCAGCTCCGGGTCGCCCCAGCCCCAGCCGGGGGCCTGTGGCCCGGGGGAGGAGCTGTGCGTCCGCGACCCGTCGGGGATCGCAGCTGCTCGGCCGGAGTGCACGGGCCGAGTCTGCGCGACTACCCACGCGTGACAGGTGAGTCGCTGGCCGCGCCCCGCCTGGCTTTACCGGGCCGGCCACTGCAACTTTCCCTGTTCTGGCCCCGCCCCAGCCAGGGAGGGCTGAGGACCAAGGTGTGAGGCGGCGCTGCCCCCGCATCCGCCCGACCCTGCGCTCGTCCCGGGCTCCTCTCGCCGCTCCAGCCGCCGTTGCCTGGCGACGGAGCCCCGGGGCCCGCTCTCCTTCGCGCATCGGGGTCCCCAGCGGCGTACGCACGGGTTGGACACCGGGCTTCAGCTTCTGGTGCTCAGAAGGGCCCAAGAACTCCGGAGGAAATTGGGCTTAGCTGCGGAGGCAAGCGCCCGCGGAGAACCGGAGGGGGCCTGTCCGGCCCATCCGCGGCTTGAAACTGCGCGCCCAGGGCGCAGTTCCACTGGGAGCCTCTTACGCAGCTGGAGACCCCAGCCCCAGCCGCTCGGCCTCAGGCCTGTGACCTTGACAGTAACATTGGCAAGCGAAGCAGAACTGTCACGCCCGAGATGAATATTTAATTCTCAGTCCTGGGGCTGGTCCTCGCTGGATTCGGAGCTAGCAGAGAGCCCTTCCTCCCTCGTGGGAAGCGCATCTGGGGAACGGAATGGCTGAGACAGGGGACGTGCGTGTGGTGCCCATCTGGAGGGGGCGCCGTCCTGGCGGGTCGAGAGGCCTCTGCTGCATTTATGCCTGTGTGCGCCGTGCTCTGAAGCGATGCTGGATGCTCGCAGTACTATGGGTGGGCCGCTCCCCAGGGGCGCGGCTGCCTTGGAAAGAAGCGTGATGTTTCCTTTTAAAGCCCAGACAGCCCTGTCAGAAATCAAATTCAGAAATCCCAAGGCCATTCACCTTACAGGACCTAGGCCCTGTCAAGTTGGCTTTAGAAAATATTTTTTGATGCCATTCCTCTTTCCTTTTTTTTTTTAAGAAATACTTTAACAGGCCTTTTGGATTACGAGATTTCTAACCAGAGCTACCTTTGGGCAATTCAGCTGTGAACTTGAGGCAGATGGGGGTGGGTTGGGGAGACAGGGAAGTGGTAATGAGGAGGAAGATTCTTTTCCGGGCATTGTCCTTGTTAACAGGAACTTCAGGAACAAAGACAATCCTGTAATGGCTCCAAAAAAATTCGGCCAAAACTTTAGTTAGCGCCTAACTGTTAAGGCCTTGCTGGACACGCTCACTGATGTCTGGAGAACAAGGTCAGAGTGTGTTGAGGTTAACAGTGGGGAGTTCTTGTGTCTCGTTCTGTGCTTACATTATCCCATGGCTCTGTGAGGCGGACCCATCACCTGGGCAGGAAGAGCTTTGAGGTCACACCTGATTGTCCTTGGCCATGGCTCATCCACGAGGACCGTCAGAGGCTTTAGCTCCACTGCCGGATTTTTCTCCAATGGAACATCTGTGGCTAAGTAGGTGGTTGAGTTTCAGCGAATCCCTGAAGCTCAGCCTGGAGGGTGACTCAGTGCAGGAGGCAAATGGTGCCCACCAGCTCTGATTGGAGTGAGTTTGTTTGGCCTGAGTCACACACAGAGTCGTGTGTCAGCTGTTTGTGAGTTGATTGGAGTTCTTTAGCAGGACTCGTGAGCAGGAATGGCCTGAGCCCAAGTGTTTTGGGCAGAGGTGGGCAAGTCCTCTGAAGGAGCTAAGCAGAGCTCTGGCTGTTGAGCAAGGGTCCTGGAGCTCTGACTCCTTGGGAAGGTGAGCAGGGCCAGGCTGGGCTGGGCAGGGAGATGGGGAGAGGTGAAGGGGAGGGTAAGGAAAGGCTCTGTGATTGTGGTCAGAACTGGGCCCAGTGTTCTGCCATGTGCCAGTGGGGTGACCTTGGGCAAGTCAATTCACCTCGGGAGTCTCAGAGTTTCCTCAGTTGTAAAACAGGGATGCCTATGATATTATTTCTGCAGGCTTATTTTGAGCCAGGTGCTAGACACAGCAGGTGCTCATTAGATGTTAGTTCCCCATCCCTTCCCTTATGGGCCTTAACCAGAGGCAATTCTTTCTCTCATTGCTTCTGCTCCATCATGAAAGGGGTTGTGGGGACACATGAAGGTTCGGTGCTTCCCATGTGATTAAGAAGGACCTGTAACTCAGCTTCACATAGACCTGTTTCCAACCCTCAAGTCTCCCCATGAGACCCTAAATTGGGAAGCCTGCTTAAGAGCAGGATTAGTGTTGGGGTAGGGGTGGGGTTCAGCTGTGCTGGGTCTGCTGGCTGCCCTTGGCCACCTGCAACAGCTCTGGGGTGACTCCAGCACCACAGACCTTGACTCCTTGGGGTTGTTTCTGACTGTAGCCTGGTCCCAAGCTGCAGCACGTGCTGGGTGGACTTCAGGGGTCACTTCTCTTTGTTCAGGTCTTACCATCCTCCTCCCCACCCATTCTATCCATAATAGAATTGAAAGTTACAAGAGAACTGTTCAGGAGAGCTGAGACTGGCCTCTCCTGGAAAGGAAAGTGAGGTGTGTGATTCCTGTTTTCCTGAAGGACCCTGGGCCCCTAGTTTTCTCCGTCTATAAAATGTCCAGATTTGGTGCTGAGCTAAGATGTGTGTGCCTTAAGAGTGAAGGAAATAAGGGGATCCCCAGTGCAGCAAGAAAGAAGCCATGCTGGCTCAGGGGACTCCAATCTGCTACTGGAAATGTGTGTGTGTGTGTGTGTGTGTGTGTGTGTGCATTGCATTCACCATTCATTCTGTAGCCAATGCCCTCCCCATTGGATCCAGGAGCAAATTCCAAGGATGGCAGAAACAGAGATGAGAAGATTCCAGAGAAACAGGTTCCTTCTGCCTGTGTACCCTCCCTTCCTTTATACTCCTTTTCTGTCCAGGTTTGCTGCAGCAGGACAATTCATCATTAATCCCTTTAAAGCTGCTAAGATAAGCAGCAGAATAGTTTAAGGGGAAGATGGATTTAAGCTTTTTTGCTAGAACTAGCTCTGAGTTATCACTTGCTCCCAGGCTGAGCTACAAGAAGTCCTCACAGCCAAACATCTGGAGCACCAGGATGGGGGAAAAAAAACCTGTCACCTCAGCCCCTGTGTTTCCCTCCCCTGAATGATGTTGCTGGCTGCCAGAGGTCAGAAGCACAGAGCCATAGGTAGATGTGATTGCTAGAGCAGTATCCCAAACTCAAGTGGGGCAGTGATATGTAAGGAAATGCCTACTTTGCATGCTTTTAGGAGGGGTGAGTGCTGTTCTGGATTCCAGTGGCTCACACTGTGCTTGGCACAAATTGATAATATCCAGTTGCTTATTGAGGCTTCTGTGCTGTGCTAAGTGCTTTATTCCCAGACCATCTCATTTAATCTTCACCACAATCCCAGGAGACAGATATTGCTATCTCCAGTTTACAGATTGTAAAATTTAAGGTTCAGAGAGGTTAAATAATTTGTTCAAGGTCACACAGGTGAGTGGCAACTAGAGAATTGGAACTCTATCAGTCCAAACTTCATGTTCCTAACCTCTATGTGATACTTTTCCGCAATACATTCTTAATAAATGCTGACAACCTAGGCATTTACCCAAACAAGATTGTCTAGAGCTGTGGGTCCAGTTTTTTTAAGTTAGTGCCCCGGGAAAAGGGGAAATCGGCCTGTACTAATTGGAAATTGGTGGAAAACAAACATAACCAAACGTCCAAGGTTTGGGGAACATGGTATTTGGCTCCAGGTGGGTTGAAATACAGAAAAAGATCCCAGGCTTCATCTTGGTGCTTTCTTGTCCTTTCCCTGCCCTTCTCTTCCTGACCTCTACTGCCCTTGACCTCATTCCCTTAAAATCTGTCTAAGCTAGGGGTTCGTGTGTAGAGCAGTGAGAGGAGTCAGAGCCGGTGGATGTTGCCCTGAGAATTTCTGCATATGCAGAATCAAGGACGGCCACTTGCTGATGGGAGCTTGGTGGGTCAGATTTCTCTGCTGAAGAGTGTATGCCAGGGATTTGTAGCAGTTTCTGGTGAGGCCCCAGACCCCAGAGAAAACTACTAACACTTCAAGGTTATTTACAGCAGCTGCTGGCAGGGCTGCTTGGGGAGATTCCACTTGCTTCTTCCTGGTCTTTTCCCACAGAGAGCCCACTTTCTCCTCACTCCAAAACTCTGCCACACGTGTCCGTGGCCGTTCTGGGAAACATGGCACCTGATTCCTCCAGCTTCTCTGTCTCTTCTCTTTCTCTGAAAAATCGCCATCCCCAGAACAGGCCCATGCTGTCCTAGCCTGCCCATCATCTCCAAACCACCTGAGATCTCAGTGGGGAAGTTCCTGAAGGTGGATAACTGAATGTAAGTATTAATGCTCCTCACTGGCAGTGGACGAAAAGGACTTCCCAGAAACCCTTGCTTCATAGGCAGCCATTTTGTGGAGATAAGTCCTTTGATAATTCTCTTTCTCTTCCTTCTCCTCCTCCCATGAGTGATTCTTAAAACATTGCTCATTTATGGGCAAATCCAGTTTTTTTTAAAAAATACATAGTTAGACGTTCAATATGTACAGAAAATTCACATGTAAGAACATAAGCTCAGATGCAATATGAATTACTGTATACACTTACTCTCATGTTCAGAACCAGGTATGTTTTGTTAGAGAATAATTCTGGGTCAGGTGAGTTCTAGGCTGCCTGAGTCCCTAACTAGGGAGTTGAGGCACAAAGCCCTGTCCAGTCTATGTCCTCTTGTGGAGTGGGAGTGAGGCACATATAGAGCAGAGGAGTGAGTACCCCAGCTCACAGGCCCTGGGGTCACCTCATTAGCTGCAGTTGTCCCACTGAGCTGCCACTCTGCCTTCCCGAGCCTACCTAGCAGTTTATTTGAAGATAACAAGTTGCCTGTCACTGTACGCCATCATTTCTAATTAGTGGTTCAATTAGAATTTCTGCTGGATTCTGCATCCCACCAATTTACCACCTTCTATTTTGCTTGCAAGTGGAATTCACTGGTCCACACCCCAAAATTCTGCCAGTTACATTTTTCTTTAATTATAAGACTCCTGGGTTCCTGAGGCTTTAAATCCCACACCAGCTCTAAATGGAGCAGAAGCAATGTTTGCTAAAACTACCTTGCAAGAGGAATGAATAGTCACTCGATAGGGTGGTTCCAGAATGTACTGCCAAGTGAGTATTCATTGAGGACATGGGTCTCCCTTCCTTTGCCCAGGTCTAAAGGAAGGAGAGCAGATGTTCTGTACTGCGCAACCTGGGGCTGGCTCGCAGAATAGCCCGGTGGGCGCTGTCCATGGTCCTGCCACACCACTGGGGCCATCTGCCTGCTAGTAATTTGGGACTCCACATAACAGCTGAAAGGAATCTCCTTGACCAGTTCCCCAAATTGCTTTATATTGTGAGTTTTGGAAGAGAACTTGGTCAAGTGAGGAAGATCCTGCTCTCTGGGAGAAATGGTGGTAGATGAGCTCAGTCCACTGTTGACTTCCTGAATGTATCATTTTGCAAGGCTGCATGGTGCACTGCAGAACTTCCCAACCAGTGCCACAGATGGGTAGCATGTGGCCCAGAAATAATGATGCCCTCATCCCTTGGAGTAGCCTGGGATGGCCTAGCATGGTGGCGCCTCCTCCGTGTACCCCAGTGTGCCATGATAGTGTTATTTTCTGTGTCATGACATGCAAAAGATTGGAACATACCAGTATGTCAAAAAGAATATAGCTACAGTTTGGTAGATGACAGTCTGAATCCCCGCTCTTCCATTTTATGGCTGGGTAATCTTGTACATGATAGAGGCTTCTTTGTCTTGAAGATAAGAATTGTATTTTATCGTAAGTTGTTGGGAGGATAAATAACACATGTAAGCACAGTGGGTCACCTGTGGCTTGTCCCAATAGGATGCTTTTCTGCCCAGCCCTCTACAAAGCTGCACTGGAGGCTGATGAGAAAAGAGACACAAACCCTTCTCATTTTCAGGAAAGAGACATCATGTTGGGACTGTAATTAAGGGTTTCTGATCACTATTCCTTCAAGAGCTCTTCAGCAGTCCGTTTGGTAACTCAGGTAATTGAACACCCTTGGTTCCCTCTGTCTCTTTCTAAGACAACAGAAAATAGTGGTTTTAAGAAAATCCAGGTCAGATTATTTTGGCAGATGCTGTGAGGACTCATCTGTCCCCATGGTGGTCCCCCCATGAATGAGGAAAGAAGGGAATGAGGCTTTCACTAGTTATTCCTGGACTTTTATTTGCACATCTGGTTTGTAAAATTTTTCTTTTTCCAAATTGGTATACTCTCACAGGTCCTTTATCTGTCTGAGACCTGGTGTGCCCTTCAGCACCTCACGTCCTCATTTCCCTTTCTCTTCAAATCTCAAGTCTCATCCAACAGCCTGATCCATATCACCATCATCGCTTACCTACCCTCCCTGTTTCTTCACTTGTCCTACCAGCAGCCATTGATCCCTATAAAAACAGTCAGGTCAGGCCAGGTGTGGTGGCTGACACCTGTAATCCCAGCATTTTGGGAGGCCGAGGGAGGTAAATCACGAGGTCAGGAGATCCAGACCATCCTTGCCAACATGGTGAAACCCTGTCTCTACTAAAAATACAAAAATTAGCCGGGTGTGCTGGCATGCGCCTGTAATCCCAGCTACTCAGGAGGCTGAGGCAGGAGAATCTCTTGAACCCGGGAGGTGGAGGTTGCAGTGAGCCGAGATTGCGCCACTGCACTCCAGCCTGGGCGACAAAGCAAGACTCCATCTCAAAAAAATAAATAAATAAAAATAAAATAAAATAAAAATAAAAATAGTCAGGTCACATTACTCCTCTGCTTGAAAACCTCCAACAGCTTCCCATTAGCCTTGAAAGAAAACCCCAACTCCTTTCCATGCTCCTTGAGTCCTGCCTGTTCTGGACACTCACTGTCTTCCTAGCCCAGCACCTCCCACTCTTCCATTGTTCAGGGTGCTCTAGGCACATGGCCGTCTGTCTGTTCCTTGTACTCACCAGGCATGCAGGTCCTGCCTCAGGACATTTGCACTTTCTGTTCCCTCTGCTCTGAATGCTTTCCCAGGACATCCACATGGCCCACTCTCTCACTCCGTTGAAGTCTTTATGTCACCTTATCGGAGCATACGTCCTTACCCCCATCTCTGTTGTAGCATCCCTGCTGTGCTCCATCCCCTCATACTCTATATTGTATGTGTTTATTTGATATATATACTATCAGATATAGTGTATGTTTATATGTACACTATAAATTATATATTTGTCTGATTTCTATTTGTCCCTCTGCACTAGAAATAAATCCAATGGAGCAGGGACATTATTTGCTCTGTTCTCTGTTGTACTAGAACAGGGCCTAGAACATAATGTTCAGCAAATATTTGTTGAAAGAAGTAAAGGAAAAGAAGGAGGGAAAGAGATTTAAAAATATTTTAAATGCCATATTTTAAAATCCCATATTTCAGCAGTACCTCTAGTTCATAGAAGTCGCTGGGCTCTATTCTCCTTCCAGGCCAAAAGGGGAGTAGAAGTCGGAGAACTGAGCCCCAGTATCCCCTGTCAGCCCACTGTGTCCTTGGGCTTGCACGTGCATGTCCCACCCAGCTCCAGGGCGTTGTGGGATGTGGGTGAGTATGCCTTGATTCCTGGCTAAGCCCATTTCCCACATGTTCTCACATGAAGGTGGTAGCTGGCACTGGTTGATGGCATGCCCCTGAGGGCCTGGCCTGAGTTGAGCATAACTCTTTTGTTACCTCATTTTATACTCATGACAACCCTACGAGGTGTAGCATCCTTCATCCCTATCTTTTCAGGTCTAGAAGGTAAAACCAAGAGGGGTTATGTACTTTCCCAAAGACCAACATCTCATAAATGGCAGAGCAGGACTTTAGGTTTTCCTGGCTCTAAAACCCATGATAGCATTGAGGTTGAGAGTCAGGCTCCAGGGTCAGTCTGTCAGTGCAGATCCAGGGGCTTTGGATGACTTGCCTTATTTCATCAATTCCAAAATGTGTATTTTTGCACATTGCCACATCTTAAAATCAGGACATGACATGCAATCAATAGCTGTTTCAAAATGGCTGTGGGTCTATGGCAGCTCACCCTAGTTGGGTGGGAAACTTTGATGAACCCTTTCTGGTAAGTTCAAGAAAGTGCCAGCATCAAAGGATCCTAGATTCAATGAAATATAGGTAATTATCCCTCTCAGCTTCCATGTCTTCATTTGTAAAATGGGAGTAACAGTGGTATCTACCTGATATAATTACTGGCGGGATTAAAGGAGCTAATATCTGTTTGGTGCTCAGCATGGTGGTTGCCACAGAGATGGGACTCAAGAATTATGGCCTATGTGCTGTGTTGTCATTGTTATTATTACTACACCCCACTCTGCCTTCAGAAGTTCCCCCAGTGGATCCCTCAGCACCTGAATTCTAGTAAAGAGAGAATGCATGGGTTGGGGGGGTGCTTTCTGGGGCTGCCCTTGTTTACATGCACACAGAGCATGCGTTCTCCCACGTGAGATGGTAAAATGGAACCACAAGATCTGTTTGCACTGGCCACACCCACATTTTTCAGTGCCAGTTCCTCCCCCTCTGGACCATCTGCCCCCTTTCCTGCTTCCCTTCCTTCTTGACAAAGAAAACAAGATATTGACTCAAGAGAACAGACTCAGCAAATGCAACAGGAAAGTAAGAAAGGGCTGCAGAAGTTGCCACTGGCTCCTCAGCTGGATTTCTTGTTTGGAATGGTCCCACAAGTCCCAAGCCATGCTGTGTGTCAGGACTGTGCCCACCCAAAGATGATTTCCCTGAGGTGAGGATGGATTCTGTCTACAAAGTAGGGAAGGTACAGCACAAATACTGGCTCTTTTGAAAGTGGCCAAAAGTCACAAAGGGATGGCCAGGCTTCTTAGTGTATCCTGGCTTTCAAACTGTCACTTGGGGCATCCTTGGGGCATGATATGGTCTTGGCATCAGAATATTGCATCAGAAAATGGAAAAAACTAGAAGTTGGAAAAACACATCGGACTCCAGGAACTTTGGGGTGTTCAAAAATGGATCAATTCATTTATGCACTCATT